>NC_000002.12:1222121-1525151 GCF_000001405.40 Homo sapiens
TCTGTCTCTCTCTGTCTCTCTCTGTCTCTGCCTATCTCTGTCTTTGTCTCTCTTTTTCTCCCTCTGCAGCCTCTCAGTCGAGGATCTTTTCTTTTCACCTCTGAGGATTATTCGTTTTTTTTCATTTTGACTGTAAGGGATTAGCGCCCTGTCTATGAAAAGATGCTGCAAAGTCTCCGCTTTTGGACATTAAGATCTTTTCTTCGTATCCAAGCAAGATAAATTCGTAACAAGTTGTCTGCTTTAAACATTAATTTGATTTTTCTTTCCTTTGTGTGTGGAGATTTCATAGGCTATCAGAGTTTGTGATGAAAATGAACAGGAGGGGCTTCTTAAGCTGGAGGTGCTGGATCGCTGTAGAGGAAAGTGGTGCAGTGATGGAGGGCGTCTCCCTGTCCTGCCTGCTGCTGGAGGTGCTGGATCGCTGTAGAGGAAAGCGGTGCAGTGATGGAGGGCGTCTCCCTGTCCTGCCTGCTGCTGGAGGTGCTGGATCGCTGTAGAGGAAAGCGGTGCAGTGATGGAGGGCGTCTCCCTGTCCTGCCTGCTGGTGGAGGTGCTGGATCGCTGTAGAGGAAAGTGGTGCAGTGATGGAGTGCGTCTCCCTGTCCTGCCTGCTGCTGGAGGTGCTGGATCGCTGTAGAGGAAAGTGGTGCAGTGATGGAGGGCGTCTCCCTGTCCTGCCTGCTGCTGGAGGTGCTGGATCGCTGTAGAGGAAAGCGGTGCAGTGATGGAGGGCGTCTCCCTGTCCTGCCTGCTGCTGGAGGTGCTGGATCGCTGTAGAGGAAAGCGGTGCAGTGATGGAGGGCGTCTCCCTGTCCTGCCTGCTGGTGGAGGTGCTGGATCGCTGTAGAGGAAAGTGGTGCAGTGATGGAGGGCGTCTCCCTGTCCTGCCTGCTGCTGGAGGTGCTGGATCGCTGTAGAGGAAAGTGGTGCAGTGATGGAGGGCGTCTCCCTGTCCTGCCTGCTGCTGGAGGTGCTGGATCGCTGTAGAGGAAAGCGGTGCAGTGATGGAGGGCGTCTCCCTGTCCTGCCTGCTGCTGGAGGTGCTGGATCGCTGTAGAGGAAAGTGGTGCAGTGATGGAGGGCGTCTCCCTGTCCTGCCTGCTGCTGGAGGTGCTGGATCGCTGTAGAGGAAAGTGGTGCAGTGATGGAGTGCGTCTCCCTGTCCTGCCTGCTGCTGGAGGTGCTGGATCGCTGTAGAGGAAGGCGGCGCAGTGATGGAGGGCGTCTCCCTGTCCTGCCGTGGAGGTGCTGAATCGCTGTAGAGGAAAGCAGCGCAGTGATGGAGGGCGTCTCCCTGTCCTGCCTGCAGCCCGGGCACTGATCTTGTGTCTCTGCCAACTGCGTCGGATTCCTCAGTGCATCCTGGGATCCCTGTGCTCCTAGCCCCACAACCACAGCTGTGGCCAGAGTCATTTTACCATGAACCCCTCACCTCAATTTCCTGGCACCCTCCCCATTACAACTAAACATGAACCAAAGTCACTGAGTTTTCCTGATGCTGAAAGGGGAGAACTATCAGTGACATCATTCGTATTGGGCCAAATTAATCCCCAAAGAGGGAGGAGCCAGGCGTGTCTGGTGGAAAGAGTGGATGGAGAAGGTTTTAAAGGCACGAGACCTTCAGGGTGTACATGACCTCAGCACACTAACCTGGCTCTGAAGACCTCGTTTTAGTCAGTGTGGGCTGCCATAGCCCAGTTCCACAGATGGGTGACCTTAGTTCCACAGATGGGTGGCCTTACGCAGCACACAGATGGGTGGCCTTATGCAGCAGACATGCGTCCCTCGAGCTCTGGAGGCCGTAGCCCAATTCCACAGATGGGTGGCCTTATGCAGCAGGCATGCGTCCCTCGAGCTCTGAAGGCTGCAAGTGCAGGGTCAGGTGGTCAGTCTGGTGAGGGCCTGTCCTGCATTGCAGATGGCACCTTCTCTCTGTGTCTCCCTGTGGAGGAAGGGGTGAGGGTCTCCCTGCGGCCTCTTCTGTAAGGGCACAGACCCCGTCAGGCTGCACCCTCAGGACCTCATCACCTCTCAAAGGCCCCACCTTCCAACACGACTGCCTCGGGGGCTAGGATTTCAACACTGAACGTTTGGGGAGCCACGTTCAATCCACTGGGAATTTGACCCCAGACTTGGGGATGGGAGTTGCTAGGGACACTCCACTTTTAGGAATTAGGCCAAACTTTTCCATTACTATGGAAGTCACACTCTTCAAAAACTGGATTTAATTTCATTTTTTCTTCTATCTGTGCCTCTGCCTGGAGCACAGTCCTGGGGATGCCACCTGACCCTTGACCTTTGACCTGGCTTCCCAGCCTCCTCATCCCCCTCTCGCCTCCTCTGCTGCATGGCCACCCCTCCTGTTACCTGCTCTGTGCTTACCTCAGAGACCAAATCTCCCCATGCTCTGCCTCCCAGGCCCCTCACCTGGAGTGTCCCAAGGCCTCTCTGATGCCGCGTGCCCAGCGTGGGAGGAGGAGGTACAGACAGAACCCTCGGCGGCATCTGCAGAATGCATTCCATGTTCCCCTCACCTCATTCTCAGTCTTATCTGGAAACGCAAAACTATCCTCCTGGCTGAATGGTTTCCTGTTGTAGAGATTTTTATGTTTACCTGGACTGGGTCCAGTCTGCAGGCCTTGCCTGGGTGTTCTGAATCGGGGCTCGCCTCACTCTATGGCTCATTTCAGACGCAGCGTTTCCATCCCAGGAGAAAGAATGGAAGCCGTGATAACTCAGGTCACAAGAGTGGTTACGTTCCTGGAGTTCACGGAACCCCTCCAGCAGGTGCAGTTGTGTTTAACACCTAAACAAATATATAGGAAAAATGCAGTGTTAGGCAGGAAAACATTGAGCTGTGTAAGCAGTGGCCATTCACGTGGCTTTAATGTACAGAAGAGGCTCTTTGTTAGTTAAGAACTGAGGTTGTGAATCGGAGACTGAGTTCTTTATAAAGCTCACTTGTGTATGTGTGTCCCTGCCTTAACCACTTCTGGCCTTATGAGTCACCTTGGGAAAATTGGTGAATCTACATCCTCCTTGATTTCTTCATCTTTAACATTATAACAACAGGACTTTCTTCATAGGATGATTGTGAGGGCTAAAACCACTGCAGCATATAAAGTAATTTACACGGTGTTTATTACAAGGTGTGCAAGAATATGTGCCAGCTGGTTCTTTTTATCCTCGTTTTAAATGCAGTTGTTAGTAATCTATGTGTTATCCGTCCTCATTTCTCCCAAAAGTATTAAATATTTAAAGACGTATGCAGGAGTATGAAAAGAATCAGGATGCTTTTGTGAAAGGAGCCTAAGAATTCTTTGCACATCGTTGACCGGTCGTAAAGTAAGCCGCAGAAAAGCAGTGCCAGGAGGTGGAATTGCGCATCCTTGTGTCCGGTCCTCTCTTGAGAGTCGGCTTTTACTGCTTTTGTGGTTCTGTAAAGTCCGTAGCTTACGGTTGGCAGGAAACATTGACGGGCGGCTCTTTGAGCCAGCGCTTCTGTCATTCCTGTGCACACTCAGTCCTGTGACCTCCCAGTGTGGGACAAAGCTCCACTCACGTCTGCATTTTGGGGTGGAATTTAAGCACCGTCTGGACTAAGAAATCATTGCAGAGACGTTCGTTCCCAGGGATCTGAATGAAGTAGAAAAGTGCAGATGCTCAGGGATGATTCGTCCTGCTCTTGAGTGACACCAGGTCTTTCTCATCTTTGACTCAGGAGGTGCAGCCCACGGTGTGTGCAGCTTAGCACACCTGGGCAGGGCACAATCTGAGGGCACACGGAGGCCCATTAACACCAGCCGTGTATTCAGTGATCAGATTTTATGTGGGAAACATTTCTTGACCACCATTTAATACCATTCACTACACTGGAAAAAAGAAAAAAAAAAACCTTGCTGTGGATTATGTGATTAAATGATAACTTTCAAAAACATATTAAAACTTTCAAAAATGCATTAAAGTTGGAATGTAAGGCATTCTATTGACCAATACCAAATTCTACTGGTTTATAACCATTGATTTTGATTCCATGGGCTTTGAGATAGCCTGTTAGGTTATTGTCAATTTAGAGGAAACCTACATGGTTATGTCATTAGAAAGGTGGATTTGGATTTTAAAATGAAGGTTGATCCCTGGAAGAGGACCTGGAGGACTGTTGAACACAATGTGTGTTTCTCAAAAACGGGATGATTGCTCAGAATGTTCTCCATGTACATGGCGCCCATTCTGCCAGTCACCCAGCTTCATAGAGGTTAAATCGGAAGCATAGGCAGCAGTGGGTGGGGCCGTGCCACGCTCCATCCCCAGCACCAACTGGGAATACAGGCGGCATTTCCGTTGGAATCACCCCATCAGTATGGAAAGACACAGGAAACCAAAGCTCTGCTAAATGGAGGTGCAAGGCCTCGAGGCCATGACAGTGACCTCCTGGACACGGAAGCCTGTGATACACCAAGGCTCACACCGAGAGAAACGTGGGACCCAGCTTGTGAAGGACACTCTTCGACTGAACTGAGAGAAAAGGTGGAGACCAAGCCAGGCTTCTTATCTTAATTTTCTTCAGCTATAGGTAAAACCGCAAGTCTCTTATGCAAAATAGTTATAGAAAACTAAATTTTGAGAGATTAGGACTTAGTCCCAGTAAATTTAGCCTGTAAGAATCTTTTAGACTGTTTTATTTTTATAGACAATAAATCTATCTCTGTTTCAAATTGATTGTATTTTGAATTTTTAACAGTAACTTCACTCATTATGTAAAGTGAACTCTTAAAATGTGTTTGTTTTTTCAAACATGAGGAATTTGAGCCCATAATCAAGCCCATTAGACACACTTCACAGCACCTGTAACAGGCAGCTGCCTTGCTTCCCTGGACAGAAAGCAGGTGCCCTGCGTGCTGTCTGCCCTAAGGGAGAGGTGCGATGTATAAGTGTCCTTGTACATTCAGCACCACCCCAACTGTGTATTTTAAATCAGTGTTTACATTTTTATAGAGTTATTTTATCATCACTGAAAGAGGTTCTGCGGTGTTTTCTCCTAAGTTAATTCTGCATTTGCCCTTAACAACAAAACCAAACCAAACATACAAAATCTCTTCCAGTGATGATGAAATAGCTCTTGAACAGAAGCAAACAAAACATGCATTTATTTCCAAGCAGGAATTGAGCACCTACTGTGTGCACTTTCCAGGGTAGGAAGGATTCCTATAGGACTAACAGCCTGTCCAGCTGATGGCTGCTATGCCGAGGCCACGGATGGGTGGAGGACAGTCGGCCCCTGGCTGGTGTCCAGCGTCTGCTGCTGCAGGTGGGTGTTCGCTCCGGAAGTGGAGGAGCCGCCCATGTGACTCTAATCAACAGCATTGTTGGTGTGGGAGGGAGAGTCACGGCAGACAGCCTTTGAGCTCGTCCGCTCCGCCACGAATCCGTTTCCCCACGGTATCCACCCTGGAGTCCTGCAGCTTCCACACAAGCTCCTCAGGCCTGTTGGAGTGTGGGCCTGTGCAGCCGCAGCTGGGGAAGCTGAGCTTGGGTCTCCACCAAAGTTAGGGCTTGAAGGTAGCACTGGCCTGTTGCGGTCAGCCTTGGTGTCTGTCCTCTGGTGGAATTAATCATTTCCTCTGAGACATGATTATGTTTTACAGTCAACTTGTATAAAATATAAACAAGTTCCCTGGTGATTCTTCTGCTCATACTGGTGCCGCTATTAAAGTTCTGCTGGGTGTAAGCGAGGGCACTTTGCTGCATTCTGTGGCACCAAACACCGCTCTGCTGGGCAGGTCGGACTCCATTCTAAAAATGAGGAAGAGAGCCTGAGAGGCTGGCAGCCTCCCGCCTCGTGCAGGGGATGAAGCCTCCCGCCTCGTGCTGGGGATGAGACAGCACCTGCAGTGTCCAGGCCTTTCTGCGACTCAAGGCTGGGGTCTGAGTGTCTGAGTGCTGCACTGTGTGGACTGAGTGCTGTACCATGTCTCAGATCTCAGCTAGTGCTTCTGTCATTCCCGTGCACACTCAGCCCTGTGACCTCCCAGCGTGGGATGAAGCTCCACTCACGTCTGCACTTTCGAGCTGGCGGGGGGCCCTCGTGGTCATGGACTGTGAATTACCCATGTTCACATGTGTGCTTAAAATGTGGCTTTGACATTTACAAAATATGGTTCTCTTAGGATCAGAGAACATGGACTGCAAGGCCGGCTCTGGCCCTGATCCATCTGGTTTCTGGCTGTGGTTCCCTGCTGGGGGGAGGAGCGCCTCTCTCTCACCCAGGCCCCGTTCAGCACAGCTGTCCAGCCCCTGGGAGACCCTCAACTTCCACTGCCATGGTCCATGCCTGCACACCCAGGCTCTTGCCCACCTTGGAGGGCCTGCTCTGGGCTTCCTTTTATCAACAGATCTCAACATTTTCTCACGTTACTTAGAAATTACTGCTGTGTCCCGGGCCCTGAGCCACTTGGTTTTAGGAAGCTGTGGACTAAAGGGACAGGAGCCGACTTTGGTGTTGGGTAAAAGCGCGGCCACGGCTTCTGTTGCTCCGTTCGTTGTCAGGTGTGCAGCCTCCACCCATGTTCCATTTGATAGTCCAGATAATTTTCACTCTGGATTCATGCAGGCTACTGTGTCCAGAATTGGTGGGTTCTTGGTCTCACTGACTTCAAGAACGAAGCCGCGGACCCTCGCGGTGAGTGTTACAGCTCTTAGGGCAGCGCGTCTGGAGTTTGTTCCTTCTGATGTTTGGATGTGTTCAGAGTTTCTTCCTTCTGGTGGGTTCGTGGTCTCGCTGGCTCAGGAGTGAAGCTGCAGACCTTCGCGGTGAGTGTTACAGCTCTTAAGGCGGTGCGTCTGGAGTTGTTTGTTCCTCCTGGTGGGCTCGTGGTCTCTCTGGCTTCAGGAGTGAAGCTGCAGACCTCTGTGATGAGTGTTACAGCTCATAAAAGCAGCGTGGACCCAAAGAGTGAGCAGTAGCAGGATTTATTGCAAAGAGCAAAAGAACAAAGCTTCCACAGTGTGGAAGGGGACCGGAGCGGGTTGCCACTGCTGGCTTGGGCAGCCTGCTTTTATTCTCTTATCTGGTCCCACCCACATCCTGCTGATTGGTAGAGCCTAGTGGTCTGTTTTGACAGGGTGCTGATTGGTGCGTTTACAATCCCTGAGCTAGATACAAAGGTTCTCCACGTTCCCATCAGGTTAGATAGAGTATTGACACAAAAGTTCTCCAAGGCCCCACTAGAGTAGCTAGATACAGAGTGTCCATTGGTGCATTCACAAACCCTGAGCTAGATACAGGGTGCTGATTGGCGTGTTTACAAACCTTGAGCTAGATACAGAGTGCCGATTGGTGTATTTACAATCCCTGAGCTAGACATAAAGGTTCTCCAAGTCCCCACCAGACTCAGGAGCCCAGCTGGCTTCACCCAGTGGATCCGGCACCGGGGCTGCAGGTGGAGCTGCCTGCCAGTCCCGCGCCGTGCGCTCGCATTCCTCAGCCCTTGGGTGGTCGATGGAACTGGGCGCTGTGGAGCAGGGGGCGGTGTTCATTGGGGAGGCTCGGGCCGCACAGGAGCCAATGGAGGGGGTGGGAGGCTCAGGCGTGGCGGGCTGCAGGTCCTAAGTCCTGCCCCGCCGGAAGGCAGCCAAGGCCCAGTGAGAAATTGAGTGCAGCGCCGGTGGGCTGGCACTGCTGGGGGACCCAGTACACCCTCCGCAGCCGCTGGCCCGGGTGCTAAGTCCCTTATTGCCCGAGGCCGGCAGGGCCGGCTGCTCCGAGTGCGGAGCCCGCCAAGCCTACGCCCACCCGGAACTCCAGCTGGCCCGCAAGCGCCGCACGCAGCCCCCGTTCCCGCTCGTGCCTCTCCCTCCACACCTCCCTGCAAGCTGAGGGAGTGGACTCCAGCCTTGGCCAGCCCAGAGAGGGGCTCCCACAGTGCAGCGGTGGGCTGAAGGGCTCCTCAAGTGCTGCCAAGGTGGGAGCCCAGGCAGAGGAGGCGCCGAGAGCGAGCGAGGGCTGTGAGTACTGCCAGCACGCTGTCACCTCTCACTACCAGGATACAGCATTGTTTTAATGATGAAGTTTTATTCTTTGAAATGGAAAAAGGAAACAAAGATCAGTGAGCAAACTTAGGCATGCTGTTGTGTTATGATGACCTGCCTGGTATATCAGACACAATTTTATAAACAGATGGCGCGGGCAGCCAGGATCAGAGGGACGGGCACTGGAAACTTGGATGTCTGGGGGCCGGGACTCAGGAGCAGTTTACAGAGAAGAAAAGGCCGATGCTGAAGCCGAGAAGATTTCGGGACAGTTCTGTGAGTGATGCCTTCACCTGGATGAAAAGCGAAGTCCCATTGTGATCACAGATCACCCTCTGTCCTGCCTGCTGCTGGGGGTGCCCACCTGGGTGGTCGAGGCCAATTGGTTGGTCTCGTTTGATCTCAGATAACCAAGAAGAAGCACTGAGCCCCTGGATGCTGGTTGTGCATCCCTGGAGTAAACGCAGATAACCATTCCACCTTGTGGGCAGCGCAGTGCCCAGATCCATGGGTCCCACCTTACGGATAGCACAGTGCCCTGGTCGACAGCGTGGGGCGCCAGACATTCCCAAGCCTAGGCCCGGGCCCCACACTCAGCAGCTCTTCAGCCCGGCCAGTGGCACAAGCCCCCGCTACCTACTGTCCTGTACCCTGTGCAGTTGAAATGACAGTGCCTCTTCCATAGGGTCACTGCAGGGGTGAAATAGATCTGAAACATAAGTTACTTAGGATAATGACAGTGCCTCTTCCGTAGGGTCACTGCGAGGGTGAAATAGATCCGAAACGTAAGTTACTTAGGATAATGACAGTGCCTCTTCCATAGGATCACTGCGAGAGGGAAATAGATCCGAAAGGTGAATTACTTAGGATAATGACAGTGCCTCTTCCATAGGGTCACTGCGAGGGTGAAATAGATCCGAAAGGTGAATTACTTAGGATAATGACAGTGCCTCTTCCATAGGGTCACTGCGAGGGTGAAATAGATCCGAAAGGTGACCTACTTAGGATAATGACAGTGCCTCTTCCATAGGGTCACTGCGAGGGTGAAATAGATCTGAAAGGTGACCTACTTAGGATAATGACAGTGCCTCTTCCATAGGGTAACTGCGGGGGTGAAATAGATCCAAAAGGTGAATTACTTAGGATAATGACAATGCCTCTTCCATAGGGTCACTGCGGGGGTGAAATAGATCCGAAACGTGAATTACTTAGGATAGAGCCTGGCACAAAGCCAGCTCGTAATGAGTGATGGCCTTTATTTAGTTCTCTGTTGTTGTTACAGCTACTGCTGCCACTATCATATATGACCAGTTCTTATAATCAGGTGACATGCCCCGCAGTGTGGGTATGAAAGGAAGCACAAGCCATTCAATGCAGCACTGTGCCCTCGCTCCAGATGGTCCCCAGTGGAGAGGAAAATGATCATGAGGATGTGCTAAATGTGCATATGCCAGCCATGAGCTCCTCCCTTCACCTCCCTCCTCTGTTTCCTTCTTACAGCCCAGTGGTGTGAGCCCATTGTCAGATGAGGGAACCCCACAGCGTGGCTGAGATAGGGTGGAGTCAGTCCTACCAGCAGGCAGCAGGCAGAGGGGAGTGTAGACACCACCTTCCCGTGACAAACCCAGGTGCTGGAATCCTGCTGGGTCTTCTCAAACATTTACTCACAAAGCAAACACTCACGTGTGCCTACTGAGTGCCAGGGCTGTTAGTGCTGGCCGTGGTGGAATGAACAAATGCAGGACGCCCTCTGTGCTGAGGCCCTCAGCAAACACACAGGCTCGTGATGGCTCCACGGCAAGATGCATGGACGTGCACAGCATTCCTGAAGGCTGCTTCCTGTTCTTCCCATCCATAGGGAGGCCTTCAGGGAGTCCCTGGACATCGTGCTCCAGTGCCCCACTCACTGGCCTCAGCATGGCCTGCACGGATGGGGCCTCCTGCCTCTCCTGCTTCTGCAGCACTGCCCGGGGAAGTGAGGGGCTCAGAAGACCCAAACCCTGTTCTCATGAACCAATGGGAAGTGACAGAGAAGGGTGAGGAGGTGCCCTGTGAGACACCACAGGGGAGAAATTCTCTTTCTTGGACCTATTGAACTTTTCTTTGTCTCGAGTGAACACTTTATTTGTGGCCTGAATTTCTGGTAAAAATGACTTTTTTTTTTCCCCTGAGACGGAGACTTAGTTGCCCAGGCCAGAGTGCAGTGATATGATCTCGGCTCACTGCAACCTCCGCCTCCCAGGTTCAAGGGATTCTCCTGCCTCAGCCTCCCAAGCAGCTGGGACTACAGGCCCGCCACCATGCCTGGCTATGTTTTGTATTTTTAGTAGAGACGGGGTTTCACCATGTTGGTCAGGCTGGTCTTGAACTCCTGACCTCAGGTGATCTGCTGGCCTCAGCCTCTCAAAGTGCTGGGATTACAGGCATGAGCCACCATGCCCAGCCCACCATGACTTTTTAATGAACAAGTTACTACATAGTTCCTGAACTTAAATTAGCCCTCTTTATTAATATTTAATATGGACTATTTAGAAATGCCACTGCATGACAGGGAAGTAGAAAAAATATATTTTTCTAAATTGTACTAAAAAATAATATACTACAGAGACAGTTTTAAAATAAAATATGTGAACGAAATTTCAAGATTTTTCAAATTCTGAAACATACACGTTCTGTTTTTGTCTCGAGTACTCGTAATTTTCAGTCATGAGCTAAAATACACACACATGCACACACACACACATGCACACTCTCCTTATTTTCCAAAGCATGAAGGCTTAAAGTAAACAGGCATGTGTGCAATGCACACCTTTCCTCTCTGTTACCACAGGCACAGAGGGAGGTGGTGGCCAGAGCCGACAGGGAGTGACAGGCTGTGGTTGTAATGAAGGCCACCAGCCATCATTTATGGATGAAAGCTTCCTTGGTTAAATTTTGTACGTTCCAATGTATTTATTCTTTAAAAACTGGACAGCTTATTAAAAAGGCGATTTACACATTTTGACTTTCTCCGGCATTGAAGCTTTGACGAGCAATTAAGAATTCTCAGTTTTTAGGGTCAAATTTTATAGTTACTGGAATCCCACAGCACAAGGGAAGCAGAAGGTTGGAAGAGTGGTCATTGGTAGCGGATGTAGCAGGGGTCTCGGTTTGGGGCTTTAATGACAACTGCTAATGCTCTGTGATTGGTTTCCGCTGAAACAGATGATTTGAAAAAGGGTCAAATCTGTTGAGGTGTGTTTTGTGACAGGAAGATTCCCAGCGGTGTGGGCGGGATTCGGAGGCCTTTCTGCATGTGGACAGGAAGACCGCAGCGAAGGCAGGCAGTGTGACCGGGCACATGAGAGCTGGGCTGTGGGGCTTTTCCCGGCAGGAGCCGCAGGGTGCAGGGTTGAGGCTGGCACTGAGCCCACAGTCAAGAGCGCAGGAAGAACGGCTTAAACAGACTGGCTGTCCTCCACAGGAGGTGGAGACCTGAGCACGTAACTTCAATTCCTTAATGTCCTAATACGTTAAGACATGTGCTTTGAACGTTATTGGAATAAATTTATTTCTCTTAGCCAAAAACTGAATTGATTCACTTTCTAGAGTATAAGTCTATTTTCAGTTTTCTCTTTGGAATTGAAAAATTCTCTAAGGGCACGAGGAAACCCTGGGAGGAGGGTAGACTTTTCAAAAGTGCCGACACAGTCAGTGCTTGACTTCCCCATGGATGGCGAGTGTCTGGGAGCTGGTTTGGTTTCTTCTCGGTGGACCCCGGGGTGCCAAGCGCTCTGCCTTCACTTGGTGTGGCTTTGCTTACAGCAGCTTCCTACAATCTCATGTGTGTCCATCAAAGAGCATGTTAGCTCCTGAGCAGCAGATGCTCTGTGAATTTTAGCTCCGATAATGACCTTGGCCACGTGAACACCATCCTAAAAGGCCTGAGCGGCCACCATGAGGCGGGTAGAGAGGCCGGGTTCCAACTGTGAGCCACGGAGGAAACTCGGAGGAAACCGTGAAACTCGGAGGAAACAAAGGCCCAGAAATGCCCTGGAAGAAGCGGCTCCTGATCTTGCATCCAGACGTGCCTGAAAGCAGATTGCGTGACTTACACTAGTTACCCGGCTTCTATAACAATAAACCAAACAGTGAACCAACAGTGAGCCACGCTGTGAACTTTCTTTCCCTGTTTCATTAACATGTTAGTATCTGCCATCAGCATTCATGTCAACAACTTTCACAGTTTCTGTTCATTTGATACTTAATTTTTATTGCTTTCTTTGATAAATTACAGACTAATAATGTTTATATGGTACTTACGGGCTTACAAATAACTTTGTTTCAGTTATCCCATTTGTTCCTCTCAGTATTCCTATTTTGTGGTACGGTTGGCATTTGAAGCCCATCGTACGGACAAGGAAAGCCCAGCTCAGAGGTGAGATGTCCAGCCTGCCTCATGAAGCTATGGCATAAACGTGCCTGGACTGCAGACGCCTTCCTTTTTATTGCAGGACACAGCCGTCTGCCCCTCGTGCGAGTCCGTGAGCCTCTGGGGCTCCACGTGCATTCACTGCCTCAGGGGGCAAAGCTGATGATCTTTCTCAAGACCACAGCATCGATAAAGGGTCCTTCATGGAGCCTGGGTCCACTGTCTCTACTCACATCTTATTCCTGCTACATCAATGATGGTGTAAACCTCCAAAGGCAGAGTTAGGACTCTGGACTCAGATTCCTTCTCACCACTGACTTTACGAGGATGACCACAGTACTGACCCTGCTGAGAGCACCCAGTGTTCAGTCATCCATGCATTTGGTGCATACGTCACCAACCCTGAGAATCAGGAAATGCCAACTCCCTGAGAAGACACTGTCGTTAGTACATGTGAGCTGGAGCCAAGCGGTGACCATGCGTGTCCTTCACACGCCCTCACGCGCAACCAGGGACCCCCAATTCATGAGAGGGGGGACCCCTGCCCCCATGCTGCCCTGAGGTCCCTGCAGGCCCCACCAGGCACCCCCGATTCATGAGAGGGGGCGCCCCTACCCCACTCTGCCCTGAGGTCCCTACAGGCCCCACCAGGCACCCCCGATTCATGAGAGGGGGCGCCCCTACCCCATGCTGCCCTGAGGTCCCTGCAGGCCCCACCAGGCACACCCTATTCATGAGAGGGGGGCCCCTGCCCCACGCTGCCCTGAGGTCCCTGCAGGCCCCACCAGGCACCCCCGATTCATGAGAGGGGGGACCCCTGCCCCACGCTGCCCTGAGGTCCCTGCAGGCCCCACCAGGCACCCCCGATTCATGAGAGGGGGCGCCCCTACCCCATGCTGCCCTGAGGTCCCTGCAGGCCCCACCAGGCACACCCTATTCATGAGAGGGGGGCCCCTGCCCCACGCTGCCCTGAGGTCCCTGCAGGCCCCACCAGGCACCCCCGATTCATGAGAGGGGGGACCCCTGCCCCACGCTGCCCTGAGGTCCCTGCAGGCCCCACGAGGCACCCCCGATTCATGAGAGGAGGCACCCTTACCCCCACGCTGCCCCAGGATCCCTGCAGGCCCCCTAGTCTAGCTGGATCCAGGAAAAGCTGCCCCTGGCCCACACTGGCACCACCCCCTGTTCCTCCCCAGGCCTTTGGAGAAGAACAGGCTCTTCTGAAAGAATAAAAGCGTAGAGCTCTGAGATGGGGAAAATTGGAGGATGGGACACAGGGAACTTTTGAGGATTCTTCTAAAGTCTGTTTTTGGTCTGAGAGTTGGTTGGCCAAGAGTATGGAATACATGACTGTTTATCGAGGTGTTCACTGGTGAGTTGTGTGCGTGTGTGTGTGTCCTGTAGCTCAATGTAAAATATGCCTAAAAATAATAGTCTCTGACCTCTTCATGTGGGGAGCCAGGGAACTTGGCTGTCGTCCGCAATAATCTACTTGACCCAGCTGTTTATTAACCACTAGATTAAGGTCAGCCTTGCTTTGTATATGTCGCACCAGTTAACATGAACAAATGAGAAATGATGGCAATGAACCCATTTTTAGTTAGCACTTACTTTAATAAGAATTAATGGATACTTGGACAAAAGTGTAGATATAAGTCTGTCAATATTTAATAAGCACCTAATTCATGTGGAATATTACACAATCTGCCTAAAATAGTCTCCCAGCATTTTGAAGTGTAAAAATTAATTTATTATAGCAGACATCCAGGACCAAAGGCCCCACGGGAAGCGATGGATCCTGAGGGACAGGTGCTCCCCAGGAGGACCAGGAAAGGTGATCAGAAAGGGCTGTGCGAAGGTGGAGGCAGAGCTGCCTGCCCTCCCCATGCAGGGGACCTGCTTCCTCTGGCTTCTTCCCCTCTCCGGCTCCACACAGTCACCTCCACCTTCACCTCTGTCCTCCTGCCAAGTCAAGAGTACCTTGTTCATCGCCATCAGGCAGAATATCAGCCACAAGTAGATAAACCTCACATTCTGATTCAAGAAACACTAATTAGAATGAGAATGACCCCTAGACAGGGATGTCAGCTTTTTAAAAGAATGACTTTTAAAATAGCAAACTCTGGTCTGATAGATTTGGCTCAAAAATATGCAGAACTGTGTTATACCATCTCTGTTTCCTACCCCTTCTCCTACACACCCCACCTTGCCTAAGAAAGCAGCGATGACACTCACATTTGAAAGATTATTAGAACATAGCTTAGTGATGACTTATTTTTTTAAAAAAATATGTTTGCTTTGTTCTGTATTTTATCTTCAGTTAGCTGCTTGAGACCATGGAGGTATTATGAGTCATATACATTAATATGCATTGTTTTCTTTTTTTCTTTTTTTTTTCAGATAGGGTCTCACTCTGTTGCCCAGGCTGGAGTGCAGTGGTGTGATCTCGGCTCACTGCAACCTCTGCCTCCTGGGTTCAGGAGATTCTCCTGCCGTAGCCTTCCGAGTAGCTGGAGCTACAGGTGTGTGCCACCATGCCCGGCTAATTTTTGTATTTTTCGTAGAGATGGGACTTCACCATGTTGGCCAGGCTGATTTCGAACTCCTGACCTCAAGTGATCCACCTACCTCAGTCTTCCAACGTCCTGTGATTATAGGCGTGAGCCACTGCGCCCGGCCAATATGCACTATTTTCTTAAGAAAAAGTCTATAAAAGTGTACATGACATTTCTCTTTTGCAAATAGGCATATGTAAAGTATGTTTTTAAAAAATATTGCATGACAGGGAAGAACTACTGAATTTGAGACGGTTGGTTGTTAATACTTTGCCATGATTGAGTTCTCAGCAAGTGGAGTGTCATGGAGCAGTGGAAGGGGACTATGTTCTCCCAAAGCTCCCCTGTCAATCAGAAGCACACAGGTGGTCCTAGAGAAGGGTGGATGCTGAGTGCAGAGGGTGCTGGGCTGCTCCAGCCTCACCCCATCAGGAGCTTTAAGTGCTCCATCCAAAGGGTCTTCGAAAGAATAACCAGTAAGAATCCTGCAGACAATAACTCCAGAATTTCAGGAGCACTGTTCTTTCCTTGACAAAGTGCTTTTCATGTTTCATCGAATTAGAAGTAGCTCCTGTTACCAAGGGAATTCGGGGTTTGGTCTTGGTCTCAGCGAGCCTGCTGACTGTACTGAGGCGCCTGAGGAAGTGGTGCAGTTGCCCCATGTCCTGGGTCCAGGGTAGAGCCCTGCTGAGCATCAGCCTCGAAACTCACGGAGGCAGGCCCGCTCCCGTCGCTGCGGGGCCTCCTGGACAGCTCTCTCCCTCCCCAGGTGGAATGCGTTCGAGGTGCTCGCCCTGGACGGAGTCAGCTCTGGGATCCTCCGGTTTTACACAGCCCAGGATGGCACCGACTGGCTGCGGGCGGTCTCAGCCAACATCAGGGAGCTGACACTTCAGAACGTGAGCACACGGTGTTTCTGAGTCTCTGCTGATGCTCATTCGTGCATGAAAAATAATGGAGACATCATGTTTCTGATGATTTATGATTAACCCGAAACAGAAAATCATGTACTTGTTTCAATGTGTCAAATCTATGTCTAAAAACATTAAAAATGAAGCCATCAGAATGTTTCCAAATCAAAGAGTAAGGCAATGTCTAACAGCTGAGAATTTCCCATCTGGTTTTGTCTTCCTCCTCCCCTCTGTCTGCCTCTGTCTCTCTCCCTCCCTTCCTCTCTCTTTCTCTCCACACACATATACAGAAATAGTTATATGTCATAATTTTATATTTTACCCAAATGCATTGATACAGTGTGACATTTTGAGTTGGGGAAACCTAATTGAGTTAAAAGTATAATTCTCCCAAACATTATGAAGATTTAGAAAAAGGCATAATTGAGCAAAAACATTACTTCTCAAATTTGTACTGCAGTCCCCCAGAAACGAAAAAGTATTCTGTCCCCTTAAGTGATGTTTGATATTAAAAGTCAACAGGATTTTAAAAATTAAAGAAATGAAAAGAGATGGGGTGGGAACGAAGACTTGATGACACGGGCGTTGCCTGGAGTGATGGGTGCCTGGACTCGGACATGGAGCCGTGGCCGCAGCCCTGGCAACTGTGGCAGGACTGGCCGTGCCTGGAGGCGGCCCTGGACCAGCCTTGCTGCCCTTGCTCCCTCTAAGCTGAGTTGCCCTGTAATTGCACTTCGATCCCTGCTCTGTTCCTTCGCAGCCTGGAGGCTGCAGAGGCTGGGTCCAGCTTGCAGACTGGCCAGGCGTGGCCCACCCTGCGGCCCTGCAGATGCACCCGCCCTGCCCCTGCCCTGCCCACCACCTCACGTCTCCCTTGCAACCTCCCTTCTTCCTGTGGCTGCAAAACAGAAGTTAACCTAACACTGGGGGAAGCAGCAATGTGTGACATTTCTCCTGTGAAGACCTCAGGGGCTTCCTTTCTGCAAGCAGAGAAGGAAGTACCAGGACCTTCCTAACATTGTAGTTTTCAAACGCAACACTTTAAATTCCAAAGTTATCTCAATAAATAGGGAAGAAAGGATGGTGCTTGACTTATATTTGCAGAAATGTTTGTGACGAGGAGCGCCCTTCAGTTCTGTCATTTCACAAATCAGCCCTCATAGGCAGGGCAGAGAAGTCAGACACCCCAATATTTCAGAACAGAAATGTGGACTCTGAGCTGCCTCCCGGCTGTGTGGCTGTGGGCTGTGGGAACATTATGATTCTGCACCTCCACTTCCTCGGTGAAATTTTGGAAAACAACATCTACCTCCATAGGTCATTGGGAGAACTAAATAAAAGAAAGAATATCAACTGTGATCACCGTAATTACCATCACAGTAATACTGACTCTCACAAGGTTATGTAGAGCAGAAATCATTTCCTCACTTTTCTCAGATATTGGAATTTAAGCACCTGCTCTTGAAGTGTAACTTCACTTACATAAATGCTGATATTTGAAAAAGAGGAATTGAAGCCTGCTAGTAAAGTTGTTTTCTACTGCTGCCATGTTTGTATTGACTCTGGCTAGGTCTTCAGATAGGAAATATGTCATTAAAGAGGCCTGTTTCCCAGGACAGAGCGTGGCTGATGACTTCCAGCTGTCACTCAGGTGAGCCATCCTGGTGTTGGTGGCTGTGGCCCTGACTCTTCTGCCTTCTCTCCACAGATGAAGATGGCGAACAAATGCTGCTCTCCTTCCGACCAGGTAGGGTTTGTATTTTCTGCTTCATGATGTAACACATCAGGTAGGGTTTGTATTTTCTGATTCATGATGTAACACATCTCGAAAAGCAGTCTCTGGTTTTTTGAAATTTGATTTGAAAATGTTGATAGGAAAACATTAGCACATTTCAGACTGCATTTGGTGGTCTCTGCCCTGCCTGTTAATTCTATAAAACTGCTCTTTCTGTGGGAATAGCATAGGTCATTCTGATCTCCTGTGTATAGATTATTTCTCTATTGGCAGTTATGTTTTGTAAAGAATCGTGATTTAAATGATGATTTAGATATGATTGTTTAAACTGAGAAGGGCTTTGAGATGACACACCTGTGTAATTTGAAATTTTAAGCATTATATTATTTTCTTAAATAAAATCCTTACTAGGAAAGCTTCATTCTCAGGAGGGCTTTGGCCCAGTGGGTGTTATTGCCAGTGGGTAGGATCCTGTCATCCCCAAATCCAGGCAGTTTGTTCACCTGGAGCCCAGAGCCCTTAACGTTGTCCTGGATTCAGGATAGCTACCTTTGTAGCCACCCTCAGGCCTGATTTTCTGCTCACTTCCCACGTCTATGAGTACTTAGGAAAACTCTATGGTAATCAAGCTGTTTCAATATCAGCCAAATCAGTTTTTAAGCCACTGTGTTATTCTTCTGTTTCCTTTATAATAAACTTATGATTTAACTTGTAATGTAAGGGAGTATGTTATTTATAGTTCATTCATTTTCTGGTTACATCTCTTAGGGGCGTAAGGAAGCATGCATCATAGCCTCAAGTTAAGAAAACTGAGAAAAACATGTTCGCTTTGCTTTAAATAGCGCACAAAAGACTTTAAATAGTGCTTAGCAAGAATATTTGAATTCACGATGGAGGACTTGAGAAGAGCAGGTCCTCTGCCTATGAAATATTTACTAAAACAATGGGAAAATAGGGCTGTGTTTTAAATTAAACCTCTCTAGTCAACATTTCTACATTAGAAAAGAAACACTAAGAATAAATGGTTCTTCTAACTTTTATCTCTTTTAATATTATTCTAAAATTACCATCAACTATTTTTGTTTACATAGATATTTTATGATTAATATTTCTATAAATTCTTCAAATTAATATAGGATTCATTTCATATTCTTATACATAAAATATCATTTCCCTACTATGTGTTTTTGAAACAGAAGTTCTGAAACTTTTCCACAAAGTACATATCTCTCTATGGTTCACACAGGAAACAGCCTTTATCAAGGCTGGTGGGACAGTGGGCCAAAGTTTTGACATGATCTCTATGAATAATTTACCATTTTGAAATTGCATCTTATTCACACACGCAAAATTAGCAAAATGTTTCCTGAGATCCTCTTTATGGCAAAGCTGAGACTCTTCCGAGATCTTAGGAGGAGCCGCAGCTTCTGGTATTTCTCAGTGTTGGCTGCTTCTTCCCTGTTTCTCAGTTTGTTCGTCATGAGGACAGCCGTCCTCTCCCGACCCTCAGAGGGGTTGTCACCTTGCAGACAGATCCTTGATGCTAAACAGTGATGTCCGCAAGTGGAGAGCATACGTGGGAATGGGCAGCATTTATGGACTTGGCCTTTACGTGTTTCAGAGAAATGCTGACTTTTGTAGCTATACTGGAATTACTCCTCATGTTGGAAAGAGCACTGCTCCGGAGAGGAAAGCATTTTCTTTTTTTTTTATTATTATTATTATACTTTAAGTTTCAGGGTACATGTGCACAACGTGCAGGTTAGTTACATATGTATACATGTACCATGTGGTGCGCTGCACCCAGTAACTCATCATTTAACATTAAGTATATCTCCAAATGCTATCCTTCACCCTCTCCCCACCCCTTAATCCTCCTTATCATCAACTGACAAGAGAGAATGATGAAATAATGGTTCAGAGAAATGTAAAAACCTGTAGGGAGCACAGTTTCCGCTATGGAGCACATTGAAGGAGCATCTTCCAGAGACCTCAGAGGCAGTGGGCGGCCTTGTTTTTGCTTCATCTCAGTGAAATTCTCCCACATATTAAGCCTTGTGTATTTCACATCGATCTTGGTGGCCTTGTTTGACAAAGCAAAAAGCCAAAGGCAAACCCTGGACCTGATAACCCTGACCAAACCCTTCTCTGGTGTTGTAATTTTAACAAATTCACTCCTGAGGCTTAATTTCTTTATCTGTAATATAAGAAAGTTGTACTGGGTAATTTAAGGTCCTTTTTACAACCTTAAAAGTCCTATACAACTTTGAATTTACTTAGCAGCTTGGAGTAGTTTATTTGGAAATTGATCTTAGAGCTGAGCTTCATTATGTAGGATGATGAAGAACTAGCCCTGCTATATCCGGATGCGCTTTTGGTGGAGGATGGTTTCACGTTTTCTCCAAAAGTGGTGTGCTTTGTACAAATGTTAGGAGTTTAAATTTAAGACATTAGGCCCTTTAAAACAGAAAGAAAATTTTTTTTCACTCTGAACAATTCATTCTTGATTTTGGTATTTAACAAATAATTGTGAGATAATTGTTAATGTGAAAAATGCGAATTTTATGTCAAAAAAATTTATGTGAAAGGATAAATAAAGGTGTTTAACAACCACTGAAATTGGCAAACAAAAACACACAAAAAACAGAATTAGGAGAATACTACAAAAAGCATAATGTATGCATTTTTAGACTCTCATATCTGGTATATAAAATAACCAAATAATTTATCATACAAACCAGAGCACTTTTGTCTGGGACAAAGACTAACCTGAAAACATTACCAAGATAACTGCAAACAAACATATGCTCACCCCACCAAATAGCAAGCAGCCCTATTTCTTTCCAAATTAAACTTATTTTTGAATAACCTGAATTTTAATTTAGGTAGCTATTGATGATGCCTTAATTGCCAAATCTCCCTGACCCCCTGCAGAAAACCCTAAATAACACAGGTAATTCTGGCTTTTTCTAGCTAAAGGAAAAGACCAGCTGCATGTTATCATCTGGTGGACGCTTAACTAATTATCTTGACTGATGGGGTGAAAAGAAGAGGACTCTCTTATAGAAATGGTATCAGAAAAGATAAAAAATATATTTCTTTATTATAATGGTTATGACATCCTTATTAAGGTGGTACAGTCAGGGAGATGTTTCTAAAAGTATAATACACACTTCTTGGAATGTGTAATTAGAAAATTCATAATGTAGAAGATAAAATTAGCTTTGCTTAAAATTATTTATGAACTGCATATACCTAAGAAAGATTCAGAAAGCATCCGATGTTTCCAACAATAGCAAAGCTATAACGTATTTCTTTGCTAAATCTAGCATAATTCAATTACTTGTGTGATTTAATTAAGCTCATGCAACTAACAGGCATTTCAGATTACTGGCGGTCTATTATTGCCATCTTGGGCCAACAGTAGCTCTTTATTCACTCCTTAATACATAACTCTCCTTGAACTTTGTGCCAAACACTGTGTCAACCCGATATAGAAAAGAAGAAGAGCCCAACACTGTCCCAGCCCAGGGGGAAGAAAGAGCAAGCAGCCCTGGGGAAGGGAGGTGGGTGTACAGCTCATGGGGCCTCCCAGGTCTGGGTGCTCGGATTCCAGCTGGTACCTGCAGCTCCTCAGAAACAGAGTAACTCTGCTCAATCAGAATTAGATGGTAATTCCACCCTTGATCAAGTTCTCCTCCAAAAAGAAGGCTTGCTGCTGCCATGCTGGAAAAAGAATCCCAAGTTCTCTATTTTAGCCAAGATTCAAGAATGCATACTTTCAACTTTCTACTCGCCCTTGATCTACCTGTAATGTAAATCAATCTCTCACCCATCTGTCCTCTGTATTTAGATATTCCTGAGTGTTACGGCCGTTAGATTAAGTTCCTGCACATCAGTTTCCTATTCATAGTTCATCCCTTGTGAAATCTAAATTGCAGCGCATGATTAAGTGTTTCGTGAACAGAACGAGTAAGATCAAGGAAACTCGACAGTATGTGAACACGTGATTTAAAAAATGAGGGAGCCGAGGTGGGCAGATCAGGAGGCCAGGAGTTGAAGACCGGACTGGCCAACATGGTGAAACCCCGTCTCTACTAAAAATACAAAAATTAGCCGGGCGTGGTGGCACGCGCCTGTAATCCCAGCTACCTGGGAGGCTGAGGCAGGAGAATCGCTTCAACCCTGGAGGCGGAGGTTGCAGTGAGCCAAGAGCGTGCCACTGCACTCCAGCCCGGGCGACAGAGCAAGACTCTGGCCTGGGGCCAGGGTGGTGGTGGGGGTGGCTGGGGAAGTGGAGGAAGTAAAACCAGCAGAGTTTGCCCTGCAGGCAAAAGAAAAACATCACTTTAAATCTCTCTACCCCGTATGAATCTAATTAGGCTGTGACCCTTAGAATTTCTCATCAGAACTAGTATTTGTTTCGTGAATTTTAAAGACTCTCAGACCACGTTGGCAGGGACCTGCAGAAGGGGATGTGTTCGCCATTCGCTCGTTTTTTGTTTCGTTCTTTTTTCTGGATGTGATTATTCTCTACTCCTCCCTCTTACTAACTTTGTGATTTGACGAGGATATTGGTGTGACTCCTCGTAATAAATATGGGGTCAAACCAGACTTTTTGTGCTTGTTGCTGATTCTTAAAAGTTTGCAGGCCGGGCGCGGGGGCTCACGCCTGTAATCCCAGCACTTTGGGAGGCCGAGGCTGGCGGATCACGAGGGCAGGAGATTGAGACCATCCTGGCTAACACGGTGAAACCCTGTCTCTACTAAAAATACAAAAAATTAGCAGGGCGTGGTGGCGGGCGCCTCTGGTCCCAGCTACTCGGGAGGCTGAGGCAGGAGAATGGCGTGAACCTGGGAGGCAGAGCTTGCAGTGAGCCAAGATTGCACCACTGCACTCCAGCCTGGGTGACAGAGCGAGACTCCATCTCAAAAAAAAAAAAAAAAAAAAACAGTTTGCAATAATTTAGAACTCAGGCAATTTCCTACATTTTCTAGAAATTCTGGTTCCACACTTTGATGCTAATCAGTAAAAGAAAGGTCTTCCACTCAGCCATCCTGACAAATACAATAAGCTTGTTTTTGCCTGCTGCAGTTATCCAGCAGCCAGCTGCTCCGAAGATTTAGATTTGAAGATATGGTCATCATTGTTTGTGAAACCTCGCCTAATAAGGCCATAAAAAATGATGAGTTCATGTCCTTTGTAGGGACATGGATGAAACTGGAAATCAACATTCTCAGTAAACTATCGCAAGGACAAAAAACCAAACACCGCATGTTCTCACTCATAGATGGGAATTGAACAATGAGAACACATGGACACAGGAAGGGGAACATCACACTCTGGGGACTGTTGTCGGGTGGGGGGAGGGGGGAGGGATAGCATTGGGAGATATACCTAATGCTAGATGACACGTTAGTGGGTGCAGCACACCAACATGGCACATGTATACATATGTAACCTGCACATTGTGCACATGTACCCTAAAACTTAAAGTATAATAATAAAAAAAAAGGAAAAAAAAAAGAAATAAGTCCTCCTCAAGAGCTTTAGCAAGGCACTCAAATGTGCGTAAGATGACCTGGGCAGCCTGCTCAGGGCCATGTGCCTGGTCTTCCTGGAATGTGAACTCTTTTCTTGCTGAACAAACTGCCTGCATAATATTCTTTTCATGACTGTGTGGAAGCCACTGTGTTTGCAATTGTTTTTAGTAACTATGCTTCAAATGAATCCTATCTTAAACTGTACAAATCACTGCACTTGTGCAGTAGTGAGCTGGAATTAATCACGCATTGAATTCATGTTAATTATGGAAACATCAAGCATCTGCTAAATTTGCTAGAAAAAGATGCATTTTTAAATGGAGGCTTTTATGATTTACAGAGTATAAATGCTAGTGTTATAACCAACAAAAATATAAGTATGTGACCCAACCAGACAAAAAAGGAAAAAATCTATTAGGTATTTTAAAATAATCTGTGTATTTGGTTTCAAATTCAGACACTGGAGGAGTAAATTACACATCAGTGGCTTTTCCAGGTATGAATGTCCCTGGCATTTGCCCCCAGCTAGTGCCTTATGAGGGATTCCTATGGGACACTGTGAAATTCCCGTAATTCTCACGTGAGATCTAGAATTCTACCCGTTTCATGATGGAAAAAGAGAGCCTTGGCAATGTTAAATGTGCTTTGCTGGGGAGGGTCTCGGGGAAATAAAGTCGTCCTGTGTTACTGCAACATTAACCCCATACCACATCTATGTGGTTCCTGAGCCTCCATGGGACGTAAGTATAACCCACTAGGAACTTGGAAGTTCATGATCCAGTGAAATATTTGGGTTACTTTGAAAAGCCTTCTAAATCCAGAACAGTCAAGAAAGACAAAACTAAAACGTTTAATGCATCAGGGGATTCGTATTCAACACTGAAAACCATGATGATAGCTGTTCGGCTACGCGTCCCCGCCCTACAAGACAGTGCTCCTAATTTTCTTTCCCATTGCTAGAAATACCGTTTGTAGAAATCTGATTCTGTCCTCTAGCATCTCGACTTCCCAGGAAGTCTCTCCAGCTTAAGAGTGAAGACCTTCAGTGGTTTATCAAGTAAATATCAGAAACAGGATGCGCCCATCCTGGAGCTGGCGCCGGCTGTGACGGGACTTACCTGGGCGGCTCCAGCAGAGGGCACTTCGTGGGTGCATGGGGCTTGCACACTTGAGGGGTGTCCAGGTCCCAGCTGGTTCTCAACTTTTAATAGCTCATCGGTCAGTGTCATTTGGTAAAGTGGTTGGGATCTCTGTGATAACTTATTTTTATTTTTTTAAGTTTTTAATGCTAAGCATATGTTAATAGGTTTTCCTTGAAATAGAATGAGAAAATGAAAGAATTATAATGAAATTACTCCTGGTACTTGCTACAAAATATGTCACATTAAAATTTTAGATAACATGGATTTTTCTTTAATATTAGATTGAATTCACTGAATTCTTAAATTGGATTATTATTTAAATGTTTTTGAATCATATTCTGATTTTGATAGGTTGGATTTTATATCATACGGCTCAAAATATTCACTGCTCATTGTAAGAATCTAATATTTTACATTATTTCATTGTTGTTAAGAAGTTGAACCATAAAGAGAAACAATTATTTTTCCACATATGCCAACTTCTATGTTCACTATAGGAATGAAAAATATAATTAGCTGTTTTTACTACCTCATAGAAAAATCTGAAATACTACCTTCTAATAGAATATAATTCAATACAGTCGTTTTAAAAGATAAACCAACAACTCTAAGGCAGCTGAGAAGTCCATTGGCCAAAACTGAAAGTGCTCATATATAAAACCTGGTTCAATGCAAAACTGAATTTTTAATTCAAGATGTGATTCATTCCTATTGTGTGAACTTGATTTGGAAACTTGGACATCTCCACGTTTCTCCCGTCTCCTGATTCTGGGTGTGTTGACCTGATGGGATCATGGCTTGCTCATGTGCTTAACTCTGCTGCTGTGACAGTATGCCCTCATTAAGGCTTGGTTTGTAATTTTCACCCCTCTGCAGGTTGTGCATATGGGGTGGGTAAATGAGAAACTCCAAGGAGCTGACTCCTCTCAAACCTTCAGACCCAAGTTCCTAGCACTGAAGGGCCCGTCCTTCTACGTTTTCAGCACTCCTCCGGTAAGGATGCTTTTGACACTCCACAGGGAGGGGCTGCTGGGAGGGCTATTCCTGTAGGAGGGGGAAAGCTACATCTGGTGTTTGGAGGAGGACAGACAGAGTGCTTGGTCCTGCCGTTTGCTGTTTCTGCATGGTTGGAAAGGATTCTGCTTGTAGATTGCTTATTTCTTGCTCCAAATTTATAAATTAACCCATTTCTTTCTTTAGTTCAAATAGCCATTAAGATATTGTAGAGCTTATTCCTTCCTCAAATTCCAGCTGGTTTGGAGGTGGGATGCAGAGGCTCTGTGTCTTAGAGGATCAATTATGTAGTTGAAGAAGCCAAGAAACATACAAAATACAACCCTCTTTTTAGACGTTTCCAATTTCTAAATTTTAAAAGCTTTTATTCCCGGATGTCTCCCAAGTTTTATTTAAAAAATAAGCAGCCTGCTTTAGTGGGGTCCATAATATAAATTTATGGCTGAATGCTATCGTTCTGCAATTTCATTTTCCAGTGCCCACCGGTACCATTCTCCCCAAACTGACTGAATGTAATGTGTAATGTCTAGAAGTTTATCAATTTAAACAGCTTTACTTTTGAGAGTCTGACCATCAGAACTGCAAGCAAACTAAAAACCTGAGAGCTTCAGGTACCTACACGTTTTGGATGCATGTCACGTGCAGTGTTCATGGGACTTTTTTCCATTAAAAGGAAATGAAAAGATAAAACCAAGTTTTACCTCCAGACATCAAGACAGTAATACCCTGCCTGTCTTTTCGTTGATAAGGATGGCTTTTTAAGTAAGCGTTTTACTTGAGAATCATTTCAGATTTATGGAAAAGCTGCACATTGAGTGCAGAGAGCCCCGTCTGCCTCCACTCAGCTCCCCTGATTTACACAACTTACGTGGCCATGGAGCATCTGGCAAACCACCATTTGACAATGATGCAGCATTACTAACCACACTTCGCCCTCCAGTCAAACTTCAGTTTTTCTACTAATGCACTTTTTCTGCCCCAGAGATAACATAGGATATCATATTGGCTTTAGTTGCAAGGTTTTGAAATAAACCAGCACTTTGTGCTTATTGCACCTAAATGTTTGCATGAATAATGACTGAATTCCCCTCAAAACAAACATAACCATGTTCTTTAACATTTACTGCTAATTTGCTCCATATTTTCAAATTCAAGTCCCAGAGGTGAACGTCTGATTGGCTGGGCTGATTTTGTTTTTGAGCAGAGCTAAGATATTCATGCCAGCTCATCTCAGAGGTATTGAAAGACTCGGAGGAGGTGGCTGGCACCGCATGTACCCAACCTGGACCACGTACCACTGACACTGGAGATGCATGAAGGGGCTGAGGTGTCGGAGGACTTCCATGGACCCATATCACTCCATGTGTTACCTGTGTGGCCTGTTTACCAGTTGGCCTTTTATGGAACTCAGGGATTCTTCAAACCCTAATGGGCAGATCCTAATTCAATAACCATTGAAAAGCAAGGGTTCAAAACAGACAGGTTTCTTGGCCGTGGGTCTTCACGGAAGTTATGTCCTGCCTTGGGATGCTCCGAGTGCTGGTAGCATCCAACTCATCTCAGCAAGGCCCGGCTGGTAAACTGATTGCAGCGTCACAAAGTGTCCCTGGAATTGCTAACGTGCGTAAACTCCTTTGTAGCTTGTAGTGCACTTCTGTCCATTATATAATTTGATTCTTGAGACAACTGAAGGCCCCTCATTTTAGTGATGAGTGGCAAGAGCACACAATATCAGAGCTCCATCTTGATACATCGTAACTGTTTTATCATGGAGACCTATTGTAATATAAATCGATAACTAAAAATAGGTATTTTCATCTTAGCAACACATTGAACAGACACATTCACTTGCTTTTTTTTTCTCATTTGAGTCTTGCTTTTACAGATGAAGGTCATGTGTAAATAAAATAGTAAACAAATATACTTGACCGAGGATTGTTTTGGATAATTTATTTAAAATCCTCTCTTAATAGACTGTGGGTTGTATTAACTGCATTTAATACCAGAATATTCTTACAATGTACTGAAAATCCAGAGTGCAGGGAGTATACTCTCTCTGGTCTTCTTCCCCGGTGGGAACCACCTAAGTATGTGGCCTGTCATTGTTCTTCTTGATACTTGCTCTCATAATTTGTTTGAAACTGGCTGACTTTGCCTGAAAAAAGTAATAAATACAAATAAGCAACTTTCCTTCAGTATTCATTTGTATTCTGCTTAGTTGTAAATTATGAGACCCTGACTATGTTTGATTTTGAAATAATTCTTTTAAAGAAATCCTAATGTATCTAAATTTTAAGTTGTGCTTCTTTTTCTTCATACCTGCTGTGGGTAGAGAGTCCATTTCTTATTTTAAATGCAGTTTTGTTTTGTTAAAATGCAGGCGAGTCTTCCCTCAGGGCCCTGAGGTCGCTGCCACTCACACTGGCCGGGCAGTGCAGCATTTGCAAGGGACAGAGAATCATTTCCTGGGGGTCTGAAACCAGGATATGGTTGTGGAGAGTGAGGGCTGAGGAGGGCGCATGGCACTGGGGTGAGGACCAGGAACCTGCCCAAAGCCACAGGACCAGCCGTGCGTGCCGGGAAGCCAAAGTCACATTTCTATGTGTCCAGGAAGGAACTGGAAATCGCAGACTCCTCATTCACGTAGAGGAAGTGCCCACACCTTAGCCTGCTGGGTTGGTGCTTCCCTCCCCCAGGGCTGCCAGCCTCCTGCCCCTTCCTCTGGCCCACAAAGTCCGTGCTCTGTCTCCGCCACCTGGCTTTGCCATGGTTTGTTAGGGTTTCTTTCTTGGTCATTTAAACTATTTGAAAACAATAAAAAACTAGCAGACAAACCCTGTATGTTTCCTCTGGCAACATCTGCTTGTCCATTCCAGATGCTGCAGCTCCTCCCTCCATCTCTCTCCCTGTCTCTCTGTCTCTGTCTCTCTCTGTCTCTATTTATATCTCTTTCTATCCCTCTCTCTTTCTCCACCTGTCACTGTCTTTGTCTCTCTCTGTCTGACTCTCTCTGTGTCTCTTCCTCTGTCTGACTCATCTCTCTGTCTCTTTCTGTCGTCTCCTTCTCTGCCCACTCTTTGCTCCTCTCAAGGTCTCTCTCTTTCTCCATCTGTCTTTGTCTTTGTCTCTCTCTGTCTGACTCTATTTCTCTCTATCTCTGCCTTTCTCTCTGTCTCTCCTTCTCTGCCCTCTTTGCTCCTCTCGAGGTCTCTCTCTTTCTCCATCTGTCTCTGTCTTTGGCTCTCTCTGTTGGTCTCTCCCTCTCTTTGTCTTTCTCTCTGTCTCTCCTTCTCTGCCCACTCTTTGCTCTTCTCGAGGTCTCTTCCTTTACTTGCTTTCCAGTCCCTCAGAGACAGTTTCATCTTTGGTGTGGGAAACTGTGCCTTATCTTGTATTCATGGCCCCTTTCTTGTCTTTTCCTATAAAAGTTATCTATCGTCTCTTTCTCCTTCTGCATACACTCCGGAACATTCCTAGAACATGATTGTTTTCATTAACTTCTTATTTCTAGTAATTTCTGCAGAAGATGACTTGGCACCATCTCCATTCTCTCTTCAGAGCCATCAGCAGGGCTTCTTTCCATCATTGTGGTTCTGAAGGCCTCGCTATTCCTTGTAAAGGGTCAGCGAGGACCCGAATGAGCCTAGAGAGTAATTCTCAAGATTTCGTAAACCTGTGAAGTTGAATTAGCCCCAGATAGATTTACCATTAGGCTGCAATTTAAGGAAGCTGGATGTTACTCTAAAGTGTACGCATCCATCCAAAATGGTCATTGACAGTTTAGCTGCCCAGATCTCTGAAATATAAAAATTTTGTTATCCTCAAGTAAGCATAGTTTCATAATTTAAATTTTTAAGTATAAATATATAACTGTTAATTACACCAATATAGACTGCACAGTCTGTGAAGCTTTTGAGTCTAGTAGTGCTTAGGAAGCTCACATAGACCCACACACATGCACACACCACACACCACACACACCACACACTACACACACCACACACACACCACTCATGCACACACCACACGCACACCACATGCACACACCACACACATGCACATACCACACACATAACATATGCACACACCATACAAATAGAACACACACCTCCCACAGGCACATACCACACACACCACACTCATGCACACACCACACACACCGCACACACACCACACAAACCCCACACACACCACACATGCACACACCACACACACATCACATGCACACACCATGCACACCACACACACAACACAAATAGACACACACCCCCCACAGGCACACACCACACACACACTACACGCACACCACATCTGCACACCACTCATGCACACACCACACACACGTGCACACCACTCATGCACACACCACATGCACACCCCATGCACACACACCCAGACCATGGCGTGTGGATGTGAGAGGAGGGACTCCAGCCGGCAGTGATGCTCCCATTTGCTGAGATGGGAACTGTGGGATGTACTCATTGGTGAGTGCTGGATCTTTGTAAGTTTGAAATGTTTAAAGATTTCCAAAGGGAGGTTTTTGAGTAGAGTTAGATCCACCAGGCTTGAGTTCAGAGACAAGAACTGGGTAGCCATAGAAACTCTGGAGGCGCCCAGTACGCAGAGAGCTCCCGATGCTGTGAGGCTGCAGGAACCGTGAGTTGATCTAACTGGATCCTTGATGATCCACGAGAAAGAAGCCACTCATTTCTTCTGGATCTGGATAATTTGTACTTTTTCAGTGGTAATCAATAATACCAGTAATGCACTGGAGAGATAAAAAGGTGCAGGTTTTTATGAATATTCCATCCAAAAGTTAGATTGATTTGACTTGTTTTATCTGTATACTTCCCGATGACTTCATATAGTTTATAAATTTCTAGTGGTCTCCAACTGTCATTACTTAACGTCACCTGTAAAATGAGAATAGAGGACTGTAAATGCCTACCTGAGAGGGTTGTAGGGAGATTAAGGAAGGATGATTAGTACATTATAAATATCATACAATGGATCACTGGTGTGGAAGTTTTCTCTCTTGATAAAACACTGGAAATGCAATTTGGTTTCCATGGACCTGGGAGCTGCCTGTGCTGGGCTCCTGCTGCCTGCACCATGTCCAGCATCACCTCTGACATAGAGAAGATGCTGCCTGGTTACAGGTGGAATAATCTATAAAATCAGTACTGAGGCCTATTAATGCTTGGCGGTGGGCTGAGTGTTTTGCAGAGGTCATCAAGTCCTCTCTAATGAGAACATCAAGGAGAAATCAACCCCTCATATTTGCACTCCAGCCTGGAGAACAAGAGTGAAACTCTATTTCAAAGAAAAAAAGCTGTAAAAGCATTTGAATCTAACAGACAAAATCATGTATTAGTATTCACCAACTTCTCATTGCAAAATCAATACACACAATATGGTGAATAAATTTACATCTAAATATTTATAATGTATTAATATTTTTTCTGGCCTGACATTTTATATCCTGGCACTGGTGGCAATTTGCCAGTAGCAGTCTTACTTTGCCCAGATCTAAAACAACCTTATGTTAAGGTTTTAACATCAGTATCTTAAATGTATTTTATCCTGACATAAACATGAGGTTTTTGGATCAGAGACAGGTTGTTAATTACTCACAGAACGTCTCAATGCTGGTTCCCCATCCCTGCCCCAGAGTTCTGTGTGGGCAGAGATGTCAGCCATGGGAGAAGCACGTGGGGCCATGACTCTCGGAGCTCATATAGGATGCTCAGCACCCACCCACCCTCCTCCCCACAGAAGGAGAGACTCCCCCTTACTAACACCAATCAGACCTCTCTCAGGAGAGAAAGCCGAGGTCTCTCTTCCATCACACTTTGGAATATAAACCAAAGGCTTCAGGGGCCATCCGTGTAAATGTCCCTGAATGATTCACTATTGCCAACTCCCATGGCTGGGTCACTGCACCATCGTCCTTCATTCCAGGTGCCAGTGAGTGTTGCTCAGAAAGCCCTCACTATGCAATAATGTAGAAATATTCACAGAGCTTCGATTCTCAGCAGTCTACGTCAGAAAATTTTAGTGAATTTTACAAGGACCCAAAGATTATCATGGCAACTTAGGAAAAACTAAAAGGTAAAGTCCTTCTTTGAACGGTGGCTTTTGATCTCGTTCAAGATGAGGAAGAGGAAGAATATTGAAGGAGAATAGAGAAAAGAAGGTGTATTCGTCTGTGTTCACATTGCTCTAAAGAAATGCCTGATACTGGGTAGTTTATAAAGAAAAGAGGGTTAATTGGCCCACAGTTCCGCAAGCTGTACAGGAAGCACGTCTGGGGAAGCCTCAGGAAACTTACAGTGTGGCAGAAGGCAAAGGGGAAGTAGGCACATCTTACATGGCCAGAGAAGGAGGAAGAGAGGGAGCGGGAGGAGATGTCACACTTTTAAACAATCAGATCTCATGAGAACTGTATCACAAGAATAGAACCATGGCCAGAGAAGGAGGAAGAGAGGAAGGGAGAAGATGCCACACACTTGTAAACAGTCAGATCTCATGAAAACTCTATTAGGAGAACAGCACCAAAGGGCAAATCCACCCCCATGATGCAGTCACCTCCCACCAGGCTCCACCTCCAACAGTGAGGATTATAATTTGACATGAGATTTGGGCGGAGTCACAGACCCCAACCGTATCAGAAGGGAAATGGGATAGAAGAATGGAAAGGAGGAATTGGAGTGGAAAAAGCAGGTCCGTGTTTCACAGCTCAGTTGTTCCGTGAGGAGGGCCCGGCCCACCCTGGTGGGTCCCTAATCTCTGTCTTTCCCATGCACCAGGAGATGCTGGAAGAGCTGAGATTAAAGCCGGGACTCTCAACAACTCACACACCCTACTCTCCCTCGTTAGCCAGAGTATTTATTTCTGATTTGTACATTAGAATCTGAAAGATGTTTCAGTTATTCCTGTTTTCAAACATCATTAAAATGTGTCAAAATAAGTTATAAAGTCAATTTTACAGAATTGTATGGCATTAATATATCAATGATGTAGCAACTGCCTATGCATATGCAAGAATTATTAGCAATTTAAGACTATCAATTACATAGGTATATTCTATCATTAAAAATATTACTTGGAAAAAATAATTCAAATGAAGATTTGTAGATGGAGCAAACTATATTGTTCTGGGGCCACATATTCATTGTTCTATGATAACAGTCAAAGGTACCAAGTTATGGCATCTTGTAATCTACAATTTCGGCTCCATTTCAAGCCAAGTGTGGCCAGATACTTAGAAAATTGTCAATTGCCATTATTAGGAAAACCATAGTGATGATATATAGTTACAAAACCACCCATCTTGTCTACCATCCGTTACGTCTCTTTTGTTCCATGAGAGTCTGGAGAAAATCCAGGAATCTGCATACCTCGTGTTTCCTTGCCCTGGTGTTAAGTCACTGCTCTGAGGAAGAAGCATGATGGTAGAGCCAGTGGATCTCTCTCCGGACATGCAAAATCATTCCCCAGAGAAAATCGGCTGATAAAGTGCCTCAGAGAGGTTCACGCTGCATGGGCCCCTCTTAGCAGAGGGTTTCCCCTCTTTTAACATAAGAGGTGCGGTCCTGGAAAATCGTGTAAACTAAGCCATGATGACTGCATTAGGGAGCCCTGGATTTCAGGAAGTCGTGGCGTGGAGTCTGGATTTCAGGAAGCCATGGCGTGGAGCCAGTCATTTACCAAGTCAGGAATTCGTTTGTCCAATGAGCGGTGATTGAACACGCCTCTGCAGTAAGGAATTCGTTTGCAATTCACAGTGGCTGCTTCCATCCCACCCTCGGCCTTCCTTTCCTTTTAAAAGGTGTCAGGCTTCTTATCCTCAGGTTGTTTTCCCACAAGACCACCACGTCAGACTCCCCTCATAAAACATCAAGAACACCAATGTACCTATGAATCACCTGGGAATACTTCTTGAAAACACAGGCTGTGATATGGCAGGTCTGGTGCGGACCTGAGACTTGACATCACCAACAGGGACCCAGAGATGCCGAGGCTGTTGCTGGCCTTGCTGCACTTTGGGAGTCATGATGGATACATCAACAATAAATTGCTTAAAAATAAAAAGTCAAGATCTCTGAGCCTCACTCCAAACTTGCTAAATCTGAACCGCTTGGATGGGGCGCAGGAATCTGCATCGGCAGGTGACGCCTGGCCACACTCAGGCATGGCACAAACACACTAGGAGTGCCCTGCTTCAGAACAGTACTCCAGGCTTTCAGTATTGTCACTGCATCATGGGCTATGCACACCTAGAATTTTGAGCTTTACATTAATCTTCTAATTATATGTGTGTGTGTGTATATATATATATACACAAAGTTGTATGTATATATATATAAATATATATAAATATATATAAATATATATAAATATATATAAATATATATATAAATATATATAAATATATATATAAATATATATATAAATATATAAATATATAAATATATATATATATAACTACATGTGTTAATACACATACGTATGTATAGCCACGCATTGCTTAAGGACAGGTATATATTCCAGAAAATGCACAGTTAGGCAATTTTGTCGTTGTGCAAACATCATAGGGTGTATTTACAGAAACCTAGATGGGCTGTATATTTTTATTTATGTATATTTTCATATAGAAAACCAAATGTTTCGGCACCATTACTGCCTATGAGTTCCTTCCTCTAGTTGATCTGCAAGGCCAGGATCAAGTTCCATCGACCGGGTTTCTGTATATGCTCCATTAGAACCTATGGGGCCACCGTGGTCTGTGCAGTTCATTGTTAACTGAAGTGTCGTGACGTGGTGCATGACTGTATAGACACACACGCACACACATTTGTATATGCATACAGAGAGGGTTTTGACTAGCTTTCCTAACATTAAGCTCAATTTAGCCAAGTTTTTTCACTTTTGTTGCAGCAACCTACCTCCTATCTGAACTACAAGCTACGCAGAACCTAACCAACACACGAGATGCTCTTCTTGGATACCTTGGACATGGTTTTATCTTAAATAACCCCCTTCTGTTACATGGTCATGTTCGGCCTTGAATTGTTGTAGCCTAGATATTTTCTAGAGCTATAACTCGTGAAATAAAAAGTGAGAAGAGCCCTAATGGACATGATGAATTTTTTGGTGATTTTTTTTTTCTGGCAGAAACTCAGAGGAACCTGATGCCTGCACTTTCACTAAATTAGAGAAGCATTCACATCACATCCATGTAGGGAGAGGAAGGATATCTGTGAAAGGCTGGAGCCAGGCTGAGGGTGCTCTGCAGAAAGGATCACTCACATGAAGTCACCTGAGCTGCGTGTCAGCAGGGGGAAGCCGATGGCAGGGCCTCTGGGACTTGGAAGAGGGGAGGGAGACCTGCCACGGCTGTCAGGAAAAGCCTCAGGGCTGGGTCTGAGCTGAGTCCTTAAGCCATGCGGTTCAGGTAAGCAGGGAAAGAACAATGATGAGAAAGACCCACTTCTTCTTTTTTTTTTTTAATTAATACACTTGTTTTTTGGACGATTTTAGATTTACAGAAAACAGTGGAAGGTGAAGAGTAGCCTGTGCCCCTCACTGCCCCCACCTCCCCTGTTCCTAACACTTGCATCCTCTGGTACATTGTCACAGCCAGGAGCTAGTGTGGATACTGCCACACCCATAACATCCATGTGGCTCAAGGGGACTTCCCACAGCTCTCAGGGTGGCAGCATTTTCTTCAAGTCCACAATAGAAATGGTTCCATCCGAAGCCCGACCACCTTCTTACCTGTGTCTGCGATCGAGGCACATTCTCTTCCCTGAATCAATCATGTTGGCGAAGATGATGAGAATTCTGGCCTGAATTGTGTGTGGACTGCGCCTTGCCTCCCTGGGCTGTGGGCAAGGTCATAGCTCTGGGAGCGGAGAAGGGATCCCCAGGGGGAGACACGGCCACTGGCAGGAGGAATAAACGAGTAGGAGGAAGGCAGGACTACGGCAAAACCAGCAGACGCCACAGGGACGAACAGAAAGGGGCTTAATAAACAGATGATGGATGCAGCGGAAGGAGGGAGAGACTAGACCTGCTTCTGCGAACAACAAAGAGCACAGCCCCCTCCAAGCTTTGTCTTAGAACATGACTCAAATCCCTGCTGTTTTGTCACATATTGATATCAGACTAGTATGGAAAATGCATTCAATGTGACATAATCTAATACAGTGACCAGATATATTAATCACAGCACGATGACAGCGGTGAAAACCTAAAAGCAATCTACAATGTCCATCACAAAGATAAAGCTTACAAAAACCGTAACTCCACACGGAAATTCTAAGCTGTAGTTACAGTTGTATTTCTGAATAACATTTAATGACATGGGAAAATGCTGATATTACTAACTATATTTTGAAAAGTGTAAAACCATGAATATGCATAAGGTGTATTTATAGCAACAAGTAAACTTGGGAAGATGTCTCTGAATAGGGTGTTTAGTGGGTTTTTTTTCCCCTTTATATTTACAGCCTTCAAAAATAAGCAGCATTGTCCTAACTGGGAAAGATAAAAATGGTGGATCCACAATTCTGTATTTGCCAGTAATAAAACCAGCACCTGAGCTCTGACATTAGGCAGTAGCATAAAACACTGGCCAGGGTGGGAACGGGAGGAGTGGGAAGGGAGGGGCAGGTGCAGTGTTGAGGAATCAGCGGGCACTGCTGTGGAATTCAGGGTGATGTTTTATTTCAGGCATCCATCAGCATGGCTCCCCAGCTCTCAAGAGAAGGGGTGCTGGAGTTCTGGCTTTTAAACTCTGAAATAAGCACCTGAAACTCCCTCTAGCAAATTCGAGATGTAACTCTTATGGCCTGAATACCAGATCCAAAAGGAACCTTAAAGTTCGTATTCTAATTGGCCATTCTCACTTTCAAATTGTTCCCTTTACTTATTGTTTTATTGCCAAAATCACAATTGCAATGAGCTGACTCTAGGGCAATAAAATATTAAATAGCAAAACTATTTGTGTAACTTTCCACATTTCAGTTGTGATGACTTGAAAAATGTCTTGAAAATTTTGTTTGCTGCAAGGATTACCAGAAGGTCCCCAATTAATTAAAGCCAAGATAATTTCAGTGTTTCAAAGACATAATTCCGTGCACTTTGGATTATTTTTACTGGCTGAAGGAAAAAGTGCAGGGTCAACAATAAAAAACATCAAATTTGTTACATTGTTGAATATTTTAGATTTTTCTGCATGAAATATTTTAACTTAGAGATTAAATATCTGAGCTTGAATTGTGAAACATACAGCATTATTCGACAGTGAGATTAGTTTGGCCATTATTATTGTTAAAATAGTTGTGAACTACAACAGCTCAGACCAACGAAAAATGTATTCAATTAAATTGGTTAGTAGATTTTTCATTCATTTCTGAAACAGAACTAAGTTTAGTTCTAAAAAGCAAAAGACTGTCTACACAATATTTTCTGTCCATTTTTGTACTCCAGTAAATATATAAACTCATTCACTTTCACATGCATTAAATGTTACCCAAAATTAATCCCTAATTTAATCTAAAAGGAATCCAAAATGGTTTTCTAAAATTATGCCCAATTGCATGTGATAGACAAGATATCATAGATATCAATCTTATCTATCTAAGATAAGATAAAGGAGATAGACGTTTTCCTGTCGGTAAAGGATCTATTATATTTGCCACAAACTGACAAAGATGAGGATGTGGCAACTCATCAAAACTCACAGCAGTACGTAAAGTTTAATGTTACCAATTTATACTAATGGGGCTTAGGATTTAATTGAGGTGGACACACATGCAGTCACACTATTGTAAATTTTTAAATTTTTCAACTAAAAGTAGCATGCTGCTTTTCATGGAACGTTCTCTGTTTCTTGCAGGTGAGCACATTCGATTGGGTGCGAGCAGAAAGGACCTATCACCTCTGTGAGGTGCTATTTAAAGTTCACAAGGTAGGTATCTTTTGCACTTCAGATGCTTTCATACAAATAAGATGCCCTTTGGGCTTGCAGAATGAGAGGATTGTTTGTTCTGCGTGGTCCATTGAAATAGTAAAATTTGAAATAGTAAAATAATGTGACGATCTGGACCCATTCTCCTGCCCTACCTGGTACATGGGTTCTAGCTGTCACCCTGTTGCTTATCAAGGCAGGATGAATGGATGACAGGGTGTGTCTGTGTTTATGTGGTATGTGGTGTTTGTGTGTGTTTTACGGGAGAGATGTGTTTTATGACATCCACTTACAATCATTTATTCCAAGAACTTTAGATTTTGTTACTGCTGCTGCTGTTATTGAAATTGTTTTCAACAAATCAGATACAAATTTGCCCCAGGGTCTGGCCAGTTTGCTGCTCATGGTTCCTAGGGTAGGTAAGGACTGAGCCTTCCTCCAGGGGACACACCTCACTGGTGGGGCTGCCCGGAGCCTGGAGGTGCAGCAGGGCCCTAGCCCAGGCCCCCGCCCACCTGACTGCAGAGGTGTCTCCACAGCAAGGCGACGATGCGCTCACCGTGGCCGGGTGCCACCGTGTCCTAGTATGTGACTCAGTGCATCATGTAAACAAACCACCTGTGTCTTTTTCATGTAGGAGTACACAAAACAGAGACAAATAGGAATATTAAGTGAAAGTTTAAATGTACGTACCTTTTAGTCTGAGAATTTGACTGTAAAGAGTTATCAGTCTAAAGTTAGAAGTTTTGAATAAAGATTTGTCTTTCAAAGTTTGGTTTGTTTTCTTAAATTGAAAATATCCTCAAAAATAATATTCTCTATCTGTAGTTGCTTTATTTTAAATTTAAATCTGGAATTTCAGACTGCCTTTAATGGAAACATGTACAAGGGAAATACATTTCCATAATAATATTATCAAATGATAAATACATTTATTTCCCATTTTTGAAAAATTTATTTGGGCAACATTTTTCTGCATTGTTCCTACTTTTGTTGAATATGGTAATGAAGGAGATGAAGGAAAAGGCCGGATGTATTTAAATTAAGACTCCTAATTACAGGTTGTAATAAACAATCATTGATCAGAAAGTGAACATTTCTGTGCTAGGCATATTCATTAAAAAATGGAGGAAAATAGAATAAAACATTAACTGTGGTTTTCTCTCAGTGATGGCTTTTCTAGTTATTGTTGCTTTCATTTTAAAAATTATTCTGTTTTCGAAATTATCTGTGACAGGAATGCATTATTTTGAAAATGGCAAAAAGGAAGCCTTATGTTAACATGAGCCTCTTGGTCGTAGATGATATGCAGGTCATTTCATCCATCACATTTCCACAGAAGAATTCGTAGAAGAATTCTTGGCCTTTTTGTTTCCTTCGCATGGGCTCCTCATCAACACATTTTCGCTTCTCCCCCCTCTTGTTTCAGAGGATTCTCCTTCCGTGCACCTGAGATGTTCTTTAGGTACTGGGGTGTCTTTGAGAGATTATTGTATCTTACATATGTGGTTCATTAGTAAGCTATAGAGCCATCTCATTTTCCCAGGAAGATTATAAAAAAATTTTAGTCAGTAAATATTATATGAAGTATTTATGAAATCATGAAATTAGCCAGTAGAATGGCTATGGCAAAGGTATTAAACTAAAAAATGGGGTAAATAATAATAAATCTATGGCATTCAATATTTTTAAAAAAGAGATTAAATTATATGAGTTGAATGTCCTATTTGGAAGTCTTAAAATAGTGATCTTACAAAATCATATTGACTGCTTTTACACGCATTTAATTGCTGATGTTTATCATTTAGCATACATAAATTTAAAAGTAAATGCATTCAGTTCATTTTCAGAAATGTAAATAAATATGTGAGTATCATAAGAACTAATACTTTTTCATATAGATTCTTTAAATATCCATAATTACCATTTCAAAGTACACTCATTAATATTTAGACCAGAAATCAAATTCTGAAGTTGTGATTTTGTTTTTTCTCTGATACCTTCTAAAAATTACTTTTCCCAACTCTTAAAATTATGTGTTCTGTATTTCAACACTCATCACGAAATAGATGAGAAAATTGCACCAATCAGCCTTGATTGCAGTCGTGAGAGAAATGATAAACAGCTTTCGTGCAGCATGGCAGAAAAGCACTCTGGACACTATGGAGCGTCCTGTGTGAAATCCACGGGTCCATCCTCTCAACCTAAAGATACCCCATTAAATTTTCAGGAAAAGTCAATATTCTCATATGTTTGGCAGAAGATCTTAGTAATGATAGCTGTCTTTATTGAGTACTTCCCTAGGAACCTTGCTAAGCACTTAGCTATGTCCTTGAGTTAATTCTCTCCCCACCTAAGGAGCACTCTGTTTTGTAGCTAAGAACTCAGAAGCAGGGAAGTGGACGAGGACTTTCCAGAAGCCAAGCAGAGACAGGGATGGGGCCCAGACTCACGTGGCTGCAAAGCTCATCCCGAATCCCGCTCTATTCCACGTGCTAGAAGCAGTGGTGTTCCGGGAGCCTGTCGCGAGTGGCCGTTAAGAGTTCTAGAACGTGTTCTCCACGGATCTTCGGGGTAGTCCTGTTTGGATAATATCAACACTGAGAGGAAGAATTCCTAAATGATTTTCCTAAAGCCATGTCAGGACAAAACTGCACCAGAGTTAAAGGCGAAGAAGGCAAGAAGACCTTATTCAAGTCTATTATGATAGGAGAGAGAGAGAGATTCAGAGATTCAACTCCACTGAAACAAAGGATGAGAGGGTTTCTACAAGTTGGGATGGGAAGGAGATTAGGGCCATCATTGTCTGTTAATTGGCCTCCTGCAAAGAAACAGAGAGCTTCCCCCATCTTCATGACAGGAGGTGGTTGCACAGCTTAGAGCCAAGCACCCACCAAGGCTGGGCTCCATCCTTCCACAGGGACAGGAGATGACGCCATCTTGCCAGTGATCACATTTTGAAGGGACAGCTCCCAGCTCCTTGAGAAAGACAGTCCTGGGTTGTACAGCCAGCAAGAGACTTCTAGAAAGATTCAGGTATCAAATGGCAGAGAAAGAACATACAATAATACATTTTCTAAAGCAAATGCTCTAAAGATAGGGAGTTCCAGGTCCCAGAGGTGGGAAGAAGCCGGGTCAAGTCTCAGTCCAGACGAGGAAACCCAAAGGCTCAGTCCAGACGAGGAAACCCAAAGGCTCAGTCCAGACGTAGTAACCGGAAGGCTCAGTCCAGACGAGGCAACCGGAAGGCTCCGTCCAGACGAGGCAACCGGAAGGCTCCGTCCAGACGAGGCAACCGGAAGGCTCCGTGCAGACGAGGCAACCCGAAGGCTCCGTGCAGACGAGGTAACCGGAAGGCTCGGTCCAGACGACGAAACCCGAAGGCTCGGTCCAGACGAGGAAACCCGATGGCCTAGCCAGCCGCTGACTGACTGTTGACGGCAAGCCGCTGACCTTGAACTTCAGTGCTCAGGGTTTCCAGTCGTATCAACACACTGCGATCCACAAGGTCTGAGTGATTGTTTTTAAAGGAGCTACAGGAACTATCTGGGGAAATGAGCTATATATGAATAATTAATTTTCCTTTTGTAGAACTTACAACACATTCTTTGTGAGGCTAAACAGTGGAAAAACAATCCCTTGCTTGATCAAGCAGTCTCACTCCTCAGAATTGAATCTAAAGAAGAGTCCATTACAACACTGAGTTCAGAGGAATCAAAGAGCTATATGTATGAGAATGTTTAAGGATATTCCTTAAATTAATGATATTTGAAGAATAATCAAAAGACCATTGAGAAATATTTTAAAATCTTACAACATATTTTAAGTAATTCTACTATAAATTTATACAGTTATATGTACAAATTCACATTGCATGAAAGAGAATATTAATTATTGTCCTATTATTAAGGTTATATTAATAATTATTGACATATTTTTAAAAATCAGATGACAAAACATAGTAATAAGTTTATCTTTTAAATTCCCTTTATTGTTGCTATAATTGTTTCATAATAAATATAAATAGAAAAAATATGTAATTTTAGAATACAACCCTTTTTGTTTTTTTCAGGAAAGGGAACATAATAAGATGATGTCTTGCAGTCCTAGGTGGGGGGTGGGCTTTCTTCAGTCGTGGGGGTGGCTGGAAATGCTGTTCTGGATATTGCCAGAGCTGACCCTGCCAGGAAGCCAGGTAGCTGCAAAGCAGACATCAAATCGACATGTACGGCCTGGCTCAGCATTGCCTTAGGACGTGTGTCTTTATGAAAGCACGTAGTGAACTCATGTGAATCCGGGATGTGAGCCCTGCATGCTGGCCACTCTGTCATGTGAAGTTATGACAACATTTTTATCACGATTCCATTTCACAGCTCAAAAGTGGAGGCTCTGAGAGAGTGAATTGCTCAAGATCAAACAGCTAATACTGGGCAAAGAAAGGCCTCAAATTTTATCTGACTCCAAAACCTGGTGTTCTTCTATTATAATACACAGCTGCCCAAATATAGCAAGTGATAGGAAAGAAACACAATTGACCTTTGAACAATATGGGCTTGAACTGCGTGGGCTCATTTGTATGCCAATTGTTTTCTATAAGTATGTTGGAAAATTTTTTGAAAACAATTTAACAATTGTAAAAACCTCTTAAGACAAACTGTGTAGCTTAAAAATATCAAAACATTAAGAAAAAGTTAGAGATGTCGTGAATTCATACAATATATGTAGATACTAGTCTATTTCATCATTTACTCCTGTAAAATATAAATCAATCAATTTGGCACCATCTGCAGTGGAGAGGAATATAGACAAAGGTAAAGATGCAGCGTTCAATCATTCCTGCCCATGGTTAACTGGAGCACATAGTGTGACATGGGTTTCTGAGTAAAATGTCTTAATCATCCCTGTGGAAGCAATTTCTCTCTCCAGTAAATTGCAGAGCATGGTAACGAGTGATCTCTCAGAGTTCTTGTGTACCTTCCCTCCTTCGTGTTGAGTCCAGTAACGTAAACCTTGAATAACACCCCGGGACCCACACGAAGTGCCACAAGGGATGTTGCAAGTGCCCCAAGAAGCGGGAATATCACAGCATTGCCAAAAAGCTGAATTGTTTGCTGTGCACCACAGATTGAGGTCTGCAGCGTGGTTGCCACCATTTCAGACCATTCATCTCATAAACAGATGATGTAAACTTATGGTGTCAATAAATACAGTGCAGTGCTCTAAGTATATCTTCTCTTCCCTGTGATTTTCTCAATAACATTCTCTATTCTCTAGCTTACTTTCTTAATTCATTTATTTATTTAGAGATAGGATCTTGCTGTGTCATCCAGGCTGGTCTTAAATTCCTGGGCTCCAGTGATGCCCCTGCCTCAGCCTCCCAATTAGTTGTGATTACAGGTGTAAGCCACTGTGCCTGAATTCACTTATTCTATTCTAAGAATGTAGTATATTATACGTATAACATACAGAATATGTGTTAATTGACTGTTCATGTTATTAGTAAAGCTTCTGATCAACAATAGACTACTAGTAGTTAAGTTTTAGGGGAGTCAAAAGTTATGCATGAATCTTCAACTGCGTGAGAGTTGGCGCCCCTAACCCCTGGGTTGTTCAAGGCCCAACTATAATGAGCCATTCAATGGGGGATGTGCGTTCCCACATAAATATCTTCCAAAAGTTTTTCTTTATCAGTTTTGACATTTAAGTTCAGTGGATAAAGAGATACTTTCTGCACCATAAGGTCAATGATGAACATGTTGTTCTTGGTTTGTGACGTGTAACCCTATAGGTTCCAGGTATCCCAGCTGAAGGAGACGATCCAGAGGGCCCCAGAATTAAAGTGCAGTTTCTGTACTCAAGGCTCATTTAGGGTTAGCAACGTATGCACACTACACACATTCACGTACACACACATTCATGTTCACATACATTTCCACACATACACATGTTCATGTGTGCACACACATTCTCATGTGCACACATACACACACACATGTTCTCACGTGCACACACCACAAGGCATTTGATGTCTGGATGATGCACAGGGATAAATGTGCAATGCTCTCCATGATCAGAGGGTCATCCTGCAGAGCCATCTGCGGGGCCAGGAGAGCCAGGGCATCCCCCCGGAGAGTCCAGAAGGCCCACCTGAGACACACCAGTCGTAGCTTTTACCTCAAACCTGTGCCTAGAGTGCATGTGTCAGCATATTTCAAGTAAAACTATTTGGCCAACTGCTGAGTTCATGTGGATTTTGGGACTGGACCTTGAGCGTAAGTGTGAGTGGGGACTGTCCAGCTTGGCTGGTTGGCACAAGTGAATGGAGATATCTCAGAATCATGATGGGAAGACCCAGCAGGTGGGCAGCTCCCCTTCCTTTCTGCTGCCATATGCAGGGCTGTGGGTGAACACCACATTCTCATTCAGGACTTTGGAAACCCCAGCCCAGGTGTCTCCCCTTGTTTCCCTTCACTGGGGAGAGACTGGTGCAGCAAAATTGATGTTGGGGTGCAGCGTCCCAGGAAGGTGTCTGGTGGGGGCTCTTCAGGGTGGATCTGTGGACCAGTAAATGAATGGGTGAGCTGAGAACTGAGGTGGGTCCAGAGAGAGACAGACAGAGACAGAGAGAAGGATAGAGAGAGACAGAGAAACAGACATAAAATAGAGAAACAGAATGACAGAAATGGAGAGAGAGAAAGAGACACAAAGAGAGACAGAGACATAGAAATGGAGACAGAGAGAGAGAGAGAGACAGACAGAGACAGAGAGGTGCCAGCCAGGTATTGAGTGCGCGTTCACCATGCACCTCCATGCTGTTGACCTAGTAATTGTGACAACTGGGACCCCCAGTCTTTCTCTTCTGCCCTTGATAAAATGAATCCCGAAGTGGGGTGCAACCTTGCAGATGGGGGAAAGAAGTGGGGAGCTCCCCAGGCTGCTCCATGCAGCACAGGCTGGCAGCATCCGAATCGCCGAGTGATTAATAGACGTGCTGTAAGTAACTTACATCTCTGGGTTAAACGATTAACCAGAAATGGAACAACATCATTACATCATTCCCTTTGTCAGGCCTTTGGGTTGGCAGAATGAGCTCCTGGGTGGCCGGGTGCCTTGTCATGCTTCAGAGGCGTTTTGGGCACTCGGTCCTTTATCTCAGGACAATGAACCCGCAAGGAGAGGAAGAGCCAGTAATTCTATAGAGACTCGGAGGCGCAGGGGGCACGCTTAGTTAGAGTGGTGGTGGTATTTTCAGTGTTTTCTGGTTTTATGATAAACACAAGCATCAATGTCTCAAGACTTTCATCTTTATCTTTTTTTTTTTTTTCTTGAGACAGGGTTTCCCTCTGTCACCCAGGCTGGAGTGCATTGGTGGTGTGATCTTGGCTTTCTGTAACCTCGGGCTTCTGGGCTCAAGCCGTTCTACTACCTCAGCCTCCCAAATAGCTAGAACTACAAGCGTGTGCTGCCACACCTGGCTAATTTGTTGTATTTTATTTATTCATTTATTTTTGTGAAGACAAGGTCTTGCCATGTTGCCCAGGCTGGTCTCAGACTCCTGGGCTCAAGCAATCCACCCACCTTAGTCTCCCAAAGTGCTGGGATTACAGGCGTGAGCCACCACACCCAGCTTCATCTTTCTCTTCACCGTAAAACAGGAAAGTGTGTGGTGACCAGTATTTTAAGGGAAAGGCACTTACAGAGAATTAAGCATTTGACAAAATTTATTTACAGATATTTGTCTGTGGACCACTTCCGCACCAGCTGTGCATGAGAGGGCTCATTGCTCTGAATTTGCCTCCTTGTCTGCACCCAGGAGACCGTTTCCCAGATCACGCAAACGCTGCCTTCTCCCCACACCAGGGCCCTCAGCATGGGAATGACCTTCCAGCGCTGCACGTTTCCAATCCATGCTCTGTTTTTCAGTTCTGGCTCACAGAGGACTGCTGGTTGCAAGCAAACTTGTATCTGGGTCTTCAAGATTTTGACTTTGAGGACCAGAGGCCCTATTGCTTCAGCATCGTGGCCGGCCATGGGAAGAGCCATGTTTTCAACGTGGAGCTTGGCAGCGAGCTGGCCATGTGGGAGAAGTCCTTCCAAAGAGCCACGTTCATGGAAGTTCAGAGAACCGGGGTAAGTGAACAACTCACACTCTTCTCACCTACACCTGCTCGGGTGTCTGAGACATAGCATTGGGGAATATGTAGCAGTTTATCGGGGGAAAAGAGGAATCTTCAGAAGGTGAGAATCTTTCACCGGAGCTACTGTGTGGAAATGATCGTTCGCACGGAGTCATGCGCTCCGTGGATAAATATGAGCTGTAGTGGAAGGGAAGGGGAGGAGAGGATTTTGTGTCTGTGTCTACATTGAATGTGAGGAACGGGCTGCATCGCTTTCCAGGAAGGGACTCCACCGATGTGGCGCTCAAGTTCCTGAGAAGTGATGACACTTCTAGCCTGTGCTCCGGGAGACAGAACACCTAGCTTACAAATGAGTATAATGTGTCGTGCAGTTACTTGGATGTTTGTAATATTTTAAGGCACTTTAATGGTTCTTCCTCTCAAACTTGATGGTCCGAAGGAGAATATAAAACAGCTTGTGTGTCTGAATTGCTTTTCTCTTCCTGACAACAGCAAATACATCACTCACAAATTTGAATGTATACCATGTGAAGGGATGAGGAAGAATGCATTATAATCCTCCTTATCCTAAATAGCGGGATGATCCTTCAGGGAGGATGTGTGCTGCAGGAATGAAGAGTGACAGGAGATAAATGAGGCAGCGCATCCCAGAGGAGCTCTGACTTCACACCAAAGTCCAGGGCTCCCGCCTGGCTGAGCGCGGAGAATGCTGAGTGTGAACTTAGTAACTAAAGATGGCTACTTCATTTAAATATACATATATACCTTGAATGTGAAACTATTCTGTGTTATTTATCTTTCATTCACGTTGTCAAAATGTATCCAGGCTCCTTGGCATGCCATCACAGAGCACGAAGCTTCCCTGTAACTAATGCACACTGAGATCTCTTAGTCCACAGAATGAAGTCACACCCAGATCTTCATAGAAACTGATGCCAATGTTTATTCTCATTTATCCCAGGCTGCTGTGATTTTCCCCTCAAATTGGGCACCCTAAATTGGAATTATGGTTGATTCCTGATGCTTAAAGTAACCTTTATATTTGAAGCATCCAATTCATTAACCATTATAGAACATTACATGCTGGAAAGAAAATTACTAAACATAGGATCCTTCATCTCAGGGACTTACTCAAATGTATAGTGGCATTTAGCCACTTAGAAACCATCAGCACTAAAGGTTCAAGTCGTTAAAAGGCAAAGTGAAAGAGCGTTTCTGGGACAAGGTGACCTTTCTGCTTGTTTTCTTTAGATGATAGCAGTAATCATTTTGCTTTCAACATAAATACCGGAGAAGTAGAGAGAATTCTCCATTCGCGTGTGTGTGCAGGGCTGCCCCACACCCTCTAGTGCCCCAGGGCCCATGCCTGGCTGAGCAGAGTCCCGGTGGCCATTCAGACTCATCTATGGGAAGGTGACAGGTTACAGGAGAAGATATCCTGAATAAGAGCAATCATAGAATTACAGTGTTGGAGGGAGGGTGAAAGGTTAGTAATTTCATCTAGTACCCAGATGTAGTGAAATGAATGTCTGAAGCATTCTAGAGGGTGAAAGTTTATTTAGGATTCCTAAAAAATAGAATTTCTTTATGAATAGTCCTTCCTTATGTTTCGTACTGTCCTTATTCCACTAAAGGGGGTGAAGTCTGCGCACGGTGGTTCATGCCTGTAATCCTAGCCCTTCTGGAGGCTAAGAAAAGAGGATCCCTTGAGCCTCAGAATTAGAGACCAGCCCAGGCAACCAAGCCCAAGAAACCTAGAAGCCCCATCTCTGCAAAAAATAATAATAAAATATTAGCCAGGCATGGTAGCTGATGCCTGTAGTTCCAGCTACTCAGAAGGCTGAGTGGGGAGGATCTCTTAGGTCCAAGAGTTTGAGGCTGCAGTGAGCTATGATGGCACCACTGCACTCCAGCCTGGGCCACAGAGTGAGACCCTGTCTCAAAAAAAAAGGTATAGGGTAGGGTGGGAGTGGGGTCAGAGCTGGGGTTGGACTTTAATGGTCAGGACATCTTTCCTAGAGGAAGTGGTTAGTCTCTTTTAAAAATCGTTGGTGTCTTGCACAGGTGGAGAAGAGAAGGCATTCCCAGTGGGAAGCATTGAAAAATTAGGCTAATGCTCCATTTGGCAGAATGAAAGATCTAAGATTCAGGCTAGGACTCAGCAGGCAGCAATGTGCCCAGGTGAATTTTAGAGGAAACATTTTCAATAATCCAGGATTGAGATAATGAAGACCTTTCGTGGGGAATGGAGGCAATGAGGGTGTTAACAAGCCGGCACACCTGCAGAGACTGTAAGTGGGTGTGGGCATCCATCCACGTTTCTGCAGGACTGGGTAGAGTGGGGCTGTGGGGGCCGTGATGACCACTGTTGGGAAGAACTTCTGGGGCCGTGCCATGCTGCCCATGACTGACTTGCCGGATCTTCACAACTCAGCAAAGTGGATGCCCTCAAAGAAGCCCCGGGTGGATGCTTCCTTGTGCAGGGTGGCAAGGTCATGCAAGACCTCTCAGGGCATTGAATTCCCAATTTACGCCTCACTCAGGACCTGTGTTTCAGGAACCCACCCTGCAGGCATTTCCTGAGCTCCACCCCAGGTAGTGACCTGACTCCTATCAGATCTGCCCATGGTGTCCTGGGAGGGACAAAGCATTTCAAAATTAGATGGACTCACTCCCTCTTCATGAATTAGAGAAAATACTTCTCCAAAACTCCATTACATAAACTGTAAATTATTATAACTCATCATGGAGTACTTATAAAATTATATTACATTTAGTAATATCTGTAAATGAATTAAGTCAAACGCCTAATACTCTATACTAGGCTGGATGCATTGCACGTACATCATTTAACTTTTTTAATACATCTAAGATGCAGTTGTTCTTTTCTTTTCCCTTTTATTTTACAAATGGTAAATGAAAGTTCAGAAGGGCTATGTTACTTCTCCACAGTCACCTAGAGACTAAACCACAATGGCAGGATCTACGCAAGATTTCAAGAATTGCTGTCTTGAGAGTCACGTTCTTTCTGCTGAAACATTCAGCCTCACATGTGACAGAAACAAAATAGTGAGAAGGTGCCTAGAACAGTCCCCGGCATACTTCAAACTCTCCGTAAATGTGTTCTTCTTGATTCAGTAGCACTGCTGGATTTCTTTTCTCCACCTTCTGTCTCTGTTTTGCTTGTTTTGCTAGTTTTTTCTACTATTTCCTGACTTTGATCGTATTCCAACCCGACTTGCAATTTTAAATCTCCAGAATAATTACATGTGTATAGTGTTGATAGCACTGATTTTTCTTTACTAATTGTAACACTTTTCCAGCAGTGATTAGCGTGTTCATTCCTTCTCTAAAAGGATTTCTGAAAGGAAAGCCCTGCATCCTTCACAGGCTCTGGATCTAAACTGATGACATTCCTTCACAGTCGTTTCTGAATGCACCTATGTGAGGTCAGTACATTTTACAGAAAAGTTCTCCATCATCAGGATAGTAGCTTCATGCAAGTCCTTGACTGCCTTATCAACATTATTACTCTCTTAAATAATATCTACATTACAAATATCGTTCCAAGTTATCCAGAATTCAGTGTCACACACATGCATAAGAGAATAACAGACCTTCCATGTTCCAGCCTCTCCATCCCTGCCTCCCAAGCTGAGGTACAAATGCCAATATTATGTTATATAATCTTCAAACTGTTTTTACACATACTCAAGTATATTTTTTCCTTTTTATTGAAAAGTCATCACATATGCATGTTGTTCTGCAATTTACAAGACTTTTGTACATTTTCATGTCAATTTATCTAAATTTGTATGTCAATTTATTTAAATTCTAACAGGACATTGCAATGTCCTGTTAGAATTTAAAATTAAAAATGTATATCTTTCCTAATAGCAACACAAAAACACAAAGTATAAAATATCTATCAGATAGGATGCCTTTGGCTACAAGTAAGAGAAAGTTCTTGACTCACCCAACAATAAACAATACCTATTGTTGCTATTATTTTCCATAACAAGGTTTCCATACTCCACCTTGCTGAGTTTTGAGGTCTAGATTGTGCCTCGGTGTGGCTCCCCTCCCAGTCATAAGATGCTTGTGGAAGCAACAAGCATTCATGTCGGTGTTCAGGGGAGGCAGAAAATGGCCTCCATAACCCATTGAGGATGTCCCCTTCAGCCTAGCTGTGCCAGCCTAGGTCATGAGCCCATCAGACCAAAGTACTCGTCTAGGGAATGCCATTGGCTGATTGGCTTCTCATCAAGGGAACACCATTGGCTAATTGGCTTCTCATCAAGGGAATGCCATTGGCTGATTGGCTTCTCGTCAAGGAAACACCATTGGCTGATTGGCTTCTCGTCAAGGGAACGCTATTGGATGATTGGCTTCTGTGAACCAACATCCACCCTGGGGACTGGAAATGAAGTCAGCAACGGTCCCAACCTTTATGGTGCCAGGGACCGGTTTTGTGAATGACAGTTTTTCCACGGACAGGGCCAGGGGGATGGTTTGGGGATGATTCAAGCACATTACATTTATTGTGCACTTTATTTCTATTATTATTACATTGCAATCTGTAATGAAATAATTATACAACCCGCCATAATGCAGAATCAGTGAGGTCCCTGAGTTTGTGTTCCTGCAACTAGACGGTCCCATCTGGGGGGATGGGAGACAGTGAAAGATCCTCAGGCATTAGGTTCTCATAAGGAGTGTGCCACCGAGATCCCTCACAGGTGCAGTTCACAATAGGGTTCCCGCTCCTGTGAGAATCTAATACTTCTGCTCATCTGACAGGAGGCAGAGGTCAGGTGGTAATGCTCACTAACCCAGCTCCTGCTGTGAGGCCCAGTTCCTAACAGGCCACAGACTGGTACTGGTAAAAAAAAAAAAAAAAAAAAAAGGATTCTGTTAGGACATCCCAGGAGCAGGTGTAGAAAGGACATCCCAGGAAACAGGTACAGAAAGGACACCCCAGGGAACAGGTGTAGAAAGGATATCCCAGGGAGCAGGTGTAGAAAGGACACCCCAGGGAACAGGTGTAGAAAGGACACCCCAGGGAAAAAGTGTAGAAAGGACATCCCAGGGAGCGGGTGTAGAAAGGACACCCCAGGGAGCGGGTGCAGAAAGGACACCCCAGGGAGCGGGTGCAGAAAGGACACCCCAGGGAGCGGGTGCAGAAAGGACACCCCAGGGAGCGGGTGCAGAAAGGACACCCCAGGGAGCGGGTGCAGAAAGGGCATCCCAGGGAAGAGGTGTAGAAAGGACATCCCACGGAGAAGGTGCAGAACTGGAGGACAACAGTGTCTCCTGCGGTGCCTGAACAAAAAGCATTCTCATCAAATTCAGCTTTCTCCTTTGCAAGACAGTTTCACGAGATCACGTTTATGAAATTTTCCTAGGTCTGTGTGTGCTATACGGATGCGCACCATCACCATCACCGCGCAGTGGGTCTCCTGTTAGAGGAGCCGGTCACGCACGGTGCTCCGTGGATTTTCCACTGCCAAGTCCTGACGAGCACGCCCCTGCCTGCCCGCCTCGGGGAACGGGACCTCACTGAGGCAAACCAAGCTGTCATCCTTCCACACAGCTCCCTTGGTAGGAGCATTCTCCCTAATGGGCCCGTCTTTCCCTCCTGCTCCATTTCTGGACTTAGGTTTGCTCTCTGGTCTGAGCTGCTCTCACAGAACACCAATCTCTTCTGCCTGTTTCCAAGTTTCAGAAATTTTTCTGATAATTTCTCCTTTTTGTTTATAAAGACTCCCCAAAGACTATTCTTGTTCACACACAGGTTAATATTCTGGTATTAGTAGTTGCTTGATATCAGGTGCAACAGAATTTTAAGCAAATCAAGGTGGCTCTGTGATTCATTAATGCCTTTACCACTCCTACCGTACTATCAAGACAAGCACAGCCAAAAAGAGATTCTGTGTATGGCAGATGTGCAAAGGCAATTCAGTGGAGAAAGGAAAGCCTTCTGGACAAATTATGCTGGGATAATTGGATGCCTATATACGAAAAAAAGAACTTTGACTCATTATATACATAAATATTATATATATATATATAAGTATAAACTCAAAATGAATATAGAATGAAATATAAGTACAAAACTATAAAACTTTTAGAAGAATAAACAGCATAAAGTCTTTGTGACCTCTGGTTATGCAAATATTTCTCAGATACAAAACCAGAAGCACAAACCATGAAAAAAAATTGATAATTTAGACTTGCAATTAAAAGCAACTATTATTTGAAAAACACTGCTAATATAATGAAGAGAAGATATGAAAACTGGGAGAAAATATTTGCAAGGCATATAACTGGCAAAGGACTTCTATATGTAATGCATAAAAAGATCTCAAAGCTCAATGATTAGAAAAACAATAAGAAATTTGGGAAAAGGCTTGAATAAACACTTCAAAAAAGATTTCTAGATGGGAAATAGGTAGGTTGAAATATGCTCCAAATCATTAGCATGTAGGGAAGTGCAAATTAAAACAGTGAAATCTCACAGCACACATATTAGAATGAGTAAATTTTAAAAGACTGATGATGCCAAGTGTTGGTGAAGGAACTGGAACTCTCATTCACTGTTGGTGGCTGTGGAAAATGGCACACCCAGCTTGACAGTGTCTTAAATGTAAAGACAAATTCGCCACAAGATCCAGAAACTTTCTCGTTACCCTGGTGTATGCAAAAATGCTCATAACAGCTTCATTTGTAAACAACAATAACTAAAAACAGCCCAAATGGTCACTGATGTAGGAATCTATCAAAAATGTGTGTGTATCTATATAAAGGAGTGGAATTCATCAACAGAAAGAATGAATTATTGGCATATGCAATGATGTGGAACACTCTCCAAGCAACAAGAGTACATTCTGTCTAATTTCCAGAGCAATAGTTTAATTTTAATGAGGTCCACTTCATTGAGTTTTTCTTTCACGGATTGTGTTTTTGGTGTCACACCTAAGAACTTACCCTTCCACCCTCGATCAGGATGATTCTGCCCTGGATTTTGTTCTAAGAACTCACCATTCTGCCCTCGATCAGGATGATTCTGCCCTGGATTTTGTTCTAAGAACTCACCATTCTGCCCTCGATCAGGACGTTTCTGCCTGGATTTTGTTGTAGGAGCATGACCATTGCACATTCACATTTGTCACTGGTGTGGTAATGTGTGCCAAGGTAGATGGAAGGGGAATCGGCCTGGCTGCTGGGCCCCTGCACAAAGGCTCAGTGGGAGAGTCTTAGTTTATTTAGTGTTGCTGTAACAGAATAGCTGAGGCTAGGTAATTTATAAAGGAAAAAGGGCTTATTTAGCTCATAGTTCTGCAGGCTGGGAAGTTCAAGTGCATGGCACTGGCTTCTGACCAGAGCTTTCCTGCTGAGTCCTAACATGCAGTAGATCAAAGAGGAAGCCGACATGTGCAAAGGGGCCAAATATGAAGTGTGTCCTGGCTTTACGACAGCCTATCCTTGTAAAAACTAATTCATTCCTGAAAAATCTCATCCAGTCTCCAGAGAGGGAGAACTCTCTCACTACCTAGAGAATGGCAGCAAGCCACCCACCAGGGCGGAGCCATCATGACCCAAATGCCCTGCATTAGTCCCCACCTCTTAAAGGCTCCACCTCCCAACATCCTTACCTCGGCAACTACAGACTCAGCTTGTTTTATTGTGCTTTGCTTTGTTAAGCTCTGAAGATACTCTTTTTATTATTTATTTTTAATTGAAGATTTAAGGAAACCCTGCAGTAAGCAAATCTATCACTGCCATTTTTCCAGCAGTCTGTGCTCTGTCATGTCTCCATGTCTCTGTCACATTGTGGGAATTCTTGCAGTATTTCCAATGTTTTCATTATCACTATATCTGTCACCGTGATATGTGTTCAGTTTTTGTTGTTACTGTTGTAATTGGTTTCAGGCACCACCAGTGTTGCTCATATAACATGACAAACTTAATCAGTCACTGCTATGTGTGTTCTGATTGCTCCACTGACCAGTCGTTTTCTCATCTCTCTTCCTCTCCCTGGGCCTCCTCATTCCACGAGACATAACAGTATTGATATTAGGCCAGTTAACAACCCTGGAATGGCCTTGAAGTGTTCAAATGAAAGGAAGAGTCACATGTCTCTCACTTTAAATCAAAAGCTAGAAATGATTAAGCTTTGTGAGGAACACATGTCAAAAGCCAGGACAGGTCAAAACCTTCTTGTGCCAAATAGCCAAATTGTGAATGTAAAGGAAAAGCTCTTGAAGGAAATTAAAAGTGCTACTCCAGTGAACTCATGAATAATAAGAAAGCAAAACAGCCATACTGCTGCTACGAAGAAAGTTCTGAACAAGATCAACGTGCTGAATAAGAACAAACCAGCCACAATACTCCTTTAAGCCAAAGCCTAATCCAGAACAAGGCCCTAGCTCTCTTCAATTCTATGAAGGCTTAGAGAAGGGAGGAAGCTGCAGAAGAAAAACTGGAAGCTAGCAGAGGTGGGTTCATGAAGTTTAAGGAAAGAATCTGTCTCCAAAACACTGAAGTGCAAAGTGAAGCAGCAAGTGCTGATCAAGAAGCTGCAGCAAGTTCTCCAGAAGATCCAGCTAACAACACTGATAAAGGAGGCTACACTAAACAATAGATTTTCCATGTAGACGAAACAGCATTCTATTGGAAGAAGATGCCATCTAGGAATTTCTGAGCTGGACAAACGTCATTGCCTGACTTCAAAGCACCAAAGGACAGGCTGACTCTCTTATTAGGGTCCAATGTATATGGAGACTTTAAGTTGAAGTGAAGCTTCATTTACCATTCTGAAAAGACTAGGGCCCTAAAGAATGATGCTAAATCTACTCTGCCTGTGCTCTATAAATAAAACCACAAAGCCTGGATGACAGCACATCTGTTGACAGCATGGTTTAGTAAATATTTTAAGCCCACTGTTGAGACCTACTGCTCAGAAAAAAAGATTCCTTTCAAAATATTACAACTCATTGACAATGCAATTGGTCACTCAGGAGCTCTTGTGGAGATGTCCAAGATTAATGTTGTTTTCATGCCTGATAATACAACATCCACTCTACAGGTCACAAGTCAAGGACTAATTTTGACTGTCGAGTTTTATTATTTAAGAAATACATCTCATAAGGTTATAGCTGCCATAGATAGTGAACCCTCTGATGAGCAAGTAAACTGAAAACCTGGAAAGGATTCACCACCCTAGATTTCATTAGAAACATTTGTGACTCATGGGAGGACATCAGAGTATCAACATTAGCAGGAGTTTGGAAGAAGCTGATTCCAAACCTCATGAATGACTTTGAGGGATTCAAGACTTCAGTGGAGGAAGTCACTGCAAATTGATAGAAATAGCAAGAGGACAAAAATAAAAGTGAAGGCTGAAGATGATTGAATTGCTGCAATCTCAGGATAAACTTAGAACAGATGAGGAGTTACTCTTATGGATAAGCAAAGAAAGTGGTTTCTTGAGATGGAATCTACTCCTGGTAAAGATTGTATTAATATTGCTGAAATGATAAAAAACATTTAGAATATTCCATAAAGTTAGCTGATAAAGTAGCAGCAGGGTTTGAGAGAATTAGCTTCAATTTTGAAAGAAGTTCTACCATGGATAAAATTCTATCAAACAGCATCACATGCTACAGAGAAAGTTTTCATGAAAAGAAGAGTAAATCGATGAGGCAGACTTCATTGTTGTCTTATCTTAAGAAACTACCACAGCCGCTCCAACCTTCAGCAGCCACCATCCGCATCAGTCAGCAGCCATCAACATCCAGGCAAGGTCCTCCCTCTGCTAAAAGAGGAAGACTCACTGAAGGCTCAGATGACCACTAGGTTATTTTAACAATAAAGTATGTTTAAATTAAGGTGTGTATATTACTTCTTAGACATAATGCTTTGCATACTTCATAGATTACAGTATAGTGTAAGCCCAATTTTTATATGCACCCAGAAACCAAAAAATTAGTAAGACTTTTTGCTTTATTGTGACATTTGCTTTATTGCAGTGGTCTAGAACCAAACCTATGCTATCTCCAAAGTCAGCCTGTGAATTTCAACATGAGTTTTGGTTGGGATAAACCACATCCAAACCATAGCAGGGAGTCAGGCTTTTCCACGTGATGCCAGGGAAGAGGCAGCTGGTGACATGCAAGCTGGGCACCTGCAGGAGGTTTTTGTGCAGGGCTATGCAGGGGAGGAGGGAAGACAGCCCAGTGGCTCCTCAGAGGGCAGCAGGGGCACAGCCTCATAGACAAGCTCCATGGAGATCCCACCGGAAGTGTCCGGCCCCACTCCAGGGTCTCCATGTCAGTGGGGTTTCCATCCTCTCTGGAAAGGCGGGGAAGATAACGCTTTTCTGGTTTTCCAATGAGTAGCATTCTCTCTGACACTTCGTGGCAAGTATTAACTTCACCACATTACTAAAATGGTGATTATTTCATTTATCAAATGTCATCAGTTAATCGGTAAAATTTTCTTATAACTGGGACATCTCTTTCGGTTCCAAGCAAATCTGGAACTACTTTTTGGTGAATAAGTTTCACGGTATAACATGCACTTCACCTGCTTAATCACAGTACACAAGTAACCTCATTTTGGGACAACTCAATCAAGTAACTGGCCATGTCAGTTAATGCAACATATTGTTTATGGAGGGCAGAAGGTGTTAGTGAGGTGTGTTGTTACCTGACCATGTCAGTTACCGCACCAGGTTGCTGTTTATGGAGGGTACGAGGTGCTAATGACGTATGTTGTTATCTGACCATATCAGTTACTGCACCAGGTTGCTGTTTATGGAGGGCACCAGGTGCTAGTGAGGTCTGCTGTTACCTGACCATGTCAGTTACTGCACCATGCTATTGTTTATGGAGGACAGGAGGTGCTAGTGAGGTATGTTGTTACCTGACCATCTGCTAAGTTCTTTTATTTAAAAAAATTTTAGATTCCTTACGCATCTTACAAGCCTCAATTCTGTTTTTCTTGCTGCTTCCTGTAGTAGGCCTCCCTGCAGACTTCATGGCCATTTCTAGTGCAGTGGTAGTCAAGAAAAGAAATACCAATGCTTCTTTCTCTTTTGTCAGAACGAAGAGCAAAGAAAACCCAAGTGAAGATGTAAAGCCTGTTTATGTAAGTGTGACATACAGTAGTCTCCTTTCAATTCTGTTTTGCTTTCTGAGGTTTCAGTTACCCGTGGTCAAACGTGGTCCAAAGATATTAAGTGAAAAATTCCATAAATGAATAATTCCTAAGTTTTAAATTGCACATCATTCTGAGTACTGTGATGAATCTCGTGCCACCCTGCTGCATCCCCCCGGGACGCGAATCACCCCTGTCAGTGCGCGAATCACCCCTGTCAGTGCATAACACCCTGTCAGCGCGCGAATCACCCCTCTGTCAGTGCGTGAATAACCGCTGTCTGTGCGTGAATCACCCCCTGTCAGTGCGCGATTCACCCCTCTGTCAGTGCGCGAATGACCCCTCTGTCAGTGCGCGAATCACCCCTGTCAGCGCGCGAATCACCCGTCAGTGCGCGAATCACCCCTCTGTCAGTGCATCCAGGCTGCACACCACCCAGTAGTCACTTAGCAACGGTCTCTTTGATCAGATTGACTCTTACAGCGTTGCAGTGCTTGTATTCAAGTCACTCTTATCGGATGTAGTCATGTCACATAAGGGCTACTGAAGTGCAAGAGCAGTGATGCTGGTATACAGTAATAATTGTTTTATTATTCATTTCTATTACTAATCTCTTACTGCACCTAATTCACAAGTTAAACTTTATTGCAGGTATGCATGTATGTAGGAAGAAACATCGTATAGAGCACAGATAGGGTTCCTTACCTCCATGCTTTCAGCCATTCCCTAAGGGTCTCGGAATGTAACCTCCTTGGAGGAGCGGGGGCTCCCGTACAGGAATTAAGGTTTTGTGTGGGGGCTGTTTTGGTCTTTCTGAAGGCTATTGCTTATATCATTTTTCATGTGGTTTGTGCTGTTTTTTTGTAACCAGAAAAGTTTTCTTTCATTTGCTATATCTGTACCGCATCTCTGATGTGCTGCGTGCTTTTTGCGATGTTTTCAGATGGGAAGTTGGCTGGAGTAGGTGCTTTTCTCCAGCGGTCAGTCAGGCATCCACCTAACCCAGGGTGACCCTCTCAGGATTCCAGGACCGCTATTTCTGGGCATTGCAGTTAACATCCAGCTGCGAAGCAAAGTCTTTTCTGAGCACCATAGCTAGATACATTGTATATGAGAGAGACTGATGCACATGCTGCCTTTTTAAAATTCATAAGTGGCTGGGAAGATCGTTTTGAATAAGTCACTGAACCTTCCTAAGAATTGGTGTACTTATTTCTAACATGATTACTGTATCTTTGCGTGATATTATAAAACTTAATTAATTGATGTTTATAAAGCACTTCACATGGAAATATGCAAAACATAATTTTCTTACAAGCTTAAATTAATTTTCTAGATAAATTTTCAAAAAAATCTTTTTTGAATTATTTAAAAAACCACTATTGTTAATGAGTTTGAAATATGATATAGAATAATACTACAAATGTATTTTTGTTTCTCCTGAAAAAAATCAAGAGAACCTAAGAGAAAGTCAGGTGAAATATTGAATAACATTAGATTAGAGTAGATTTATGGGGTCATTAAAAGACAATTATTTGTTACCAGAACCTCCAGTTTAATTACACAATTAAGTTTTAGATTGTCTTCATTATGTACATGAACCTTATCACAATTCTAATTTACCTCATCTCTTTCAGAGCTGGTTCAGCAGCCAGCTTTATTTTAAGTTAAAACCACCAAGATAATTGTGTGGCTTCTGTTGATGACTCTTAAATGTTTCGTTTTCCTTAAATACACAACAGTTGCACAAATGGCCTGGGAAGGGACTGGCCTTGGGGGGACCCACTTGATTCCTTTTGAGCTTCTCCAGCTCCTCTCAGGAGAAGCACCAAGGTCAGAGGCTCCTGGGACTCCTCACCATTTTGGAGCCTCATCCAAATTTATGTTAAAATTCAGCTTTTCCTTAAAATTGTTATTCATTCGCTTAAATCCTCTCTGTAGTGTATTCTCAGCCACTGAAGCAAATTACGAATTACAATAAATTCACAAGTGACCTCATATTAAAGTTATTGAATGCATTCATTTACAAACTTTCTGAAAGTATCTAACTGATGCCTATTATTCTACTGCTAGTGCTTTGCTTTTAATAAGTGTATTGTGTAATTATAGAAACTTTATATAAAGTTTGTCAAATCCGATAATTACTAGTTTGCATATTCAAACTCAGATATTCACAAATGAAGTTATATGCTGCTGCTGTGCACGTGGACACGTAGCTAGCTATTCAGGCTCATGGGAAAGGCCTACTGGCCCTTATCTAACATCGGTGCCCACTTTACTCCAAGTAGTTTTTTATTCAGTTGTGCTTGTCGCGGGGTCAAGTGTCTTAGGGGTGAGTGTGATAAATGCTGAAGGGTCTTGAAACTGGGAATTCATGAGTGGATAAAACCAACACTCACTCTCCCGTCTTGGAGGCTGGGTAACTGTGTGTGTTCTGTGGTCTGTGGTGGTGTGTGTATGTGGTGTGTGGTGTGTGTGTGTTTGTGTTTATGTGGTGTGGTGTGTGGTGTGTGTGTGGTGGTATGTGTGTGCTTGTGTATTTGGTGTTTATGGTGTATATGGTGTGTGGTGTGTGTGTTTGTGTGGTGTGTGTGTGTGGTGGTATGTGTGTGCTTGTGTATTTGGTGTTTATGGTGTATGTGGTGTGTGGTGTGTGTTTATGTGGTGTGTTGTGTGTGTGTGTGTGGTGTGGTGTGTGTGTGGTGGTATGTGTGTGCTTGTGTATTTGGTGTTTATGGTGTATATGGTGTGTGGTGTGTGTTTATGTGGTGTGTTGTGTGGTGTGTGTGTTTGGTGTGGTGTGTGTGTATGTGGTGTGTGTGTGCACAAGTGTGCATCCATTATCACAGTGTACATTGCAGGACACGTGTCCCGGACAGCAGAACACGTCCCCAGAGTACCTGTTAACCTGGCACTTGCTTTGCTGCCAGCCATGGCTGTGATGAAGGTGAAGGTATGTTCCCTGTCACTCAAGCCTCTGCATTTAGTAAAAAGCAAATTGCACCTCAGGAGACAGCACTGGAAATGGTGATTTAGTTCACAGACAGGGGACCCTTGCCCTGCCTGAACATTTGTGGAAGCGGACACTGGCCCCACCCAGCACAAGCACCCCACACATCTGTGGAGGGAGGCGGGCAGCATCAGCCACTGCACCCCCGTCCGTGTCTCCTCAAGCCCGGGAGGAGGTGGATGGGCTCACGGCCGAGCCTTGTGACCTTGCTACCACTTCTGGCATTGTTTCTATAGGAAAATCTCCTGACTCTGAAAATCTGGCTTGCATATAAACATCCAGCCTTATAGCCTGCCTGGAGCTGTCAGTTTTGCATTATCAAAACCGTAATAAATATTAAGATCATATGGATGTGTTTTAAACGTGTGCCCACCTTACTTATTGGCTTTGGTATGACTACAGTAATGTCCTTCCCGTGGCTCTTTTTCCAGACACCTGGAGTGAGTGTGGGATTCTCTTCCGCAGCGAAGTGAATTGCACTTGTAGGGGAGTAGTTTACGTGCACCGCCGAGTTTCTCCAAATATAAAAGCCCATTTTCATTCCATACTACTAGCACAATATAAATACTATATCCACCATTGTCTTGTGAGCCCTTAGATGAAGTTAATTTCTTCCTTTTGGAATTTATTTTGCATTTATTATTCATAAACTTACCTAAATTCTTTCAGCTGAAAACATCGTTGATCAAAGAAACGCTACTGCATGCTTTGGAAGTCAGAAATGCACCCAACACATTCAGAAGGCCCAGCTTCAGGCTGGGCTGAGTGGCATCTGTGCTGGATGCTTTTTAATTATAATCCCCAAAATTCTACCAAACAGGGGAATCCAGAGGCAGTATCTGCAAGGTCCCGCCAAGCATCACTCACAATAACGCCGCCTCCCCCGCACAGCGCGTCCCTCCGGGAACTCCCCCCGCCCCCACGTCAGTGAGCTGGGCGCTCTCCAAGGGCTGCCTCCCCCGCACTGTGCATCCCTCCAGGATCACCCCCGCCCACCCCCGCCCCCACGTCAGTGAGCTGGGCGCTCTCCAAGTCCTGCTTCAGTCCCTGTCTCGTGGCTTTGACTGATACGATAAGTAGAGCGCTGGCATTTCCTGATGGTCCCAACACGTCGGCCTACGAAAGCCAGATGAGCTCCCTTTGCTCACACAGATGCCGTTTGCTACAGAGAACCTGCACATCTATTTTCTAAATTAAGATCAAAAATAGCCAAAAGGCACAAAATACAGATATCAAGACAGAAGTGGCCACGGAAGGTGAGTAGCTAAGCTCAGAGGATCCCAGCCTCTGGATTTTCAGTCTTCCATGCACCGCCCACACCTAGAAGGAAAATTCCTTCTCCAGGGTTTGCAGAGCCTGGCTGCAGCCATGGACAAAGCCGCCGTGGCCTGCTCCTTCCGGGAAAGGCAGGTGAACTGTGGCCTCCTGCTACTGCTGCCGCCCACGCCCTAACTCCTCAGCCGCATCCCTGCACCAGGCTGGTGGTCACCCTCCGAAGTCACCTCTCACCAATCTTCTTGGCCTGACCCCTGCTGGGCCCGTGCACACCCAGACCCCTGCCAATCCGGCTGCTTGGGACCGGGGTGCCCACCCCTTTGCCTCCCTTTGGCCAACATGGAGGCTTCTCAGCCCCGTGGCCCTTGTGCTCATCAGCACTGACAGTCCCTTGGCTGTAAGGTGTCTCTTGTCCACTGCCCAGTTACAAATTAGTCAACGGAGCTGCTGTGCACCTGCAGGGCATCCAGAGCTGCCTGGACAGGGCCCACAGTCCCCTCCTTCCCAGACCTGCCAGGCTTGTCTGAGGACCGACTGTGTCCAGGACACCGTTCACCCTGTCTGCCCCTGGGGCTTTCTGTCCCACACCCTGCATCCCAGCCTGGATGCCCTCTCCTCACCACAGCCTGTGTGTGGCCCTGGCTTCTCTGTGTCTTCCACAGTTCTCTGTGGACCTCCCTCTCGCATGGGACGTCCTCGGGACCATCACACAGTAGGTATGCCCGGTCATTCGTATCCTGCTCCTGCAGAAGCTCAGCAACTGTGGAGGCGGCTTTTCCTGAATTAAAGCGAGTCTTGGGCATGGATAACTACCTGGGGAATAAACAGTTAAAGAGCCCGCTGTCTTCTTTACCTATCCAAATATAAAATAGAGCTGCTGAGAGAAACAGGGCTAGAACATTGGTGCTGCACTGTGGCTGGGAATTATGTTTGACAGCTTTAAACTGAGTACCTCACGGTAGATATTTGAAAGTCCCCGCAGTGAGCCGCCGACCTGCCGTTGTGAAGAATGATCCTGAGTATTGCTCTTGGTGCCTGTGAGCTCCTGTGAATCTCCCCCGGAAAGATGCTGGAGTAGGGAGCGGGCTGCAGCTGGCAATTTATTTCTCCAAAAGCCATTATGGCTTAATTTAATTCGATTGGAACTAAGAGCGCTGGTGGTAATGTTTCTATTTCTGCTCCGTCATTCATTTCAGGGCTAATCTAATCCTTCAGTTAACACCTCCATCCTGGGAAGAGCATGGCCAAATTAGCTTTTATTAATTGTTTACATTGTAACGTTCCCTCTCTCTCCAACTTTTAGCTGTTCAGATTCTGGCGGGTGCTGATAGGAAGGCGGCAGCCAGTTGAACCTGGAAATGTGTGAGAACCACAAGTCCAGCATTTTTCTGGGATGCGAGCTCGGTGATGGCAGGGAGATTCTGTCTTGTTTTTCTTTGGAACCCCAGAGTCTCCAACGTATCACAGTCAAGCACCCCTCGAAAAACTTACAAAACCACCCAAAAAGAGAATATATTTCTCACCATCTACTTTCCTTTGATGGAGACGCCAAACCAATTGTTTTTTTAGTTTGCATATGGGGCCCTAAAGGATGTCATGTTTTCTCTGAGTAAGGCAAGATTAAATTGGCCTTATCTTTTAAAATTTCACTTAAACATATGTTTATACAAAACAAGTAGAAAGTTAAAGCTGACGTCAACTAAATCACCAATTCTAAATACTGGAACCATATTATATTTCTAAAATAGACATTTGTGTTTGTAATTAAAATATTCAGTTTTGTTTATTAATGACAAACATTTATTGCACATAGGCTGTGTGTCAGGTTGTAGGAAACCATATACTTACTGTATTAGTCAGGGTTCTCTACAGGGACACAATAGGAGATCTATCTATCTATCTCATATTAGTTTTACAACTCTATATAAATATAAATATAACTATATAAATATATATATGTATATATGGGAGTTTATTAACTCACACGATCACAAGACCCCACAGTAGGCCATCCCCAAGCTGAGGAGCAAGGAAGCCAGTCCGAGTCCCAAAGCTGAAGAGCATGAAGTCCCATGTTCAAGGGCAGGAAGCATCCAGCACAGGAGAAAGATGTAGGCTGGGAGGCTAGGCCAATCTAGACTTTTCATGTTTTTCTGCCTGGTTTATATTTGCTGGCAGCTGATTAGATGGTGCCCACCCAGATTAAGGGTGGGTCTGCCTTTCCCAGCCCACTGACTCAAATGTTAATCTCCTTTGCCAACACCCTCATAGAAACATTCAGGATCAATATTTTGCATCCTTCAATCCAATCAAGTTGACACTCAGTATTAACCACCATAAGTCCACCCCTTGTCAACTTGAACCCATATACATCTCCTGAGATTATACATAATCTTCAAATAAAGACAATCATGTCATAATTACACCTAACATAATACAACTTTCCTTGGTAGGACTGGAAACGCACCAATCCCCAACCCAAATACTATCACACAAAGTTAACAATACTTAAATGCTGACATGAAGGCAATAAATCTAATGTCACATGATAAAGGAAAAAGAAATAAAATGAAGATATTTTCTTAGTACAAGTGTATACATGCACAAGTATGTTTTTAACAAAAGAAGGAGGAAATGCTCATGACAATTACAATCCCCATTTCTGCATCTGGTCACATGGTCATAGCTGGTATTAATGACTTCCTTCTTCTAATACCCATTCTGTACTCCTTTTGCCTTCAGCAAGCACCTCAGCAGGTCGTGTTTTTTTTTCCTGATGGAAAGACCCAAACCTTCATTCCTGAAGGGTCTGGACCATTTGTAGTCCTGCCTGGATTGGGCTGTTGTGGTTTCCCATTGACCTTAATCATAGGGCATGGTAATACCAAGAAATGCCTGAATGGAGCTCCTGCATTCCTTGCGTACTCTTCCTTACCTCTGTTGTGGAGTAGTAGACTGATTTCATCTTGATACTCCAGGTCAATCGCCCCAGCCAACACTGTAACTCCTCTCTTAGCCTCTTGACTTAAAGTTAGGAGAAGCCCAAAGTGTCCAGGTGGCAATCTTAACTTCCAGTTTAATGGAATTGTCCTTGTGTTTCCTGGTGGCAGGGTTCCTCCTTCTGGAACTAAGACCTCTAGGACAGCAGAACATAATGTCGAGGGAACTGGAAACAGAAATTTTGCTAGGGGATCACTAGGGGTGATAGTGAGTGGTGCCACTTCCTCTTCCACCCCTTGATTCTTGGACCCGTGAATCCTGGCTATGAGAAAAACAGTACCATATATCAAATGCTGATTCAGAGCATACATGGTCTTCTGGAGAACTTTGCCCCTTCCCTGCAAAGTATTGTCACCTAGTTGGCATTGTGACTTCAAAAGGCCATTCCACCATTCTGTCAATCCAGCTGTTTCCAGCTGATGGGGAACATGGTAAGACCAGTGAATTCCATGAGCATGAGCCTACTGCCACACTTTTTCAGCCATAAAGTGAGTGCCTTGGTCAGAGGCAATGCTGTGTGGAACACCATGACAGTGGATAAGGTATTCTGTGAGTCCACGGATGGTAGTCTTGGCAGAAGCATTGCATGCAGGATAGGCAAACCCATATTTAGAGTAAGTGTCCATTCCAGTGAGGACAAACCTCTGCCCTTTCCATGATGGAAGAGGTCCAATATAATCAACCTGCCACCAGGGAGCTGGCAGATCACCCCGAGGAATGGTGCCATATTGAGGGCTCAGTGTTGGTCTCTGCTGTGAGCAGATTGCACAGACACACCCAGGATCAACACTTTGCATCCTTCAATCCAATCGAATTGACACTCAATATTAACCATCACACTTGCTCTGAAGAACATTCGTCAACAGGTTACCTGAGTGTCACTGTGGCTGTCATGACTTGCTCACTGAAGGAGGCAGACATGCTCCTGTGCACTTCCTCGGCAGGCTCTTCACTCTTTCAGAATGAGGGGGCTGGTGAGACCAGGTGTGTTCTCCAGGTGGACACACAGCTCAGAGACAAAGCTTGCAGAAGGGCAGGCGTGTTTGGAAGGAACTCTGGGTTGGGGAGGAGAATATCTTTGCTCACTCTGTGCTTTTCCCGCCGAGGAGTCACAGCTGAGTCACCTGCCCCTCATTCTTCATTCCTTCCTTCTGTCTAAACAATGAGTGATTGTTATCCACATTTAAGGAATGTTGGAAAGACTTAAAAATTGTGAAAACTTTTGAACAATTTAATTTCTTTAGAGAAAAGCTGATAATTGGAAATAGAAATAGTCCAACAGGAGGCACCAGGGCCTCTGTGGATGCAGCGGGTGCTCCTTTGTCTGAGCCAACCTCGAGTGAAGTTGGAGGCTGGGTGAGTCCGGCAGCCTTTCCTTCTCACCTCACCTCTGTGCTGCTCTGACTGGTTTCTAAACGTGTTCACCACGTGTCTTGTTCATGGGGAAGCTGAACTGTGAACATGCCCCTTTATTCGAGAAATGAGCCCCAGCCCACACATTGCTTGGTGCTGCATCTGGTTGAGCAGGGGTGGAGAATAGCAGCAGGGGGCCCGGAGTGCTCCGTGCAGGTGGCAGAGTGACGGCGGAACGTGCTCCTGATGGTGACGCTGAACGAGGAAACCCTGAATAGCATGCGCCAGACAGCGAGCACTCGTCATTCTCATTGGAGGGCCGGGGCCACAGGAACAACTTCACGCGCTGACAGCGTGACCTGTTGTTTTCACCCTCTGGCCACCGCTGAAGAGTCTGCCGTCATGAAAAGGGCCCAAGCAGCATTTCCACTTGAAAATAAGATGCGTCCTTTTCCATCCATGGTTTTGTGGTTGCATTAATGGAAGGAGAAGCCTTCCCAGCTGTTGACTTTAAGACCCGAGAATGACCACCTCACTCACGCATTCCACACAGCATCGTGATGGACAGCCTGGACCCGGGGTGGAGCACCTGGGGCGAGCCCAGCTTCCATCCTGACCACCTGGAACCTCGGACAAGTTTTTAAGAAGTCCTTTGCCTCAGTTTTCTTCTCTAGAAAATAGGATAATAGAATTAATCCCCTAGAGTTGTTTTGATATTTATGAGTGATTGGTATTTATACAGCTTAAGATGGTGCCTGGCACATGGTAAATGCCATCCAACTTGGCTATTTTTACTCAGCAAGTGTTTTTTGGGCGGCACTTATGTTCTAGGCCTTGGAGAACCTACAGTGAACAAAACAGACAATTCTCTGTGCACAGATCTGACATCATATCTAGACCACTCAGAGCAATGTGTTTCTGGTTGTCTCATTTCTGCTACTTTTCATCAGGCACAAGGTCTGAGATCCAGCAAACACCATGTAAATCTCTGAAGGTCTGAAGAAGAAATTTGTATCGCCAAAAACATAAATTTAACTAAGTTAATGGTGCTCAGCTATCCTCCAAGATGGTCCACTTCCCAAGCTCACCGACAAGCTACAAACACACCACACCCACGCATTCACACACAGAGGCATATACATGGACATGTGCACACATGACACACACATGCATTCACGTGCACACAGGCCCATGCATGCAGGTATGCACATATACATGAACACACATACATAAGCATACATACACATGGGCACAGCACACACATGAAGATACATACATACATTTTTGTGCACCCTCACAGTTATGCATATGCACTTATATGTATGCCCACACACATGCAGACCAAGGAAAATGTGTGTAAACATGACACACCTCACACACATGTACACATGCACACTCATGCACATTCATGCAGGCATGTATTCACACATGCTCATGCCACACCCACTTTTGTGTACACACTTACACCTATGCACACACATGCAGCCTTTCCCCTGCCTACTCTTCCATCTCCCCCAGCCCCTGCATTTGCAGGTCATCCCCAGCCACACAAATCTGACTTCAGATTTCTGGTCTACTCTTACGCCTGATTCCTTTCAGCCTTGGCCTTTGAGATTGTTGATTACTGCTCCTTAATTAGCCTCTATTCCACGATCATCTTGATCATTTTCTGATTTTCTCACGGCTGTCCTCTGCTCTCTGCCATCATCTCTGCTTGGCTTGAAACTCAAGTGTTGGCATCACCTCTAGCATCTTTACTTCCTGCCACTAGCATTATCTTCAGAGATCCTAATCAATATCACACCCTTAGATATTCCAAATTAGCAATGATGCCAATCTTTACTTGTCTGCAGCTCATTCTGGAACCTCAGACCCACATCCCCAGGTGACTGGGGTCCTGTTCTCACCTTCAAAATGTCTCCTTCTGCCGCCGCCCTTCCCTCATCTTTCCTGGGGCACTGGGTGCTGCGTGCACTCAGCAGGAGCCTGCTCAGTCTACTCACTGCCCGCATGTGTCTCTCCACAATTTCTCTGACTGCCCCTTCCTCCGTCTCACTCCTGCCACCTGCTCTGTGTCTATCACTTGGCAGATCGTACCCTGGAAGCCCATGGCACACTTTGTGCACTGTAGGCAGCACTTAGCAAACACTGACATCCGTGTTTGCTTTGCGTGAACTCGTGCCTATTTGCACAGAAAATAGTCACGGGCCATACTCAAACCTGTAGCCATGTTTGGAGTAGGACCCTTATTTTAAAAATGTGGTGAAATATACATCACATAAAACGTAACACTTTAAAGTATACAGTGCACAGTCATTGAGGACATTCACAGTGGTGTTCAGCTGTCACCACCATCACCAGAACCCTGTCATCTTGCAAAGCCGAAGCTCCATTGCCACTAAACACCAGCTCCCCGTGCTCCAACCCCAGCCCATGGTAGCCACTATTCCACTCCCCGTCTCTATGAATCTGAGGACTGCAGATATTTCGTATGAGCAGACTCGTGCAGTGTCCGTCTGTTTGTGCCTGACTTATTTAACTTAGCATAATGTTTTCAAGGTCATCCCTGTTGTAGCATGTCAGAATTTCCTTCCTTTCTAAAGGCGAGTAATATTCCATTGTATGGATATAACATTTTGTTTATCCGTTCATCCTTTGATGGACACTTGAGTTGTTTCTACCTTTGGGCTGCTGGGAATAATGTTGCTATAAAAATGGTGTATTAGTCCATTCTCACATTGCTATAAAGAACTACCTGAGGTTAGGTTATTTATGAAGAAAAGTGGTTTAATTGACTCACAGTTCCACAGGCTGTACAGGAGGCATGGTTGGGGAGACCTCAGGAAACTTACAATCATGGCAGAAGGCAAAAGGGAAGAAAGCTGTCTTCACATGGTGGAGAGGGACAGAGAGGGAGCATGAAGGGGAAGTTCTACATCCTTTTTTTTTTTTTTTGAGATGAACTTTCACTCTCTCACCCAATCTGGAGTGAAGTGGCATGATCTTGGCTTACTGCAACCTCCGGCTCCCAGGTTCCAGCAATTCTTCTACCTCAGCCTCCTGAGTAGCTGGGATTATAGACATGCACCACCACACCCAGCTAATTTATGTATTTTTAGTAGAGACGGGGTTTTGCCATGTTGTCCAGACTGGTCTTGAGCTCCTGACCCAAGCAATCCACCCACCTTGGCCTCCCAAAGTGCTGGGATTACAGGTGTGAGCCACTGCACCCAGCTGAGAAGTACTGCACACCTTTAAACAACCAGATCTCATGAGAACTCTATCACAAGACAGCACTAGGAGGATGGTGCTAAATCATTAGAAACCACCCCCATGATCCAGTCACCCACCAGGCCTTAACTCCAACAGTGGGAAATGCAATACATCAGATTCTGGTGTGGACACAGAGCCAAACCATATCAATGGGTGTACAAATCATCTTGTAATGTCTCTGCTTTCAGTTATTCTGGGTGTATACACAAAAGTGGGATTGTTGGATCATGTGGCAGTTCAATTTTTAAATTATAAGGAGTTACTGTACTGTTTTCCATAACATTACAAAATTTTACATTCCTAGCAATAGTACACAAGGGTTCTAATTTCTTCATAGCCTCATCATCACTTGTTATTTTCTGTTGTATTTGCTTGTTTGTATTTTATAGTAGCCATCCTAGCAGGTGTGAGGTGGCATCTCACTGAGGTTTGATTTTTGTTTCTCTAATCACTGGTGATGTTGGCATCTTTCCACGTGCTGATGGGTCATTGATATATCTTCTTGGAGTAATGTCTATTCAGGTCTTTTGCCCGTCTTTTAATTGGGTTGTTTGCTTGTTTTCTTCTGGTTCAGTTGTAGGAGTTCTTATGTATTCTAGACATCAACCCCTTAATAGATATATGATTTACAAACTTTCACATTCTCTGGGTTGGATTTCCACTCTTTGGTGGTGTCCTCTGATACACAAAAGTTTTAATTTTGGTATTATTCTGTTTGTCTATTTTTTTGGTTGCCTGTGTTTTTGGTGTCATATCCAAGAAATCATTGCCAAGTCCAGTGTCATGCAGTATTCCCCCTATTTTTAATCACAAGAATTTTACAATTTTAGCTGTGACATTTAGAGTTTTGGTCTGTTTTGATTTAATTTTGGGATATGATGTAAGATAAGGGTTCCACTTCATTTTTGCAAATGGATATCCAGTTTTCCCAGCACCATTTATTGAAAAGACTGGCCTTTCTCCATTGAATGGTCTTGACAACTTTGTTAGGAATTATCTGAGCACCTATGTGAGGGTTTCTTTCATCGCTCTCTGTTCTGTTCCATTGATCTATGTCTTTCTTTATGCCAGTGCAACATTGTTTTGATTAATGTAGCTTTGCAGTAAGTTTTGAAATCAGGGATTGTGAAATCTCCAACTTGTTTTTAAGATTGTTTTGGCTATTCAAGGTCCTTGACATTCCATAGGAATTTTAAGATGGATTTTTCTATTTCTGGAAAAAGGTCTTTGGGATTTTGATAATGACTGCATTGAATTTGCAGATAGCTTTGAGTGGTATGGACATCCGAACATCATTAAGTCTAACAATCCATGAGCACAAGATGTCTTTTCTTCAATGGTGTGTTCTTTAATTTTTGTCATCAATGTTTTGTAGTTTTCAATGTACAAGTCTTTTTGCTTCCTTGGCTTAGTTAATTCCATATATTTTATTCTTTTTGATGCTATTGTAAATGAGATTGTTTTCTCAATATCCTTTTCAGGTTGTTCGTTGTTAGCATATAGAAATAAAACTGATTTTTGAGTGTTAATTTTGAATCCTGCAACTTTTTTGTGCAGGATTTGCTTAATTCGTGTATTCATTCTAACAGATTTTTTTTTGTTCTGTCTTTAGGGTTTTCTATATGTAAGAAAGTGTTGCTTGTGAACAATGATAATTTTGTTTTTTCTTTCCTATTTGGTTGACTTGTTTGTTTTTCTTCACAGTTGCTGTAGCTCGGATGTCTAGTATTGTGTGGAATATAATTGGCAGCAGTAGGCATCCTTGCCTTGTTCCTGATCTTAAAGAAAAAGCTTTCAGTCTTTCACTATTGAGTATGATGTTAATGTGGGCTTTTATATAAGGCCTTTATGATGTTGAGATATTTCACCCAATTTCTAGTTTGTTGGGTGTTTTATATCATAAAAGGGTGTTGAATTTTGCCAGTTACTTTTTTGCATCTATTAAGATGATACAGATTTTTCTTTTTCCTTCCTTTTGTTCACATGGCATGTTGCATTGATAGATTTTTCTATGTCAAACCATCCTTTCATTCCAGGGATAAATCTTACTTTGTTACATTGTACAATGCTTTTAATGTGCTGTTGAATTTTGTTTACTAGTATTTTGTTGAGATTTTTGCATCAATCTTCATAGGGGATATTGGTCTGCAGTTTTCTTTTCCTGTAGAATCCTTGTCTGGGTTTGGTATCAAGGTAACACTGACCTCATAGAATGACTGGGAAAGTATATCCTTCTCTTCAGGTTTTTAGAAGTGTTTGAGAAGGATTGGTGTTAATTCTTCTTTAAATGTTTGGTAGAATTCACCAGCGAAACTATCTGGCCCTTGGCTTTTCTTTGCTTTAAGGTTTTTGATTATAGGTTCAGTCCCATTGCAAGCTACAGTTTGTTCACATTTTCTATTTCTTCTTGATTTAGTTTTGATAAATTGTGTGTGTCACACGAATTTTTTCATTGAATCCAAGTTATTCAATTTGTTAGTGTAAAATTGTTTGTAGTACTCTGTTACTTTTTTTTTTTTTTTTTTACTTTTGTTAAGTCAGTAGAAATGTCCCCTCTCTGATTTCTGATTTTAGCTATTTGAATCTTCTCTATGTTTTATTTGGTCAATACAGATAAAGCATTGCCATTTTAAAAAATATTTTTGAAGAATCAAGTTTTGCATCCATTGATTTTCTATATTGTTTTTCTATTTTGTCTTTTTAAAAATTTCTTCTTTAATCTTTATTATTTCCTTCCTTCTTCTAGATTTGCGTTTAGCGTGTTTTTCTTTTTTCTAGTTTCTTAAGGTTAAAAGTTAAGATGCCAATTTGAGATCTTTCTTTTTTTAATATAAGCATTTTTAGCTATAAGTTTCCCTTTTGGCCCTAGTTTTACTGTGTTGTGTGAATTCTGGTGTGTTGTGTTTTTTATTTAGGTTATTTTCTAGCTTCCCTTGTGATTTCTTCCTTGACCCATTGGTTGTGTAAGAATGGGTTGTTTAAGTTGCACATATTTGCTGATTTTCATTTTCCTTCTGCTGTTGATTTCTAGTTACATTCCAATAAGTTCAAAAAAAAAAGATAATTGATAGAATTTTAATCTTTTAACATTTTTTAAGGCTTGTTTTGCGGCCGAGCATGTGGAGCGAACCTTGTAAAGTATGATATCTACATGGGAGAAGTGACCCTCTGGCAGGCTTCCTTTTGTGCACTTACTAGGAGTTAAAAGGACCAGCTTGGAAGACTGCTTTGATGCTGTAATAGTGCCATTTGGTTGATCCGAAACTGGAACCCAGAACAGTCCTCTAAGCCTGTGGACTAAGAACATTCAAGATGTTCCTGAACAGCCCAACGCTGGGGTCCAAGTCAGACGGTGCCACATGTGTTCAGGCTGGTCACCACCATAGCCTCTTAGCTGACCACTCTCTTCCCCAACTCTCTTTTGTCTCCACCACTCTGCATACCCCTGCAATCTCACCCTCTCCAGATCGTCTGTCCCTGAAGTCCTCAGTGGCTCCTATTTTTTGGAGGAGATGGAATGGTATGCTGAACAACTCCCACGCATGGGGACACTGGGGACAGACCCCATCCTTCAGGTCCCATTGGGGACAGACCCCAACCCTCAGATCCCATTAGGGACAGACCCCAACCCTCAGGTCCCATTAGGGACAGACCCCAACCCTCAGGTCCTGGCCATGCCCCTCCCATGCCCAAGGAATGCAGCTTTGAGAATTTCATCTAATCTCTCTAAACATGGTACATTTTATGTGCTCAAATGTTTGAGAAATGAATGAATTTATAAGAGAAACTTAGATTCTTTATCTGAAAAACAGAGATTTAGCTTTCTTAGGAGAAAGTAGATGAGTTTCTAGAATGATTACCTTAGAGGGACAGATGATCCAATTTATATTTAAAAAGTAGAAACTGGTTAAGATTAAAGAAATCTCCAATCAGAAATGCAGAAAGGAACTCACTCTCTGCTACTTCTTCATGTAAAGGGGTTCATCATCCATCTTGTAAGCAGGACATTGGTCTCCCAAACCACATGGACACAAGCACTTTCTGTCAATGGTAAACGGTCATTTCAGGAATCAGATATTAACATATGATGAGAAATTATTGAACAAAATATCTTAGCATCTTAAGAAACACAAACCTAAGTCCTCAGGTATATGAGGGAAGTGAGTGTCATCGTTTGCTTTATAAATAACACAGTGTCTGGAGGAAGAAATCAAGCCTGCAGAATCATAAAACCACTCGCTAACATAACACTCTACAGTTTACAGCCCAGGCACCCAGAGGCGAGGAAGTAGACAGTGTGGCTCGTCTTCTGACCTGGCTCCCTCTGGGATGAGGCGTTTGACGCAGGCTGTCTCGTTCACTCCCGCTGCGCTGAGTGTGAAGGATCCAGCTCTGCCCTGTGCGCATGGAGTGCTGGGGAGATGATGATGCTGGGGAATGACTGAGTGGGCAGTGTCAGAGTCTCTCTCTCATGCTAGGGTGGTGCCGCAGGGACTCTCGTGTGGCCATGAGCTCTGTGGCAACTCTGAGTTTCAGTGTTTTGAACTCTCAGATGCAGAGACTGAAGCGGCCACATGCTGGGCGGATGTAGTGTCTCATGCCTCAGTGTGAGGAGCCTGCATGGAGACAGGCTTGAGGATCCGCCTCCTGTCTTCTCCCCGTTCACTCTGAGGGAACTCTCTTCCCAGAATAATTTTTTCCAACAGGTGCTGAAACTTGTATAGGGAGAGTACCTTTTTTAATACAAAGTATCCGCTTCAGTAAGTTACCCATTTTAGTAACTTCAGTGTTTCTTAGTTTTAACCCTATTCCCAGAGGCATCTATTATAATAATACAGAGAAAGTGTAGCCCAGAAATGTAATGATTGAGGAAATTTCGAGTGACATAGGAATGACAGCCGTAGAGGACTGAGTCTCCAATGTTTGGGTGGGAGGGGCAGGCAGGTGTCACCATCAATGGCTTCCACTGTAGAAGGCTGAGTCTCCCATGTTGGGGTACGAGGGTCAGGCAGGTGTCTCCATCGATGATTTCCACTGTAGAAGGCTGAGTCTCCCGTATTGGGGAGGGAGGAGCAGGCAGACGTCACCATCGATGGCTTCCACTGTAGAAGGCTGAGTCTCCTGTATTGGGGTGGGAGGGTCAGGCAGATGTCACCATCAATGTCTTCCACTGTAGAAGGCCGAGTCTCCTATGTTGGGGTAGGAGGAGCAGGCAGACGTCACCATCAATGGCTTTCACTGTAGAAGGCTGAGTCTTCCATGTTGGGGTGGGAGGGTGAGGCAGACGTCACCATCGATGGCTTTCACTGTAGAAGGCTGAGTCTCCCATGTTGGGGTGGGAGGGCCAGGCAGACGTCACCATCGATGGCTTTCACTGTAGAAGGCTGAGTCTCCCGTGTTGGGGTGGGAGGGTCAGGCAGGTGTCTCCATCGATGCCTTCCACTGTAGAAGGCTGAGTCTCCTGTGTTGGGGTGGGAGGGTCAGGCAGACGTCACTATCAGTTGCTTCCACTTGGTAAGCCTCTGCCTCGCACCATGGCCACTTCTGTGCTAATGCTGATCTACTCATCCTGGAATTGGTTAGAATAATGACAGCAAGCACAGCTGCTGACCAACTGGGTGCTTATTGCCTACTAGGCACTGTTAAATAACGGTATATTTATTAATCATTTGATTTTTATAAAACTTATACATATTTTGACTGTTATTCCCATTTTTCAGATGACAGAGTGAGGGGCAGAGGGTTGCAGAATGTTCCCAAGGTGCCCCTGCCCCAGCAGCAGCCTCTGTGCTGGTGAGCACGCCGCTACCTGCCCCTTAGGCATACATTTCACAATTAGAGAAGCCTCTTCTACCCGTGTATTAGTAAAACTGAAAAATACAGGGTCTTATCAGTCCCCCACAGAGATAGAGGTTGACCTAGGCTCCTGGCCCACACTGGCCGGGCCTTTCCTGGTCACTCAGGGACCTCAAGGCATCTCCGTGTTCATGAATCAGTCACTGTTTGCATTTTCCTGCTTTCCTCCCTGGAATGACAGTCCCTGAGCAGCTCTGCCTTTGTGTAGGAACCTGCTTCCGGGTCAGCACAGGGCAGACTCCCCAGCACGCTCTTTAGGAACAGACCACCTTTGCTGAGAAAATCACCATCTTTGAAGAGTTCTGATATTAACGACAGTCTTGCTTTAGAAGAAGTTGCTGGGCTGACAATAAATTGTATTTGTAGAGCACAGGTAGCAATGCCCATTTTTTGCCCTTTTTGCTTCAATTCCAGATACAGGACACAGAAAATTATTTGACACTTTCTCAAGAAAGCAGAACAGAACATCCAGCCTCACAGAGATTCCGGGTGCCTAACTTCACTGTCCAGGGCACCAGCTCTATGTGCTGGGGATGTTTCAGGGGCATGTCCTTTATTTTCCTCCATACTTCCCTGAAGGAAGTAGCAGAAGTTTCGAATTGCCCCGTTCTACTGGAAACCTGCATTCCACCCACTGAAGGATCCCTGAGCTAATGCCCCCACTGCCAGCCTCAGGTTCCCTCCCACCTTGTGTATCTGCAAGTGAGGGGAATAAGCTTTTCTGTCTTCATGCAGAATCCATACTCATCACCTGAAGGTGGAGGATCCAGGCTGAACTTCAGTGCATGCAGTACACATTCATGTAAATATTTATTTTCAATGGAGAATGTAAACCCGTTACTTTGCCATCTGATATTTGGTACTTTGCACATCTCCATTAAATGTGTGCTGCTGCCTTGTGTCTATTGCATGAGCTATACTTGAGACATTGTCCACCTGTCACTAATAACATCTTGGAGTTGCACAACACAGGGGCTGCCCAGCCCGGCGCCTCTGCAGCTCCTTCCCATCAGCCCAGCCCTGCACCTCTGCAGCTCCTTCCCAGCAGCCCAGCCCGGCGCCTCTACAGCTCCTTCCCAGCGGCCCAGCCCGTCGCCTCTGCAGCTCCTTCCCAGTGGCCCAGCCTGGCGCATCCGCAGTTCCTTCCTGGCTCTTGTAGGTCGTTTTCCAGCCTTTCCCTGGAAGCATCAAGTGACAGGAAAGTGGCCCAGGAGCTCTCAGGATAAGAGCAGAGAAGGAAAGAATGGAAAAGAAGGTCCAGAAGGCAGGGATCTTGTCCTCGTTCCACGTTAGGACCATGTGATTTAGTCTCCTAGGAGACTCCATCTCACACTAGACAGGCAGAAGTTAACAAGTTTGAAAATACCGAGTATCAGCAAGGAACGGAGTAGTGAGAACTCCCAACCAGGGCTTGAGCAGGGCGCGTGTTGGTCTGTATGAATCTAGAAATGTGTGGAGCTGAGGCCCATTGCCCAGGGCTCTATGTGTTACAAAGAGCAGAGAGCTGCAAGGGGTGACGGACAGAAGACTGGGCTGGTGCTTCTTCCAGAGTAGGGGCAGGTGGGATTTCAATCTATCAGCATGTCAGCACAGTGTATTTTATATACATTTCATTCATTTATTTATTTTTAGTTTTATTTTTTTGAGACAGAGTCTACCTCTGTCACCTAGGCTGGAGTGCAGTGGCATGATCTCGGCTCACTGCAACCTCTGCCTCCCAGGCTCAAGAGAGTCTCGTGTCTCAACCTCCTGAGTAGCTGGAATTACAGATGCCCACCACCACACCCAGATAATTTTTTGTATTTTTGGTAGAGATGGGGATTTTCCATGTTGCCCAGACTGGTCTCAAACTCCTGGGCTCAAGCGATCCACCCACCTTGGCCTCCCAAAGTGCTGGGATTACAGGTGAGAGCCACCACACCCGGCCTATACATTTAATTTAAAATAATTAATATGTAAACAGAAGACAGGCCAAAGTCACAGACATTCTAAAACAGTGAAGCAGAATTAAACCAGTAAGCATTGGTAGAGACCCTGTCCTCCCCCGGTCCTGGATGGTGCCCCTGGGTGAACACCAGGTCTGCTTTCCACACCCGCCTTCCCTGGGTCCCTTCTTCCTCTGCCTCCTCCACCTCTCCAAATGCCTTTTTACCATCCTGCGCCACTCCAGAAATGTGATGGTTGATACTGAGTGTCAACTTGATTGGCTTGAAGGACACAAAGTATTGATCCTGGGTGTGTCTGTGAAGGTGTTGCCAAAGGAGATTCACTTTTGAGTCAGTGGGCTGGGGTAGGCAAACCCACCCTTAATTGGGTAGGCACCATCCAAGCAGCTGCCAGTGAACATGAAGCAGGCAGAAAAATGTGAAAAGGAGAGATGGGCCTAGCTCCCAGCCTACATCTTTCTCCCATGCTGGGTGCTTCCTGCCCTTGAACATCAGACTCCAAGTTCTTCAGTTTTGAGGTTTGGACTGGCTCTCCTTGCTCCTCAAGCTTGCAGATGGCCTATTGTGGGACCCTGTGATTGTGTAAGTTAATATTTAATAAACTCCCCTTGATATATATCTATCCCATTAGTTCTGTCTGTCTAGAGAACCCTGACTAATACAAGATACTTTTATCCCATAAGGCGCAACATCGGGAGCCAACAGTCAGAGGCAGGAACATGCCCTGCACTGCTGCTTTCCGGGCCGTGGAAACACATCTGTCACTAGTCCTGACCCTGCTGGTCTAGCCCTGCGCACATTTCCCAGGGCTGCCCTAAGGAATGTCCGCAAACCAAGTGGCTTAAAACAACAGAAATTTATCCTCTCATTTCTGGAGGCTGCAAGTCTGAGATCAAAGGGTTGGCAGGGCTGAACTCCCTCAGGTTCAGAAGGTGGATCCTTCCTGCCTCTTCCTGCTTTGGGTGGCTCCTGCAGTCCCTGGCATTCCTCAATCTGCAGCTCCTCACCCCAGCTTCCATCCCTGTCTCCACACCTGGCTCTCCTCCCTGGGTCTCTGTCTCCTTTTCTCAGAAGATCACTGGTCACAGGATTCGAGCCCCATGTGCTCCAGCACAGCCTCACCTTGGTCTCTTCTGCAAAGAGCCTACTTCCAAATAAGATACTGGGGGCTAAGACTCCAGCATGACTTTCGGAGGGACACAAGTCATCCCTGTGAAGCAACCCACAAGAAACGTGGAGCACAACTGCAATGCTGAGCTGTGGTGCCGGAAGCAATAAATGAGGAGTCAGGACACAGGGACAGAGAGACCAGCCCGTCCTCTGTGCCTTTGGCAAGCTGTGTGCCTGCCCAAACCCCACCTGTCATCTGTAAAATGAGGATGAAAGCACCATCTCGTGAGTTTACCATGAGAATTCAACGTAAGGCACTTAGCCTAGTTCCAGGCATGCAAGAAGGGTGCCTTAAATGACGGCACTGTGACCATCACCACTCTGAAGGCATGCAAGAAGGGTGCCTTAAATGAGGGCACTTACCATCACTGCTCTGAAGGGCGTGCAAGACAGGTGCCTCAAACGAGGGCACTGTTACCATCACCGCTCTGAAGGGCGTGCAAGAAGGGTGCCTTAAATGAGGGCACTATTACCATCACCACTCTGAAGGGCATGCAAGAAGTGTGCCTCAAATGAGGGCACTGTTACCATCGCCGCTCTGAAGGGCATGCAAGACAGGTGCCTTAAATGAGGGCACTGTTACCATCACCGCTCTGAAGGGTGTGCAAGAAGGGTGCTTTAAATGACGGCACTGTTACCATCACCGCTCTGAAGTGCTGTCGAAAATCCTTTCAAAGTCCACTCACTCTTGGCTGATGGTCTTCGTTAGCTAAAGCGTTTTCTGCAGGTCTCCTTCCACAATCCAGTCTGCTTTAGGCCGAAGAAAGCATTGGCCTCCCGGGGCTCACTGACCCCAGGATAAAAACAGGAAGATCCCTCAACACCCCAGGGTGGGTCAGCATTTCCCCCTGGACACAAGCTGCGGCCCCAGGGTGCACATTGATCAGAACCTCACCTGGGCCGTGCCGGCCCCTGCTTGTAAGGTGGCTCTCAGTCTATCCCAGAAGAGCTACCTGTGCCCATGTGATTTCTCTCCCTTCCCATACCCCATCCTGATGTTGCTTCCGACAGCTCCATGCATCCTGTTTTGTTAATGAACAGAATCGCTTCTTTAACTTCATTAATTCCAGCTCTTCATTTGTGTATGTTGTCTATGATACTTAAAAGGCTAATCTTAATGCTTTTGTTTAGAGCGTGAATTTTTAATATATTTGAAAATGAACTTGAGTGTGCTATTTAATACCACATTTTGTTTTATCACATCCTAATTACGTTTACTAGCTATTGTCCTATAAAAAGCTATTTTAATCTTTATTATCTGGATTTTTCGCCACTGCAGCATGTGTCATTTTCTGCAGTGATGTCCAAAAATTAAGTAAAAGGTATTTAAGGGAACTCTAATTGATTGTGCTTCTCAAGAGCCCTAGAAAATTTGATGAGTCATTAGGCTGACTGTGTGCGAGAGGAAATTCTCCACCGACAGCCTGAAGCTGTGTAAAATGGGATGGCTTTAGACCTGCCGAGCTCTCACAGCACTCAGCTCAAGCCTCAGCATCCCCCAGAGGTGACATGCATGGAGTTCTCAGTGGATGGCGGGGAAGGGTCAAGGTGACATGCATGGAGCTCTCAGTGGATGGTGGGGAAGGGTCATGGGATTGGGCACCTTACTTAGTTTGAGGGAGAGTCACAGAGTCCACATACTCACTGTGGTTGTCACTGCTTACCCCGCGCCCTGCTGAGGCTCAGCTGCCGTCTGCACCCATGCCATGCTGTCCTCCAGGGGGACCTGCAGGATGTAACCAAGGCATAACACCTGTATCACTGGAGTCCAGGAGAAAAGAAGTACTGAGAAGTACTCAAAAAATATTATGGCCTCAAACTTCCCCACATTGGCTAGAGACGTAAACCTACATATTCCAGAAACTGAACAAACTCTAAACAGAATAAGCCCAAAGAATTCCATACCCAGATCCTTACAATTAAGCTCATGAAAACTAAAGAAAAAGAAAACAAATCTTGAAAGCAGCCTGAGAAAAATAATACAGCCCTTAGGGAGGAAAAACGATTCAAATTATAGTGGCGTTCTCATCAGACACTACAGAGGCCAGAAGGGAGTGTCCCAATATTGTTTTAAGTGCTGAAAGAAAAGAATTGGCACACAGAAGACTTTATCCACTTGAAAATATATTTTAGTAATTAAAAAAATTGAAACATTTTCTGATAAAAAAAATTAAGAGAGTTTAGTATCAGCAGATCTATCCAGAAAGAATAAAGGAAGTTCTCTAAACAGAAATCAAATGATGAAAGAAGGAACCTGGGAACATCAGGAGGGAAGAAGGGCCATGGTGAGCGAGAGTGCAGGTGACACCACAGACATTTCTTGTCCTACTGAGTTTTCTTACTTTTTTTTTTTTTTTAAGACAGAGTCTCGCTCTGTCACCCAGGCTGGAGTGCAGTGGTGTGATCTCGGCTCACTGCAACCTCCGCCTCCCAGGTTGAAGAGATTCTCCTGCCTCATCCTCCCAAGTAGCTGAGACTGCAGGCATGTGCCACCACACCTGGCTAATTTTTTGTATTTAGTAGAGACAGGGTTTCATCATGTTAGCCAGGCTGGTCTCGATCTCCTGAGCTCGTGATCCTCCCACCTCAGCCTCCCAAGGTGCTGGGATTACAGGTGTGAGCCACCGCGCCCGGCCTGTGTTTACTAAATTATGTTTTATGGTCGAAGAAAAAATAATAACACTGTCTGATGTGATTCTAAATGTATATGAAGAAACTATTTGAAATATATATACTATAAATGGGGGAGGGAAAAGGAAGGTGAAGGGGAGTGAGGTTTCTATACTTCAACTAAACTCATGGAGGAAGGACCACTGTGTATATAGAATGTGTATACAACTGCGTATAGAGAACCAGAGCAATTTCTAAAAAGGCCATCCAAAGAGACACTCAAAAAAATACAGATAAATTGGAATGCTAAAAAAAAAAAAAAAAAAGTTTAAGTAACTTACAGTTAGGCAGGAAAAAAAAGAGAAATCAAAGACAGGAAACAAAAAATAAAATATCAGTCTTCAGCCCTAAGATATCAATAAATTACATGAAGTGAAAGTGGTGTAAATGCACCAAGTAAGAAACAGAGATTGGCAGAGGAGATTAACAAGATGACCAAGCTCTAGTCAAGAAACTTACTTCAAAGGTAACCATGTAGATGGTTTGAAAGTAAATGAGTAAAAAGAGATAACTCATGTAACCTTGATCAAAGGAAAGCAAGAGTAGCCCTATTATCAGATAAAGGAGACTTCAGAGAAAATAAAATTACTAGGTGCAGAGAGAGTGGCGTTATAGGATGATGAGAGGCTCAGTCCACCGGGAAGACCCAGCCATCCTAAGTGAGTATTCACAAAACAACGGGGCTGCAAAATATGGGAAGCAAAAACTGAGAACTGAAACAAAAACAAAAAACAGAAAAATCTACAATTACAGTGGAAGGCCTCAACACTCCTTCTCAACAATTGAAAGACAACTAGGTAAAATATCAGCAAATATATAGAAGACTTCAACAGTACCATCAACTAAAAGAATCCAGTAAACATTTATGGAATCCCCCCACCACATACTACGGGATAATAAACATTATCTTCAAGTGTCCATGCAACTTTTAGCAGGATCAGCCATATCTGGGGGCATAAACAAGCATCAACAAATTTGTAAGAACTGAAAATATACAAAGAATGTTAATTAAAATGGAAACAAATTTGAAATCAACAACAGAAAGATAATAGGAAATTCTCCAAACACTTAGATACTGCACACTTATAAATAAGCAATGTGTCAAACATGCAGTTTCAAGGCAAATAAAAAATAATGAGGATATGAAAATGAGAACCCTGTAATATATCAAAGTTTGTGAGGCACAGCTGAATCAGGGCTGCGCAGGAAATTTACGGCATTAACAGCATGCATTCATTAGAGAAGAGGAAAGGTCTAAAAACTGTAGGCTTTTGCCTCAATAAACTAGAAACAATAAACTATAAACCCCAAGGAAGAGCAGATATCAGTAAAATCAAAAACAGAAAAACAGAAGAGGAAACCAGTAAAACAAAGAGCTGTTTCTTTGAAGATATCATTAAATTTGGCAAATGTTTAGAAGAAAGACTCACAAAAAAAAGAGGAGAAAAAGAGAAGACAAAAATTGAGAATGTAATAAATGAAATGGGATATCACTACAGACTGTGTAAACTTCGACAGGATAATGAAAATACAATGAATAACTCTACACATATAAATCTCGCAACTTAAACTGAAGAGACTGTTTCCTCGTAAACCACGAACTGCCACAACTCCATCACTGTAGAGTCTTTGGGTAGCCTTACCATTACTAAGAAAACTTATTTGTAGCTTAAAAACTTTCAAAATGAAATGTTTAGTTCAGATGATTTCACTGGAGAATTTTATCAAATGTCAAAGAGAACACCAATATCTTCTCTATAATATCTTCTAGAAGAAAAAAGGAAGAGAAACACAAGTTTTTGAAGCAAGCATTAATTACCCTTATACCAAAAGCAGTCAAAAACACTCCAGAAAATAAACTACAGACCAATATTCTCCATTAATACAGACACTCAATCTTCAAGAAAGCACTAGGTGACCTACGCGTGGCAGATGCACGCCTGCTGTTATTTCTCTTATATCCGACTCCAGTTCCTTTTCCAGGCTGCTTGCTTTACTGCCCACTATTGGGAGAGCATTTTCCTTACTGGAAATGAGCAAATCAAAGGGGGCGACTTGCCTGTCATCTCCTGAAGTTACAGCATCTCACCTGAGTAGCACGGCTGTGGCATCCTGTTCTTGGTGTTCAGAACACAGAAAAGAAATCTTGTCTTGGCCGGTGCGGTGGCTCATGCCTGTAATCTCAGCACTTTGGGAGGCCAAGGCGGGTGGATCACTGCGTTCAGAAGTTTGAGACCAGCCTGGTCAACATGGTGAAACCCCATGTCTACTAAAAATACAAAAAATAGGCGGGCATGGTGGGGGACGCCTGTAATCCCAGCTACTTGGGAGTCTGAGGCAGGAGAATCGCTTGAACCCAGGAGGTGGAGGTTGCAGTGAGCCGAGATCACCCCACTGCACTCCAGCCTGGGCAATAAGAGCGAAACTCTCTCTCTCAAAAAAAAAAAAAAAGATGGTTTTATTTCTGGTATTCTTAGGTTTTTTTCTTTCTTTTTTTAACTCTTCAGGTAATTCTGTGCTTTATATTTTTGATGGTTTCTGTAAATATTGATTGCTCTGTGCTATTGCTCTTGGTTTATTTTATTCCAAAAGCTGAACTTCAAAGCCATTTACTTTAAGCTTTCATTAATAAGACCATTTTTGATATTTTCATATAAAGAGTTCTAAAACTATTTTATGTTTCGGTCACTTGTGGAAGGAGGTACTTAGAACTTTTTTTTTTTTCTTGAACTCATTAATTGATTCAGAAGCTTTGCTGTAAGCCCAGAGCTGTGGTCTACAGTTGGTCATTTTTCTATGGGTCACCATATAATGTGCTGGAGATAAAGTTCAGTATGAAAAGACTGTCCTCTGTCTTCAGACAAACCATGAAGTGTTCTGCATATACCTTTTCTCCATAATTTCATCAGTAGATCAAATGTTATTCTAGTAAGTTGTTCCTGCAGCCTCAACATCTTAGAGAATTCCAAATGACTACACCAAATGAGTTACATGGACATTCTCTCCCTGAGTTACAGGAAAATATTTAAATTACTAATTTTATCAAAATTTGCTGGGCAGTCTATGAGGATGTCTTTCAAGAAACCAGTACACAAAAATAAACATTCCCAGACTCCCTCCGATGTGGGAAGTGGGCCGTGAGGCAACCCTTCCTTCAGGATTTGGGGTGTGTGTGCCAATTAGAGTTTCTTCCAAGGCATCAAGGGAAAATTTGTAAACATAGAGGAAGCCTGGAAATAATCCCACATGTCATTCATTCACTAGGTTGAAAGAATTGTGTTTGGAAAGTTCTATGATAAGACTGTTTTGTGGGAGTTGTATGTACAGCAGTAATGAGGAAACAGATTTTTTTAAAAAATTCCCTCAAGTTCTAAAAATGCAAATGATGAGACACTCTATGTGTCTGGGAGGATACTGATTGATTAATTCTGAAAATGAGATTTTGTGTAGCCAGAGGTTCCTTAGATGAAAGCTTTCTCTTTTTCCTTCATCCTAAGCCCCTTTGGAGATTATGCAAATGCGTTGTGTGCTTATGTGGCCATCTGGAGTAACTTTGTCCTGTGCCGTAAAGATGGGCTATAATTACTGCATGTGTGTGCATTGCCATTCAGCAGTAGCCACTGATGTTTACAATTTCTACAGATCCTATGATGCTAGCTACTTAGTCTACATAAAATGTAGCAATTTCCCTTGGAATACTTTCATTTCCTATTTTATAATCACTAGATTTAAATTCTAGAGATTGAGTAGCTTTCAAACCTGAGCTGTGAGAATGTCACCTCCTGTGGCCTTTCACATAGAACCTCAGTCCTTATCACACTCTGGGTCAGGTTTATGGAAGGTGGGCAAGGGGAGCTGGCTGGTACTGTGCTTTTCAGCCACCACTCATTGTGATCTGCTCTCGGACTCTCATCGCCAATGCCAACAGTGTGTAGAGTATTTGTGACCGCCGGCTGTGTGTGTGGCGTTGGCTGGATCCCCGTTTATCCTGGAAGGGTCAGGAGCTGTGTGAAGCCCAAGGCAGATGGGTCCTTCCAGCCTTTTGGGCCCCCCACCATCTGCTCTCCTCTAAGAGGGGAGAGGCAGGGACTTGAGCTACTGTGTTTGTGACAATCTCTAAGGAAAGGTTGACAGGCATGAAGATGTTGAAGGCACGCATTCAGCTATCCAGGAAAAGGACAATAGCAGAATGAGAGACAAGTGAGGAAGAGCCTCCCGAGCTATGCAGCCACAGGGCCGAGCACAGCAGGAGCGGGGGGACAGTGGAGGTCTTGTCAGGCAGTGTGGGCAGCCCATGGAGCGGAGCCGTGGCAGGACTGAGGACTGAGGACTGGGGACTGAGACCTGAGACTTGAGACCTGACTGGCTCCAGCCTCCCTCGGCCAGGGTGTGAGTGTGTGTGTGTGTGTGTGTGTGTGCCATGCACTGTCAGCCGTGCGCTGTGTGAGCCACACTGTGTGTGTCAGCCATGTGCTGTGTGTCACCTGTGTACTCTGTGTGTGTGAGCCACATGCTGTGTCAGAGCAGTGCGCTGTGAGCCGCGCTGTGTGCGTGCACGTGTGTATGCCATGCACTGTGTGTGTCAGAGAGCTGTGCGCTGTGTGCCCCGCACTGTGTGTGTGCGTGTGTAAGCCGCATGCTGTGTGAGAGCTGTAGGCTGTGTGGGTGTGAGCCGGGCATTGTGGGTGTGTGTGGAGTGAGAGTCATGCACTGTGTGTGTCTGGTGTGTGTCATGTGCTGTGTGTGTGTGGTGTGTGAGCCATGGACTGTGTGTGTGGGGGAATGTGTGAGTGTGTGAACCATGCACTGTGTGTGTGTGGTGTGTGAGCCATGTGCTCTGTGTGTGTGGTGGGAGCCATGTGCTGTGTGTGTGTGTGTGTGTGTGGTGTGTGAGCCATGCATTGTGTGTCTGTATGTCTGTGTCTGTATGTCTGTGTCTGTGGTGGGTGAGCCGTGCATTGTGTATAAGTGTGTGTGTGGTATGTGAACCGTGCACTGTGTGTGTGTGCCAGCCCTGCATTGTGTGTGTGTGTGTGTGTGTGTGGTGTATGAGCCATGCACTCTGTATGTGTGTGTGTATATATGGTGTTAGCGGTGCACTGTGTCTGTGTGTGAGTGTGTGTGGTGTGTGTGAGCCGTGTACTGTGTGTGTGTGTGTGTGTGTGTATGCGAGAGAGAGAAGAGAGAGAAGGAGGGAAAGAGAGAGAGTGTAGGCATCAAGCACCCATTTCCCACAAGAGTAACGTGTTTGGATGTCACAGGGTGGCTCAGAGACAGGCCCAGAACCCACAGCTGTATTTCTCCAGCTCAAAGCAATGGCTCCGCTTCTCTTCTAAATGGGAACATTTTACCCGCAGATTTATTACAGAGATTGTTAAAAATAACTTTTACCAAGTTATTAGGGTCCCTGCTTCTTTCGTCTGGAGTCGCATGAAAACATTTAAAGCACAAATCTCGCTTTCAACCAACATGGCTGCGAGTGCATTGGCAGGTGTTCACGGGCTCCGCAGCCTGAAGCCCAGAGACCTTCCGGGCAGAGCCCAGGAGCAGAGAACCCAACCCGGGCTTCCCCTCAGAAGCGGCACGTGCTGGTCCGGGCCGCCCTCCGCACAAACCACCGGCCGCGGGTGGGATGCGCTTCAGACTGCAGACCTTCTCGCACCGTGTGACCGATGTAGTTTTTGTTTGTTTTTGGTGGTATCCCTGCAGTACTGCGCTGCTGCTTGGTGGCGGTGTAAATTGTACTGCTCTTCAGAATTTTCTCAGGAAAGTGCCGCTTCCAGCTTCTGCCGGAACATGCTTGTGGGCCTCATGCAAAGAAAAGTGAACATATTCCCCAATAGGTACAATGAGCTAGCAGAAAGAAAATTCAGTGGTTTACTGTGTTTTCAAACACGCGTAGGAGAATAGAGATTGGCTGGGCTCTGTGCATTTGTTCTGAGTTAGAGCAATGCCTGTAAACACTCCCCACCTCACCGAGCTGGAAATATTTGCCTCTTGACAAAAAGCAAGAAAGAACCTGTATGCAGTTGTTCCTGTGGGTCTCCCGGGACCCTGCATCCTCCTGTTTTGTTCCCCGTAACTTGCATATGAGAGCATTTTATAATTTTTGACCAAAGGGGGGTTAATATGGAGACTACCTAATTAAAGTTAAACAGCATTATTAAAGAATGTTTTCTCAAAATTGATACTTTTTTCTAGTCCAGAACATACATGTGCAGCTGGCAAGGAGAGATGCTGTGTTTCACGGTGGATTTCGCGTTGGGATTTACCTGTTTTGAGAGTAAGACCAAGGTAAGAGGCCAAGCAGGCATCCATGCCGCCCCATTGCCATGTGCTTGGTTACATTCCATGGGCGTTAACACTCACGCATGTCTGGTAGAAGCCACCAACCTTGCTGGATTGTGTATCGTGCAGAGGCCTTGCTTTCATAGACTTTTTTTTCTGATAGCTCAGGGCCCCAGGATCGCCACAAGCCCTGAGGGTGTCTGGCCAATAGGATTCACAGCAGGGTCAGGTGGGTGGATAGGGAAGTTGAAGATGCTGCTGCTAAGGAGGGACCCACAACACTTGAGTAAACGCTTTGAAAAAAAACACTCATCGTTGCCTGCCTTCCATCTGAACATTCGTGGTAGCGGTGAACAGTGCCTGTGCCTGGGGGAATTTGTGGAGGGCGGATGCCAGGAATGTACAGCTGCCATTAGGAAGGGAGTGAGACCCATTTCCACCCCATCTGAGTATTCTCCTAACTACGTAAGTGTTAAGGAAATGCTTTGTGAGGACAATCCACTGTTTTGTCATAATATTTTTTAAAACCTACTCTCTGTGTTAATTAAGAATGAGTGAAATGGAAAGTGTTGGTAAGATAAATACGGTTGTTAAAAAAAATTTCAACAAATCGAGTTGAAAGACTTACTTGTCTTTTATTAGCAATCCCAAATCGGGCTGCACCCCCTTTACAAAATAGAGCCCCGTTTGTTATCTCATGGTCATTTCCTAACTTCTGTGTTCGAGAACCTTTGGATGCCCTCTGCAGTGAATTGGTCATTGAATCTGTAGGTTAATGAGCACTGGGAACTGCGCCTTCTTTCTGAGAAGCCTCTCACTGTGTGGCCTCTCTACAAAAAGCAAGACAAAAACCTTTCCTAGGCAGGGTCTCCCAAACTGGTGGTTTTGCCCCCGAGGGACACTTGGGCATGTCTGGAGACACTTTCTATTGTCAGGACTTGGTGGGAGTTTCTGCTGATATCCAGGGCACCTGCAGGGTGGAGCCCAGGGATGCCGCTCTGGGCACAGGGCCCCACACAGGGCATCTCCAGGGCCTACTGGGCAATAGTGTGGAGGCTGAAAAACCTGGGCTAGGGCCATGGACTACTTCCTTTACGGAATTCCAGGGCCAGAAAATTTAATGGAGTCATTGTTCCCCTCCAGGGCACATACCATGTTTGCAATGACAATAGCACATATTTGCATAAGCATTGAATAAGAAGAAGGGATTTCACATCTGCCATCCAGTATCCAGGTCCATAATTCTATGGACCCTAAAGTCACAGAGTGGGAAGTAGCTTCAGGGTTCCACTTAGGTGTTCTTCCCGCTGTCCCTGGTCTGCCATATGGACCTGCTGGTTCCAGTCTAGGTGACTTGCTCTTAATATTATTTGGAAGCCAGTTCTTCATAACCTTACTGTGCATGTCCTTCTGAGATAAGGGAGGTAATGAAGCAACTATTCAAGTGTAAGGACAAACTCTCCATACAGCTTCTTAAAGAGAACACCTGATTTGTAACTTCTGCTTCTTGCTCTGTGTTTCAAGTAATGAAGTGTTCCAGGCAATCTGAAAGGAGAATCCAAATTCTGCTTTAGAGCAGGTTTGCGTAGCCCCCTCACTGCAGCCCCTGGGGTCCTGTGTGTCCCTCCACTGGAAGGAGCCTGTGAGCTCCTCCTTTCCAGGAGCGAAACGCTGGCCCACCGGCCCCATTGCCTGGGCCAGCACTCACCAGGGGCATTTATCTGTACCTGTGTTGCTGTGGGTAATGTACTCACAGGCCCTTCCCAGCCAGCGCCTCTCACCCATGCTCGGGGCTCAGCATAGTGTCCAGAGGTCACGTGTCTCTCTGTTGTGATTCTGCTAGAGGGTCTCAGCACAGGAAGATCAACTGAGTCTGCAAAAATGAAAAGAACATCCATCACCACATTCAGCCAAGCCCTGAGCCCCGTACCTGCAGGGGCTGATTTTCACCTGGAGTGGCCATGGGGTTCCTTGGGTGGGAGTGATGTTTGTGAGTTTCCAGGCCATTGCTCAACATGAAGACACATTTCCTACCTTCATTTCCCCGGTGAGTTTCCTTTCTTCCTGGGCTGCCCTGTGCCTTTCCTCCTCAAGGGCATCACCATCCTTCTCCGGAGCCTTTTCCCATTTCCCTGGCGTGGTCAATGCCAGGCACAGTCAGGCAGAGCCGGGCTTGGGGCCTCATGGGGCACTTCCTATCATTTCAGACAGAACTGTCTCCAGAGTCAGCCCTAAAATCAATCCAGTCAACTTTTAAAATAGCTATAATTTGTTTCTTAATGCTGTGCAAGATGGGGTTGTGAGCCCTTAGGGTAAAGCAGCAGTGTTTTAAATCCTTGGTAACCAGACCGTCCAACTCAGCTGAGCTCCTATAATTAAAGCGCATTTGTCTACAGCCTGGAGTGCCTCCTTTTGCTTGACAGCGTGCGTATCCCTCACCCAAAATGACCTGGGCAGTGCTAGAGTAAGCATGCCGGCGGTCCGGGGGCATCTGGGCCAGCTCCAGCCCTCTACCCGCTCTCTCTGCTTCCAGGGAGGAACTTTTCACCTCCTCAGCTGAGGTTCTTCTCTGCTCGCTGTCCTCTCCACTCTAGGTCAACTTTGTGTAAAGATTCAATGAAGACGTCTTTTTGCTGGTCTGAACCTGAGGCTCAGAGGCCCTGACCTGCTGACCTATTTTCCTTTGAAGGAGAGCACTTGACCTCACATTTTTCTCGTGATTATTTCTTTATTTCAAGGAGTTCTGGCCTAACTCCTTGTTGAGTCCATTCAGACAACAACTGAACCTGAAAATAGCACATGACAACATAAACAATTGTTCCTTGTAGTTTATTTTAGAATTTGCAATATTTGAATTAATTTTTTTGAAGAAAAGCTTTCCCACCTTAACTGTGAAGGATAAACCAATGGGTTGTAAATTCATAAAATGTTTATAATTTTCCTTTATTTGGCATCTTGTCACTCATGTCAATGTAGGATGACATTTGTGAGTTTGGCGTCAGTAGGCTTTCGATTATTTGTATATTGATAGGAACATCAATATGATGAATGATATGATGAAAGAATTATGAAGATAAATATTATTGAATATGAAATGCTTCTAAATAATTATTTAAAATGTTACTTTCTCCGGTACCCACATGCCCTCTTATTAGTCATTATAAAAAAATCAAATAGATTCTGTGCCTACAAATACTTAGATTGGGAGTTACCATGCTTATATTCACAAGATAATTAGCACTTTTACACCACACTATCCTGTTAACTGAGGACATTTGTGTATTATTTCTGGGTCAAAACTAGACCATGACATGGCAACAATGCCTATTCACCAAACTCTTGCAAGGAAAGAGGTTCTGGACTTGGGAGGCCAACCCAACTCATTTGCAGGGACATCCTCCTTCGAAGCCTGTGTGTGGTCAGATTTCTTGATTGCCCACTTCTGCTTGCCAGATAAAGACAAGCAATTATTTCCCAGGCTGAATCCATTCACCATCAACTATCTATTTTCAATGTTGAGAAAGGAGGTAAGCAGGAAAAAAAATGTGTTTGACCATGAAAATATTTTCTGCACTTACAAAATAAATGAGAAGACCATTATCTAATCTATATGGCCTAAATCTCTCGATGCAAAGTTTTTTTTTTAATTAAAGAGGATAAACTAGAACACCCCCTAGCTGCTAGAGATGGAGGGCGTCCCTGCCCCACGCAGGCGGGTCTCCTGCCCCGTCCAAGCGCAGTCCAGGCCGGCGGGGCCTCTGGACGATGTCCACATCCTCTTCTCACTCTCTGGATTAGCACTGACTTCCCTCCTGTTCCATGTAATTAATCAGAAGTGGGAGAGGACATCGACAAGAATAGAACCCACAATGGTGAGGGAGAAGGGGAGGCTGACCCTGGGTGGGCACCAGGCAGCCTGGGTCCAGGAGGGGTGCCGCCTGAGTCCTCAGCCTCCACGGATCCCAGGATGGAGCCTGGCCATACGTGTAGGACCAAGAGCTGCTGGAGAGGCAGAACCACCGCAGGATTCACTCGTTCTTGGGGACACGTTGAAAAGCTAGCCTTGTCTCTAAATGGTAACTTCTATTCTAAATCTACCACCAGGCCACTTCCCACACCGCAGCAAATTATGATTCTGTATTTAGAGCGATTGGTGCAGACTCTCACAAGAGTGTCCTGGTGCTGTCCTGGCCCCCATGGGACCTGCTCCTTAGCTAGGAACAGGATTCCTGTGGGGCTGAGTTAAGGTTGATGGAGAGGAACAAAAAGATCAGTTTTTAAAAGCTGAAAAGGAATTGTTTGTTGTGGAAGACGAAGTGCAGACTTGCCTTTGGCCTGATGAGGAAGAGAAGCAAATGTCTCCACAGCTCCCAGGAAAACATCAAGAAACGAATTAGGTTTGAACTGAGAGCACCTCCAAGTCCTTGTCATGGAGTTGCCTGGTACTGCCTGTGGCATCTCCACCGTGAAGGATTCAAGGATTATCTTCCATGATCGGTGTGTTAACAATCAGACTGTGTTGCAGAGGAAGTATTACCTTCCATTGTCAGTATATTAATAATCAGAATGTGTTCCAAAGGAAGTGAGATGTGATTATCATCTTTAACAACCTGAAACCATCACAGTAATAGGTAAACATTAGCATGTTTCATGTAACATGCACTGAACTGCAAAGCTGCTCTTTAATTACTAAAACTATGGAAAAATGTTTTCTGTCTTCCAAGAGGGAGAACTAAAAATCCGGCTTCCCTTCAGCTTTTATCTGTGCCACGGGAGGATGGGTCCACCCAAGTTTATCCCCCAGGATGTGGAGCAAAAAAAATGGCTCTGATGTGACTGACTGCCCAACAGCGTCTCTGGAGCTGTGAGTGGAGCACATGCCACATTCCGACCTAGAATGTCCAATTGCGCTTTGGAGAAGGGCTCAGAATTGTGAAATTAAACTGTTACCCAGTCCACTTTTACATAAAGTGTGCAGAAATGCCATCCATAATGGAAAAACAAGTTCCTTTTCTACAGAAACATTGCTGTTTTCAGGTGCAGAAGAGAAAATCTGTGAAACAGTTAAAAGAGGCCACCACAGGCGATTTGGAAGGGACGATTATGAGAGGAGCCACCACGTCCGGCCACACAGCTCTGAGAAGGGCAGAAAGAGAGTCACGCCTGCGCCCATGGAGCCCCAACTTGTACCTGGACCACGCTGCAGCCTGTCCCAACCCAGAGAAGCTGACGAGATCCTTGTCCTCCATCACCCAGACAAGAGCTAGATGGTAAAATTAGGACATAATTTTAAGCATATATACTGGATATGTATGCCTCATGAGGAAGGGTTATTCTCAAATCTGCAAATATTGAGTACAGTTGCAGTGCAATATCAATGGACCATAAAGACAATAATCATATACCTAAATCACTTCACTGTGAGGACCATTTTGAATTCTTTAAACAATAAACAGGACTTTTACATAGATATTTTTGCACTTTTTGTATATAATGTTTTAATAGCAGTTTACAATACCATGCAAAATATTAATTTAGGTTATTCCCAGGACCCTATCCTAATAGGGGTAGACCACTACTGCGCTCTTTCTTCAAAATCAAATTTGAACCAAAGACTCTTACTGCTGCTCACAGAGTCGTTTGTTGCTTATTTTGTGAGAAATTAGGCAAAACCTCAATAGCCAAGACTGCCTGGCTTCTCCTGATGGATGAGCACATACCTATGATCACAGGTCCCTCCTACAAATGATGGATAATAGGTCCTTTTAAAGGCAGATGAGACTTACCTGAATCTAAGGGGCTGAAGTCACAGCCTTCACTTAACAGCTTTCAGAGAAGGTGCTTTGGCGCTGCCTAGGCAAGGTGGAATTGGTGTGGAGTGTGGGAAGAGGCTCTCCGGAGGCAGGTGCAGTGGGTGGAGCAGGGCAGGAGTGGCTCGGGCAGCTCCCTCACTGGGACAGGCCCTCCAGGCCAGCTGTGGCTGCCATCTGCTTCTGGGGCTTGCCTCAGTGCCCCAGTACTCACATCACGCTCTCTTCTGCTCGCGACAAGAATGGATACACATGCTTCACTTCTGGAATTGACAACCACGGGATATTAGTCCATTCTCATACTGCTATGAAGAAATACCCAAGGCTGGGTAATTTATAAAGAAAAAGAGGTTGAATGGACTCAGTTCCACATGGCTGGGGAGGCCTCACAATCATGGCAGAAGGCAAAGGAAGAGCAAAGGCATGTCTTACGTGGTGGCAGGCAAGAGAGAGTGTGCAGGGGAACTGCCCCTTATAAAACCATCAGATCATGTGAGACTTAGTCACTGTCACGAGAACAGCATGGGAAAGACCTGCCCTCATGATTCAGTTACCTCCCACCAGGTCCCTCCCATAACAATTCAAGATGAGATTTGGGTGGGGACACAGCTAAACCATATCACATGGGAAGCAGTGACTGAAGCATGATTTTGGAATATTCTCTTTCTAGATAGTGTCTGGCAATTCTAATGCTAAAAGGATCCTGATGCCCAAAGTCTGTCCAGGTGGGTGTGGGCTCAGTTTCCTCACTGTGAACGTGGAAGAGACAGAGAAACTATTCCCTAAGATCCTATGAAGTTCTAAATTTCCCAAAACCTAGAGGAAACATGTGCTTTGACACTTTGGCGTAAAATGCGGAGATTCTATTTAGCTCCTGGATTTAATATAAAGAAAAAGATGTGGCCAAGAATCTTGAGGCTAGCGTGTGGGCGGGAAATAAACCCGTCAATGGTCAGATGGGATAGAAATGTTCTTGAAACTTCTTCCCTGTTTTCTGCAGCCCCTTTGTCTCTCCTGACACTTAGAGAAAAATATGTTCATTGTTTAAAAATAAAAGCTTTTAATGGAAATTTGACGTATGGCTTGCCAAAAAAAAAATTACTGTTCCCTGGTGGAATTTTCCTGGGAAGATAAATATTTATTATAATGAAGTATCTATAATTAAAGACTATCTTTTATAGAAGACATCCATTACGTCTTTCTTTGCTGCAGCCTTTTTTATTTATGGGAGTAAGAGTTTGTAGAGTACATTTCATCTTTAACGTACCATAGCAAACATTAAGTGATTTTTGCAGTAGTATTAAAAGGCGATATTTTTAATTTTTAATTTTACATTTTTCAAATTGGTTCATGAAAAACTAAGGTTTAGTGTTTCACATATAGCCATAGATGGGGTGGTGTCAGTCAGGATTAAAGTTTTTCATTTTATCTGCACTTTTGACTATGTCTTATATAATATAGGAAGAACTGGAACTTTTAGTGATTTTTTCTGAAGTTCTCCAAGCAGAAAAAGGAACAATGCTCATAGGATGTTTTAAGGCTGTGTACAGGAAAACACAAGGGAAGACCAGAGGGGTCGACTGCAGGTGACGTGGGACTGAGGACCGTGGATGCTGATGCATCCCCAAGACATGTGGGGCAGCTACTGGAGGCTGGACTGTGGGGCGGGAGAGTTGAGTGGGCTGGAGGAGGTCAGTTTGCAAAGATTGAAGAATGAGAAAGTAGAGACAGACAAATCATCACATGCTAAACGTCGATTTAAACATTAAGTGAATGTCTGTTGATTTAACGAGGCTGTTTAATGTAGTAACAGATGCTAATTAAATAAATGAGCTCTTGTTTAGAAATCGCTAATTAATTTTATTCCTTTACAGAATGTGCTCTGGAGATTTAAATTTTCCCAGCTTAAGGGATCTTCAGATGATGGGAAAACTCGAGTAAAGCTGCTGTTTCAGAATCTGGACACCAAACAGATTGAGACGAAGGTATGCGGCATGGGGCATGGGTTATTCTGCCACCACCCACACATAAAGTACAGCTCAGAGGGTCCGCTGGTAAAAATCTCCACCCCTCCCATGCACACAAAAATAAACCAATAGGTCCTGAAGCACGAGTCCTTCCTGAAAATTAGGCAATAAATACGCCGAAAGAGCCTGTCGAGGTCAAATATCCCTTATCTGAAATGCTTGAGACCAGAAGTGTTTGGGATTTCAGATTTTGGAATATTTGTGGATTAGGTACTGATTAAGCATCTGAAATCCGAAAATCCAAAAAGCAAAATGTTCCAATGAACATTTCCTTTGAGCATCAGGCCAGCATTCGAGAAGGTTGGGATTCTGGAGCACTTAGCATCAGGGCAGCATTGGAGAAGGTTGGGATTCTGGAACATTTAGCATCAGGTCAGCATTGGAGAAGGTTGGGATTCTGGAGCATTTAGCATGAGGCCAGCATTGGAGAAGGCTGGGATTCTGGAGCGTTTAGCATGAGGCCAGCATTGGAGAAGGTTGGGATTCTGGAGCATTGAGCATCAGGCCAGCATTGGAGAAGGTTGGGATTCTGGAGCATTGAGCATCAGGCCAGCATTGGAGAAGGTTGGGATTCTGGAGCATGTAGCATATGGCCAGCATTGGAGAAGGTTGGGATTCTGGAGCATTTAGCATCAGGGCAGCATTGGAGAAGGTTGGGATTCTGGAGCATTTAGCATCAGGCCAGCATTGGAGAAGGTTGGGATTCTGGAGCATTGAGCATCAGGCCAGCATTGGAGAAGGCTGGGATTCTGGAACATTTAGCATGAGGCCAGCATTGGAGAAGGTTGGGATTCTGGAACATTTAGCGTCCGGCCAGCATTGGAGAAGGTTGGGATTCTGGAGCATTTAGCATCAGGGCAGCATTGGAGAAGGTTGGGATTCTGGAGCATTTAGCATCAGGCCAGCATTGGAGAAGGTTGGGATTCTGGAACATTTAGCATGAGGCCAGCATTGGAGAAGGTTGGGATTCTGGAGCATGTAGCATGAGGCCAGCATTGGAGAAGGTTGGGATTCTGGAGCATGTAGCATGAGGCCAGCATTGGAGAAGGTTGGGATTCTGGAGCATTTAGCATCAGGTCAGCATTGGAGAAGGTTGGGATTCTGGAGCATTTAGCATCAGGCCAGCATTGGAGAAGGTTGGGATTCTGGAGCATGTAGCATGAGGCCAGCATTGGAGAAGGTTGGGATTCTGGAGCATTTAGCATCAGGTCAGCATTGGAGAAGGTTGGGATTCTGGAGCATTTAGCATCAGGTCAGCATTGGAGAAGGTTGGGATTCTGGAACATTTAGTATCAGGCCAGCATTGGAGAAGGTTGGGATTCTGGAGCATTGAGCATCAGGCCAGCATTGGAGAAGGTTGGGATTCTGGAGCATTTCAGGGTTTGGATTTTCATTTTTGGGATGCTCAATCTGTATAGGATGTTTCCTGTTAGAGAGACGTTTATATCCTAAAATGGTGACCATTGAAACAAAGTATTTGATTTTACTAAAATGTACAAGCTTCTTAGTAAATATTAGCAGGAAATCATTATTTTAAAATATACCAGAAGTCAAAATTTAAAGGAAGGGTTTTACAAACTGTATTTTGTTTGCACACTGTATGTGATAAATTGACTATAATATGGAGAACAAACTTCTTTGTTAATTAAAGACCTTAGACCTTTTAAATTCATTGCCTGGAGGTGACATTGTACTATTGACAGGTGTTGACTTTTACCATATTTTATGTATAAATGTGTTGCCCACAAGCCAGTTTAATATAAACTTAATAAGACTAAAGATTAAATTTACTAAACTGAAAAATAAATTTTAAAAAATAGACTCATGAACACATACGGTGTGGAAACAGATTGTCAATACTTTGCACACATTTTTTTCTCTGATGGAATTAATCTGAGCAACATGTCACACATGGCATTTTTATACGTGAAAGTTTAGGTCAACTTTGATCCTCTCTTCATTGATCTCAATGAAATGACACTTTATAGTTGCTTTTAAGTACAACGGAAATTGTATGGGATTGTTTGACATTTTTATGTTTTGGAAATTGACAAAAGCAAAACCTGAATGCAGATGGTACAGACACTGTGGCTCCTGGGCTGGGGGAGAGCGATGAGGCAGCGGCACTCGTGCTGACCGCAGTGCCTGAGCAGGCAAGGCGCTGACCTCTCAGCAGGCTGCCCTGAGCCGCATCCTGGGGTCGTCAGCCACCAGCAAGGTGGGAACGCGGAGAGAGAGGCTTGACATCAGTTTCCATCTGGTATTTCACTGGCTTGGATGTGAATGGATCAGGGATGAAAATAGAATGTTCTTCCTCTGGTTTGTTTATTTATGCAGCTGTTTGCCTTGGGCGCCATCACCGGGGAGGAGCACCGTAACCTTTTGCTGCCTTAATCTTGTGGAGCTCTGAGTCTCATACTGTGAGGGTGCCGGAGGTCTACGGTGGCCATGAGGGTTTCACGCCTGCGGTGTCCCCGTGGCTTTCTGAGCCTCTGTCATCCCCGGGGCTCAGGCTTCAGGACCTCCAGCAGCTCCCATGGCATCTGAAACACCCTTTTGACAGTGTCTGTTGAGGTTAAATGTATTTGTGTTTTATTTGTTAATGATCAGTCAGCTCTTGATTATCTGTTAATGAAAGGAGCATCAGTATCAGGTCACCTAAGACAGAAAGGCCTGAAATATGTTAGATTCACGTGGGACACAGGCTTTGAGACCAGTATCAGGTCACCTAAGACAGAGAGGCTTGAAATATGTTAGATTCAGGTGGGACACAGGCTTTGAGACCGGCATCGCTGCCTTGTGATGCTTTGTTTGGATTGCATCTATTTCCATCGTGGGTTGGTGGAAAAGAGAACGCCCCAGGGAGTTACAGAGGCCACAGGGATGGATACCAGATTCGTAGGACTTGTAGTTTAAACAATTTGTGGAAATTTTTTATGAAAAAAAAATGTAAAACTGCAAATACAGCAACCTAGCTACACTTAGAAATGAGTGTAGGGCACATAAATATGTCCCAACAAACCCAAACTAAAAAAACCTCCACCTCCATTTCCCGTGCTGGATCTCAGAGCCGCCCAAGGCCCCTCCGTGGCACCCCTGGGATGAGAGGGAGGAACTTGGGTAGACAGAGGTAGGGACCTCACAAGAGCAGTGACCCGAGGGCCCTGGGCACGTCGCTTGGGCCCCTCAGCTCCCTGGGCTCTGTGCAGGCAAGGGCCTCACAGCTTACACAGGAAGAAGAGGGGACACAGATGAGGATGACAGCATTTCCCACCTTATCCCACAGAGTAGGAAACACATATGTGGATAACTGCAAACACTTAGTGCATGGGTGATGGGTGACCGTGGGCATTTTCAGAAGTCACCTTCACACACTGAGGTTGTGCATTTATCAACGTATGAGATATACAGAAAGTTAGAACATGGCAGCTGGGAAATGAAAACTCTAGAAGCTAATGCAAGACTTAAGGAGTCCACGGGAATGAATTCTGAGTTGAAACTCATAGCTATTGCAAATCTTGGATGTTAGCAATATGTTGTCTTAAGAAATAGGAACATTTTATTATCTCAATACATCAATTAACCAGGAGTGCCAGAGAAAACAATATTCCTAGTAAGTTGATTTTCTAGTGAAATGAGTGGTAACCATGAAACAAGTTTCCTTTTAGTAGTTGTTGAAAATATTTCTGGAATATTCTACCAGGACGCTACCTTAGTAATTAGTGCATGATGGGAACACTTGAGTTTCTCCTGAAATCTAGGGAGGAGTTCTGGGGCTTGGGGAGCAGAGTGAAATATTCCTACCATCCATTATTTGCAAAAATCACGTAGAATTGGCCGGGCATGGTGGCTCATGCCTGTAATCTCAGCACTTTGGGAGGCTGAGGCGGGTGAATCATGAGGTCATGAGATCGAGACCATCCTGGCTGACACAGTGAAACCATCTTTACTAAAAATACAAAAAATTAGCCGGGCCTGGTTGCGGGCACCTGTAGTCCCAGCTACTCAGGAGGCTGAGGCAGGAGAATGGTGTGAACCCGGGAGGCAGAGCTTACAGTGAGCCGAGATCATCGCGCCACTGTACTCCAGCCTGAGTGACAGAGCGAGACTCCTTCTCAAAAAAAAAAAAAAAAAAGAAAGAAAAAAAGAAAAGAAAGAAAAAAATCACGTAGAATTCAAGACTGTAGGATGATTTCACACAGATTCCAATGGCTGGAAATTTTAGGTTGCAGTAGTTTTTAAATAAAATATTTTTCTTCCTCTTTGACTGTTTTTTCCTTTAAAAAAAAAGAGTGGAGAGGAAGCAAATGTTATTGAATGAAGAATTTACTTCCATCCTGTGCTGTTTGTTATTCATGCAAATTATGTCAGATTATAGAGACATAGCTTGGCGCTCACTGCACAGGGGAAGCTGCCCTTCCCCAATTCCCACGAAAGATACCCAGGGAGGCCCCCCCATGTTTCTGTGTATATTGCTTATATTTTGCATATTTCTTTATAATTCCATTTTTGCCTCTAGGCTGAGCCTCCAAAGGGAAACTTTAGTTTAGCTTTTTTATATTCAGCATGAGGGTCAGCACATATGTACACTTAAATGTTTTAAATGAATAAATTAATGAAGAAGGAGCAAATTATTGTTAAAGAAACTGCCAAATATACTCACAGGAGTTTCATCAGTTCTAAGGAGAAAATTGTTCCTATTGTCAGGAAAATGGGATACCTTAATGCTCACTGGAGTTTCATCAGTTCTAAAGAGAAAATTGTTCCTACTATCATTAAAATGAGATACCTTAATGACTCCATGCAGATGCATACAGAAGTTTCTGATATTCCCACATATATATCCATGAAGCAGAGGTTGTGCCTTGAAAGCAGGGCACATTTTACTGAAGAATCATGTCTCTGGGAGAAACACTACCGTGTATTTTTCACTCTATAATGATCTGTGAGAGTAAACCCCACTGAAAATTACGCCTCTGCCATCAATGAGTCAGCCGAGTGTGCCAGCCGCAGATGGAGGAAGATTGGGCGTGGGCACCTGAGTGTTTAGGACCACGGAGGGGGTGGCAGACCAGAAGGAAATTGGGGTGTTTCTGATACTGAGACCTGGCTGCTGAGTTTTCTTGGCAGGAGCACCGATCGATGCCCACAGCATTTATCACTGAAAAGACTGAATCGAGGGTGCTGAGAAAACTATTTCAGGAAGCCAGATGGTGCCAGGAGGGAGGGCCAGTCCCAGCAAAATGTCATCCAACAGAGAATTTCCCATCTCCCTGTGCATGAACCAGGGGCTCCTAAATGTTCTCATGCAGACGGATATCAAAAGGAAGAGCATAAACAATTAATATGATACATGTGAAGCACAACGCCCCCTTCCCTAATACAGATCTGAAATTATTTTTAAAATTCTCATCTCAAGAAAATGAAAACAAAAGCAAAGCCTTCTTTCTTCCTCCCTCCTTCCTTCCTTCCTTTCCTTCTTTCTTCCTTCCCTCCTTCCTTCCTTCCTTCTCTCCTTCCTTCCTTCCTTTCTTCTTTCCTTCCCTTCCTTCTCTTCTCTTTCCATTTTTAAAATTAATAACCTTTGATAGAAGGCTGGATAGTCGATTCATTCCAGAAAAATGAGTTGACTACTTTTAGGATGTTTGAACACAACATCTTTGTTTTGGTTTTAAGTCTCTCAATAGCTGCATCCAGAAACACAATATTCAAACTAACAAAAAAATATAGTTGAATCAAATCTTTTTTCTAAGCAGTGGCAACAAGCAAGTGTATTATCATTCAGTAACTAAAGTTTTCAAAATGGTAAATTGAAGTTAAAGCATTCAGTCACAAAACTTCACTTGCAGCAGGGGCAAGTCAGAATGAAGACTGCTCTCCAGAGGCAACCCTGGAGTGTCAGCAGCTAACTCCCCCAAAGCCAGAGACACGGGAATATTTAGGGCCCTAGGAGGGAAAATCCACATCCCCAGAAACCAGGTCAGGTGCGTCCTGGGACTTCATTTCCTAGAGAGGAACTGAGGTTGAAAGGGAATGGAGCTGGAGTTCCAATGCAGACCCCATAACACTTTAACTGTTTAAACCTGAGTTGGCCCCAGGAGAAATAATAAAAATTAATATGGCCTCCTTAGATGGTTTTGAAGACATCTGGTACCAGATTCAACTCCCTGAGTCTCTGACCACCTCTCTCTTTGTCTCTGTCTCTATCTCTCTCACTCTGTCTCTCTCTCTCTCCCCCTCCTTCTACCCTTCTGGTGCAGAGTCCTCAGAGGCTCCTTTCCTACTGGGGTACCTGAGTAATCTGTGGTCTTGGAGGCTCCCCTCTACTGCTTGGGGTTGATACAAGGGAACCTATCGCTGCCCAATGATTTGGGGGCACTTTGCACGTGGGAACCTGGGAAGGGCCCCTGCCACTGAACGTCACTGAGCAGGGATTGCTTTCATGAATATCCCACCCTCCACCTTTTGAAAGAGGGCTCAGAGGAAGGCCCAGATCCAAGCAGGAAGTGCCGCCGCTCAAGGCCATTTCATTCATAGGGCACATTCACTTTGTAAAACTCATGAGCCAACCCCTTACTTTTCTCAATAACCCTGTAAATTAGACATGATCTACCCCAGGTCCACACATTTTAACAGATTCAGAAAATTTTGACCAAAAGAAACATTGTGCTGTGAGTCAGAGGCAGAGCCTACTTAGCTCCAGGCATCTGCCTCCTTTCTTAAGAGTTGACCTAAGGAGAGGTAGGAAGTGGAAAGGAGGTGGGTAGGGTCTGTCTCTCTGATCAGAATCTTTTTCATAGAGGAAAACACTTGGATTTCCAAGGACAGCTTCTGGTCAGCTTGGAGCTCAGTGGCTTTTATTGCAACAAGAAGTAGCAGAAGTGAAGCCCTGACCACAGCTGTTTCATCATGAAAGTGGGTGGAAACACCAATAAAACTCTGAAGGACACATGGCTGAGACCCCCAGTAGGCTGGGACATGGCTAACAGTCACATGGTTGAGACCCCCCATAGGCTGGGACATGGCTCACAGTCACATGCCTGAGACCCCCCAGTAGACTAGGACAAGACTAACAGTCACATGGCTGAGACCCCCTGTAGGCTGGGACATGGGTAACAGTCACATGGCTAAGACCCCCCGGTAGACTGGGACAAGACTAACAGTCACATGGCTGAGACCCCCTGTAGGCTGGGACATGGGTAACAGTCACATGGCTAAGACCCCCCAGTAGACTGGGACAAGACTAACAGTCACATGGCTGAGACCCCCTAGTAGGCTGGAACATGGCTAACAGTCACATGGCTGAGACCTCCCCCCACCCAGTAGTGTGGGACATGGCTAACAGTCACATGGCTGAGACCCCCTAGTAGGCTGGGACATGGCTAACAGTCACATGGCTGAGATGCCCCCCAGTAGTCTGGGACATGGCTAACAGTCATATTGCTGAGACCTCCCGCCACCCAGTAATGTGGGACATGGGTAACAGTCACATTGCTGAGACCTCCCCAACCCAGGTTAGTCAGGGACATGGCTGACAGTCACATGGCTAAGACCCCCCAGTAGGCTGGTACATAGGTAACAGTCACATAGCTGAGACTCCCCCATAGGCTGGTACATGGGTAATGTCACATGGCTGACACCCCCTAGTAGGCTGGGACATGGGTAACAGTCACATGCCTGAGACCCCCCAGTAGTCTGGGACATGGCTAACAGTCACATGGCTGAGGGTCCCAGTAGGCTGAGAGTTGGCTAACAGTCACATGGCGGAGACTCCCCAGTATGGCTGAGTTGGGATGGTGTTAGCGCCCAGTAGCTGAGTTGGGACAGTGTTGCAGAGTGGCAGAAATGAGCCTTCAGTCAAGTCTCTGATTTTCATAGCTGCTGTTGCTTATTGAATCATCTCTAGTCTTTGGAATGCCACAGTTTAAGTTTTCTCAGAAGTAAAACAATAAGACATGCATAACATTGATAATTTGAAGAGTAGAAATATAGTGCATATAAGGATTTTAATAAAGAAGAAAATTTTCAAGCCAGAATGAAAAAAAGAGAACCTATTCTATTAGGAAGTCAACTAAAAACTTCATGAATAAAATTAAATTTAGGTTCTTCTTTAGAGACTTCTTGGAGCCAGGAAATAATTCAGAATTCAGCCTAAGTTGTAAGCAAATAATAAAAATTCAAAAACAATGGTCAGCGCTAGAATCTAATAACAGGTGTGCAGTTGGAACATAAATTTTCTCTCTCCAGTCCCCCAGTTTTACCAAAGATAAATCATAGTAGGCCCAATTTATTTTTAAAATAAGTTTTAGTTTTATTATGTTAGGCCTGGTTATTTGCATAAAGTGCAGCAATAATAATGACTGGCCACATGGGTTCCTTCTACGTTGGTTTTGCCAGAATATTTTCTTAGGGAATTTCAGATTAGACTCTTTAAAGACTCTTGAGGCTGGGAAGCCAAGCCAAGTATTGACCATCAGACTGTGCTGGTAGTATCTGTATGAATTGGGTGAATTCCTTCCTTTTCAAGTTCCCAAAATATCTTTAGGTTCCTAGGCCTGTCTGAAAGTGATGTTCTGTGCTTGCCGCAAGGTCAGGAATCTTGTAAGGGAACCTTGTAAGCAAGTGACCATGCCAGTCTTTCCAAGGTACTATTTACTGGCCCTATAAAGTCAACGTCAGTTCCTCAAGGCAGTCTGGTTATATCTAAAAATATGCCATTTCATTATCAAAGCCTTGATAAAATGACCAGTGCCTCCAGTCAAGTCCTATTACAAAAGAAAATAGACTTTTATTGAACTTATGCAAATAACTCTGTCACCATAAAATAAGAATACTCATGAATGGTTTCTGAATTCTGGAGAAATAAGGTAAAGGGAAAGGTAAATGTTTAAGTTTTGCTCACAAAAGTATAGTTTACCCAATTGCTGTAAGCTGTAAATAGTTTAAAAGAAAAAAAGAAAGACTTTTTTACTCTGTAAACAAAATGTGATCAGCAATGTTTCAAACAAAAAGTTATACAAGTTATTTCAGTCCAGTATCAGTTCATGTATTTAGTTCTCACTCTGTTTAATGTTGTGTTAGCAATCCTCATGAACACATCAGTTTTGGTTCTGGTTTTGTTTTAAAGTTCTGGAAGTTTTTAAGTAGTCTAATAGGATGATCTCCAAAGTTATCAGAAACCCTCATTTAAGTGTACTTGTGATCCTTCGTTCATTTTGTTAATAAGATTCAAAGCTTTTACTGTAGTTGATTATGCTTTTTTAGAAAAGTTACAGTGAAACAATAATTGCCTGTGGGTGACAAAAGACAGAATAGCCATGGTTAAAGACTCAATTGGCAAAGAAATTTGGTTATTTCTGTGACATACAGCAATTAAACGTAGTCAGGATTATCACTGATAATATATACCTAGGCATATCAGATTTTTTTTTTTTGAGATGGAGTCTCACTCTGTCACCCAGGCTGGAATGCAGTGGTGTGATCTCAGCTCACCGCCACCTCTGCCTCCCGGTTTCAAGTGATTCTCTTGCCTCAGCCTCCTGAGTAACTGGGATTACAGGCACCTGTGACCACGCCCAGCTAATTTTATATTTTTAGTAGAGATGGGGTTTCACCATGTTGGCAAGGATGGTCTCGATCTCCTGACCTCCAGTGATCCACCTGCCTCAGCCTCCCAAAGTGCTGGGATTACAGGCATGAGCCGCTGCACCCAGCCGGCATATCAGATTTTTTAAAGACATCTTATACAATTTTGGTACATATATTTATAATATATCCAAACAAATATAACAAATAAGTTAAAACGACTTTTTATGTGATATTGTTTCTCTTATGATTTTTACATACCAAGGAAACGTAATATGCCTTTCTTGGACTTGCAGGAGCCCTATTTGGACTTCCAGAGGTCTTAATGTTCAAAAATTATTTTAAGGTCAAAAAGGCAATTTTAGATTTTGAAATTTTATTTTGGAAAGCCTATATCAAATATCTCAAAGGTTTAACACACTTGAACAAAACAGCAACACAAGTCACTGAGAAATAACAGTGATTCATTTAAACAAAGTGATAATCAAAAGATTTCAACAGCAAAAACCATTACTCTTTGATAGAGAGGATATGCAGTTTTCGAAACAATTAACAGACTTCGTAAAGGAAGCATGAGGCCAACAGAATCTGTCACTCTCCCCCCCACCCTTTTTGCAATCTACTCTGAATGTAAATGAAAAATCTTTTACTATCTCCTATTAATATTACATGAAAATCTTGCTCAAAACAAAAAAAATCACCTTTGCATTGGCATATTATTAATGCTGAAGCAAATTTTAATAAAATCTTATAAACGAATCCATTTAATCTCAATCAGCTTTGACACACAAGATAAAATTTTCATAAATATTTTATAACCTCTTACACATTTTTCCATTCTCTTTCTTTTCTCAACTTTGTATATCCTTCAGTTTATCTTTTTCTTTCTTCTTTTATTCTTTCCATTAAATGCAACCTTAGAATAACCTTTACATTAGGCAAAGCCACTTTCCTGTAATAAAATCACACCCCCAAGTCTTTCTTGAAATCTTCCTTACAAAAAATATATCTTCTTATATTTTTTATATAAGAATAAGTATATTTTCTTATACTCTCTGTATATAGAATTGTTTCTCCTCTTATCTCCAGTTTTTGTTGCTGGAAATTAGTTAGAATTTTAACTCTTAGTAGCCTTAATGTATAGTGTAAACCTAAGAAGTAAGGGATTTTTTTTTAACTGTCACTCAGGTACCAACAATTTATGAATACACATTTTATAATCTTAGAAACATAGGCTTTCTAATGGAACAATGTTTCAATTTGGAACAGGACATTTTTACTAACAGATTTCAATATCATTTGTTTCTCTGAAATAAGGCAAAATATATAAGCTTAAACTCATATTTAATAATTGCTGTCTTAGTATTATATCTATTTGGAAATGACTGATATGTTCGATGAATATCATCATCATTTAATTTAGCTTAGCAAAGCTTTAAGGGTACAGTTACCAAAAACTTTGAGAAGCCTTTTTAAGTAAACATATTATAAAACAATTATTACTAAAAGTTCATTTATAAACTTTATCCCATTTACAGCTGTTTAATTTATCTATTCATTCTAATTTTTTGGAAAATTTCATGGGACATTAGACAAATCCAGCCATTGTGTCAAGTTAAATTTTCTGTTAACCATTTTTATATTACTGTATGTTATGCAGGTATCGTAAAAGCAAGAACCTTAAAGTTAAATGCAAGCATAATTTACTGATAACTCCAAAAACAGTTGTTTTTATTAAACAAACAATATTAAGCTAGTTTTATTTACCAAAATTCTTACTCAAATTACCTGAACTTGGAAAATATTTGGGTTTACTTATTTATGAACACTCACTTATCTTTAAGTTAGTTTAGTACTGTATTAGTCTGTTCTTGTATTGCTCTAAAGAAATACCTGAGGCTGAGTAATTTATAAAGAAAAGAGATATACTTAGTTTATGCTTCTGCATGCTGTACAGGAAGGATGATACTGGCATCTAGTCGCTTCTGGGGAGGCCTCAGGAAACTTTTACTCATGGTGGAAGGTGAAGGGGGAGCCAGCACGTCACACAGCCAGAGCAAGGGGGGCGAGGGATGCCATCCACCTTTAAACAACCCCATCTCGTGAGAACTCTATCATGAGAACAGCACTAGGGGGATGGTGCTGAACCACGAGAACCCACCCCATGATCCAGGCACCTCCCACCAGGCCCCACCTCCAGCACTGGGAATGACAATTCCATGTGAGATTTGGGTGGGGACACAGATCCAAACCATGTCAGGTACCATGTAGGTAATATACAAACATGTGGATAGACACGTACATGCATGCAGATACAACATATGACATACGTGTACCTGTGTATGTATCTAAATGTTTAAAAATTAAGGAATTTAATAAAAAAGAATAGAGCTTTACACCTGAGAAGAAGCTGTCCACCCACAACTCTGGGGCTCCGTGAGGAAAAAGAGTTCCTCTCCAAAAAAGAGTTTTGTGGCACCAATTCTGGTTTCCTCAAGAGGTCTTAGGGCTGTTAGAAGATTTTTTTAGGTCCTCTCTTGTGGTATTGAACGGGACAGGAGAAAGAAGGAACAGAAAGAAGTAAATGAAGGACAGATCTTAGAGGAGACAGATGGAGGAGCTCTTGTTTTCCAAAAAGCTAATAAAGTTTCACATTATCCTTGGCAAAAATTCTATCAACTAGTGGAGAAACACACAAAATGAGTGCATTGGTTAGCAGGGGTTTAAGAAAAGAGGGACTCTGTCACCAAGATGCTTTCATAGAAAGAACAGAAGCCTCAAAACGTGTGTATCCACACACACACATACACACACATGCACGCACATATACACACATACACATACACACACAGATGCATACACACACATACACATGCACACGCATACACACATGCATGCACACACACATGCACACATACACACGCACAGATTCACACATGCACATATACACATACGCACATACACAGACACATTTACACACCCACACACTTAATACTAGCTTTAATTAAGGTTACTTTTGACTACAGACTCTTAAAAAATCCTTTTATAAGGTATTAGCTGGGCAATTAGCAAACATTCCTGGTTTTTTTTTCTTTTTTCTTTTTGGAATTTACAGAAAGAGTTTTAGAAGTGGGACATATTTGTTTATTAGAGATCTAGGGTAATCATTATTTAAAGCTGTTTGTCTTTGGCTTAATAAAATGTTTCCTTTTTCTCTGAGTAAATGGTTTTATTTAGCTTAAGAGAAAAGGCTAAAAAACAACAACAACAACAAAAAATGTCTATCGCATTCTAAATATAAACCAAAATTTTAAACCAAAGGTGTATGTGCACAGATGACTCAAAATGAACACAAATAAATATGCATGAGCCCAACTTAAGAAGTTCTCCCTGGCATTAACCAAGGTCTCCAAAGATGAAGCAAAACTCTCCGCCTTTTCAAGATCCAGACACCTCCAGGGTCAGCTTGAGAAAGAAAGTTCTGGTAGCATCAGATGGGGTGCAGCTGTATCTGTCAGGTAAAATCTTCCAGGGTCTCACTTCTCAGCTGCCTGTCTACGCACAATGGCCAGGTTAAAAGGAACAGCCAGGAAAACAGGAAAACAAAAGTGTCCATGGGGGTAGTGCAGGGAAGAAAATATAATTGCTTTTCTTTCCTTCATGTGTTCTTAGTTTTGACACTTTCCTGAAAACAAAAGTCCGATTGACAAGAAGAAACCAGCAGAAGTTTATTAATGAGTGCTGTACGCATCGTGTGGGGGAGGCCTTTGACGCTTATTGACGAGTGTTGTACCCATCGTGTGGGGGAGGCCTCGGAAGTTTTTCTCTGTCAAGACAGTTGCTTGGGGACTGTGCTCACATAGTATTTTTGCAAAGAACCACAAATCCTATATAGTGACTAAACAAAGAAAAGAGCATTTCCAGGCTTCCAAGAGGTGGGAAAATGTGGGAGGTGAATTTATGGGAAGAGTAAAATCTGTTCCTAGAGCCTCTGGTGCCACTGCCTCTGAGCAGATAAACAAGTGTTGTGAGGGGCCTTTTGAGGTGGGAAAGGAGGAGAGGAGGCCAGGAAGCTCTATCTTTGTACACTGCTGTTCCGCCATCAGGCTAGTGGAAGATGGGACAAGGTCCCTGGCATTTTCACCTTCTTCAGCTCAACAATTCTCAGTGTTTTTGAGAGGAATATTTTGGTTTTCTTCAGTAGAAAGGATTATACATGGGTCCCCTAAAAGGTCAAAAGCAATATAAATAATTTAAACAAATAATTCAAATTAATTCTTATACATATTTCTCTCCTAAGCTAAGTGCATCCTCTGAGGAGAGGGATTCTGTGGTGGTCTAAAGAATTTCCATGCTGTTTCAAATCTGATCTCACCTGGAATACTGCCTAGCTAATTCCCTAGATGAGACTATGGCAAAGACATGATAATACTTACATTTCCCAGGGACTGGGAAAGGCCTGGGAAAGCCTGGTGTTCCTTTTGTAATCTGTGCAGCAAGGTGGAGCAGGCAGTTTGACCGTTCACAAGGATGTCTTGAGAAGTTAAAGGAAAACTCTCAAAAAACCAAAAAATTTAAATCTCTTATTATCAGATTTCAGGTGGGACAGACAGAAAGTATGTTTCCCATTCAATTAGTCGGGTTCCACAACCTGCTTTTTAAAATTGTGCATGCAAACATATTAATTTAAGAATTTCAAAAGACTTGCATTGTGACCATTGTTTTTTAGGGTCACCTTGAGTCACATGGGTCCATTTACATAGGTATTTGCAAGACAGAGCTCCATAAATCCAGCGGGTGTTGCCAACGGGGTGCCCCTTAAAGGAGAGCTCAGTTTTGGTAAGCAGTGTCCCATAATTTTAGCAATTCCTTTTCAAAAGTGACCAAGGCTGGCATAGTCTATCAGGTCGATGTGTGCCGGTTGATGAGTGTCACTCCTCAGGTTGTCACCAGTGAGTTGTGACTTGTCCTCTGGGTGTTAGCAGTGAGTTGTGACTTGCTCCTGTGTGTTTCAGAAGCTCCCATCACCTTGGGGCAGCAGATTGACCATTTCTTTCTTTACCTTTCCAAAAGCAAGAGTCCCTAAAATGTTCTTCCAGTGAGGGATGCTCTGTGAGGCCACGTCGTGTCCTGGACAACATTGCTGAAACCTCTCTAATCCCCTAGAGCACCCATGAGGGTCAGAGCTGCAATGGACTCTTCTCTTCAGGGCAAAAGAACTCACTGTCATTCACCTTTTAGTTTGGAGCTAATGGAAATTGGTCCCAAATGAAATGACAGGTCCTAATTACAAACACTAGAAAGCAGCTGCAATTTTAAAAGCATGCTGTGTAAATTTGGGCCTAAAGAAGTGAAACCACTGGTGCTAGACTGGAATACTGTGAAGCAGACCTTCTGCTGCGAGCTAAGTCCAACTGACTTTGTCTTAATAACTTTACAACTATCCGGGGGTGGGGAATGTAGGAAATAACTTCTGGGAATGACTTGGAACCAGGATCCCTTGACTTTATTCTTTCCTTGCCTGGTAATCTTGACTGGTAACTTGAGTGAGACAAGCCTTATGAAGTTTGTGGGTCTGAGAGTCCCACCCAATGGAATCCCAGTTCTTGACCTTGTCTGAGGCACACTTTGGGGGATCCTTGTGTGGCCTTGAATGCTCTCAGCATTGCACTTGCAGGCTGTCAGTAGCTCACTTGATAGTGTGTGGCCTCTACCTCAGCCTGGCATCTCTCTGGCTGTGAAGTCATCGTTTTCTTATTTTAAGGAGTAAAGGTATGATAAGCCTGCCAGATAATCAGATGTCTCAATGGTGCTCAAGAGCTTTAAGATCTCTCATTGCATGTTCAGAAAAATGCACACTCCTGGGCAGGGTACCAGGAAGGCCTGAAGTTCATGCCCTGGCGCGGTTTCCAGCTTCACGACATAACCCAGCCTGGTGCCTGCTTGGCTGCCTCTTCCCTCCAGCTGTTCTTCACGACACAACCCAGCCTGGTGCCTGCTCGGCTGCCTCTTCCCTCCAGCTGTTCCAAGGACATGCGCTGCAACGTCTCATCTCCAGGCCTTTGTTGGGTTCCAGTTCTCAGCTTGTCTTCCTGTGAAGTTGTGTCCTTCCTTTCTACATTCATTTGGTAAACATATGTCAAAAATTTACTATGTCCAAAGGTCTCTCTGCTAGTGAGTGAAAAGTTATCCCTGTTAATTTTGAGACATTAAGATGAATTGGCCATTCAGAAATTAGGGGAAAATAGAAATACAAACAGAACTTACTATAATGTTACCTGATGTGTGTTGTAAAAGTGCAAGGACAAGGACGAGGTGGATTCACACCTTAATTCTATCAGACATTCAAAGAAGAATGGGTATCAATTTTACTGAAACTATTCCAAAAGATAGAGAAAGACGGAATCCTCCCTAAACCATTATGTGAAGCCAGTATCACCCTAATGCCAAAACCAGGAAAAGACAGAACAAAAAAAGAAAACTACAGACAATATATCTGATTAACATATGTGTAAAAATCTTCAAGAAAATTATGCTAATAATTTGCTAATTAAATTCAACATAATATGCCAATTAAATCCAACAGCATATCAAATAGATAATACACCATAATCAAATGGGTTTCATACTGAGGATGCAGGGATGGTTTAACATACGTAAGTCAATAAATATGGTACATCACATAAAATTAAAAACAAAAACCATATTATCATCTCAATAGATGCAGGTAAAGAATTTGACAAAATCCAGCATCTCTTTATGATTAAAACCCTCAGTAAAATCAGCATAGAAAGGACATGACTTTAGGTAATAAAAGCTATCTATGACAAACCCACAGCCAACATCATACTGAATGGGGAAAAGTTGAAAGCATTTCTCCTGAGAATTGGAAGAAGACAGGGACGCCTACTCTCACCACTTCTATTCACCATAGTACTGAAGTCCTAGCCAGAGCAATCAGACAAGAAAAACAAATCAATGACATCTAAAATTTTGAAGAGGAGGTCAAACTATCGCTGTTTGCTGATGATATGATTGTACTTAGAAACTGTAAGGACTCATTCAGAAAGCTCCTAGATCTGATAAATGAATCATGTAAAGTCTCAGAATACAAAAGCAATGTACACAAATGAGTAGCACTGCTATACACCAATAATGACCAAGCTTAGAATTAAATCAAGAACTCAATCGCTTTTACAACAGCTGCAAAAAGTAAAATATTTAGGAATATACCTAACCAAGGAGGTGAAAAATCCCTACAAGGGAAACTACAAAACACTGCTGAAAGAAATCATAGCTGACACAGACAAATGGAAACACATCTCATGGTTATGAATGGGTAGGATCAATACTGTGAAAATGACTATACTGCTGAAAGTAATCTACAAATTCAGTCCCCATCAAAATATCATAATTCTTCACAGAACTAGAAAAAGCAAACCTAAAATTTATGTGGAACCAAAAAGGAGCCTACATAGCCAAAGCAAAACTAAGAAAAAAACAAATTTGGAGGTATCACATTACCCAACTTCAAACCATAATAGAAGGCTATAGTCACCAAAACAGCATGGTACTAGTACAAAAACAGACATAGACCAATGGAACAGAATAGAGAACCCAGAAACAAAGCCAAATACTTACAGCCAACTGATCTTGACAAAGCATACAAAAACATAAATTGGGGAAAGAGAACTCTATTCAATATATGGGTCTGGGATAATTGGCAAGCCACATGCAGAAAAATGAAAGTGGATCCTCATCTCTCACCTTATACAAAAATCAACTGAGGATGGATCAAAGACTTAAATCTAAGACCTGAAACTATAAAAATTCTGGAAGGTAACATCAGAAAAACTCTTCTAGACATTGGCTTAGGCCAATGAGAGTTCATGACCAAGAACCCCAAAGCAAATGCAACAAAAAGCAAAAACAAATAGATGAGACCTAATTAAACTAAAAAGCTCCTGCACAGCAAAAGAAATGATCAGCAGAGTGAACAGACAACCCACGGAAAGGGATAAAATCTTCGCAATCTATATATTCGATAAAGGACTAATATCCAGACTCTGCAAGGAACTCAAACAAACCAGAAAGAAGAAAACAAATAATCTCATCAAAAAGTGGGCAAAGGACATGAATAGGCAATTCTCAAAAGAAAATATACAAATGGCCAACAAACATATGAAAAAATGCTCAACATCAGTAATTTGCAGGGAAATGCAAATTAAAACCACAACATATAAGCTACCTTACTCCTGCAAGAATGGCCATAATCAAAAAGTTAAAAAACAATAGATGTCGGTGTGAATGTGATAAAAAGGGAACACTTTTACCTGCTGGTGGGAATGTAAACTAGCACAACCACTGTGGAAAACAGTGTGGAGATTCCTTGAAGAACTAAAAGTAGGACTGCCATTTGATCCAGCAACCCCACTATTGGGTATCTACCCAAAGGAAAAAAAAGTCATATGAAAAAGACACATGCACACAAATGTTTATAGCAGCACAATTAGCAATTTCAAAGACATGGAACCAACCTAAGTGCCCATCCACCAATGAGTAGATAAAGAAAGTATGGTACATATACTCCATGGAATATTACTCAACCATACAAAGGAACAAAATAATGTCTTTTGCAGCAACTTGGATGGAGCTGGAAGCCATTATTCTAAGTGAAGTAACTCAGGAATGGAAAACCAAATATCACGTTCTCATTCATAAATGGGAGCTAAGTGATGAGGACGCAAAGGCATACAAATGATACAATGGGCTTTGGGGAATTGGGGGGAAGGATGGGAGGGGACTGAGGAATAAAAGACTACACATTGGGTATAGTGTACACTGCATGGGTGACAGGTGCACCAAAATCTCAGAAATCACTGCTAAACAACTTAACCATGTAACCAAAAACCCCCATTCCCCAAAAACTATTGAAATAAAAATAAAAATGAATGTTCAAAACGTGCATGGACAAAGTACTCAAAAGACTACAGAAAAGTGAATTGTTTCTTAAATGGTTATGTTGTTTCTTCTTGATTATAATCTTATCCCACTAATTGCCCTTTTCATAAAGAGATTCATGTGTTTTTGTCTCTCAACTTGGGGCCCAGCCACTGTGACCCTAAAGCGCACTGAGCCTGTGCTCCTTGCGTAGAGGACCTTGAACATACCCCCGTGCGTTCCTCTGCATCAGCTGCTGGCTTTCCATGTGACAGATGCTCCGTAAATGTTTCCTGCAATTAACCATGCTTTGAGAAACTTTATCAACATATAAGCTAATTTTTAGGAGACATGACAGAATGGGTCCTGACATACTTCCTGGCTCTCTCAGTGTTGAGAGAAGCCCAGCAGTGGCCTGAGCCGTCAGCAGCCAACCACGCTGCCTGCTGTCCAGGAAAGGTGAACCAGGGCTATAGCTTCTGTGTGAGAAGGAAGGACTCATGCTCCTCTCTGACCCTGGCTTTGGGGATTCACAGGCAGGTGAGGAAGTTAGAGCATTAAAACAATAGCCATGTAGGTAAGTAAAGCCAGTCTGGGCCCAGGGAAAACCAAGAAAATTTCTAATTACTTTATTTTCGACCATCAGAGCTTCTAAGATAAATTAAAAATTAGACTGGAGTCCTACGAGTGAATTCCGTTTTCCAAGTATCATTGCACTAAATCTAGACATGTACTTCAGCCTGTGTGGGTCTGGATTGAACACCGAGAAACCACGTGAGGCACACTCAGGTTCTGTCCAATGAGCTTAAATAACTTGCTTGTGATTGGATTTGGCAAAATATGAGATGGATGTTCACACTGGGAGAACTGTCCCTGGTAAACACTCCAGCTTCTAAGATAGAAATGCAGCCTTCAAACCCGTCTTCTGGGTGTCCTTAGAGAGAGGTTGGTGTGTTTTACATTTCTTTTAGGTACATCACAGTCATGGTTTACGTCACCAGATCAAACAAATCATATTCTCATTGCTTTGTTTTCCTATCTTTTTTATTTGGAAGGGACCGTCCCCATTATGGTCTATATTTTGGAAGTCAAAATAATATTAGTCTTGAAATTAAAATACTATAATATTTCAACTCAAAGGCATTGGTAAAGAGATAAATCCAAAATATGCCTCTTTTGATACAGATTTTCAAAGAGAAAAGTACCAGACACAATAATACCTACCAGTTTGGAGGTGTCAATTTCCAATTCTCCCCACTCTCTCTGTGCTTAGTGACACTGAACATTTGTTTCATAGACTTGCTGGCCATCTGTCTGTCTTCTTTTGGGAAATGCCTGTCCAAGTTTTCCGCCCATTTTAAAATCAGGTTGTTTTCTTGCTTTTGAGTGCTTTGACTTCCTTATATATTTTGGATATTAACCCCTTATCAAATGCATGGCTTGTAAATATTTCCTCCATTCTTTAGGTAGTCACTTCATTTTGTTTATTATTTTTATTGCTGTGCGGACACTGTTTAGTTCAATGGACTTTAATTTGTCTGTTTGCTTTCATCGCTTATGCCTTTGGAATCATATCCAAAACATCATTGCCCAGACCAATGCCAAAAATATTTTGTCCTATGTTTTATCCTAGTGGTTTTATAGTTTTTGGTCTTACATTTAAATCTTTAATCCATTTTGAGTTGATTTTTTATATGGTGTGAAATAAATATCTGATTTCATTCTTCTGAATGTGAATATCCAGTTTTCCCCACATCATTTATTGAAGAGACTATCTTTTCCCCGTTGTGTGTTCTTGCCACCCTTGTAAAGGAGCAACTGATGGTAAAAGCGTGGATTTATCTTTGGGGTCTCAATTCTGTTTTTGTCTATATTTCTGTTTTAGCACTAGTACCATGCTGTTTTGGTTGTTACAGCTTTGTAGTATATTTTGAAGTTGGGTAGTGCAGTGCCCCTAGCTTTGTTCTATTTACCCAATAATGCTTTTGCTAGTCAAGGTCTTTTGCAGTTCAATATGAATTTTAGAATTTTTTTTCTGTTTCAGTCAAACATGTCATTGGAATTTTGATAGGGATTGCATTGAATCTATAAATTGCTTTGGCCATAGTTTCTTTTCTTTTTTAGGTTGAATAATATTCCATTATATGCATATACCCAACACTTAGGCTGCTTCCATTCTTTGGCTCTTGTGAATAATGCTACTGTGAACACAGGTGCTCAAATATCTGCTTGAGTCCCTGCTTTAAATTATTCGGGTATTGAACAAGAGTAGAATTGCTGGATCATGTGGTAATTCTATTTTTAATTTTTTGAGGAACTCCCATACTCTTTGCTGTAGCAGCTGCACTATTTTATTTCCACCAACAAAGGAAATTGGAATGCACAAGGGTTCCAGTTTCTCCACATCCTCAACAACACTTCCTAGGAGAGTACTGGCCATCCTAATGGATGGTAAATGTTATCTCACTGGAGTTTTATTTGTATCTTCTAATGATTATTGATGTTGAACATCTTTTCATGTGCTTATTGGACACTTCTATATCTTCCCTAAATAAATATTCAGATTTTTTGCCCATTTTCTTATCAAGTTGTCTTTTGTTGTTGTTGTTGCTGATTTATAAGAGTTCTTAAATATTCTAGATATTAGCTCCTTATCAAATGTGTGATTTGCGGATGTCTTCTCTCATTCTGGGAGTTTTCTCTTTATTCTTTGTTTACAGTGTCCTTTGATGCACAAAAGTTATTAATGTTGGTGCAATCTAATTATCTCTTTTAATTTATCTATGCTTTCTTTGATTGCCTTTGCTGTTTGTGTCATATCCAAGAAATTGTTGCCAAACCCAATGTCATAAGTGTTTCCCTATGTTTTCTTCTAAACTTTTTAAAGTTTTAATTCTTATGTTTAGGTCCTTGATTCATTTGGGGTTAATTTTTATATATGGTATAAGGTAAGAGCCTAAATTCATTGTTTTGCAACCGGATATCTAATTTTCCCAGCACCAGTTGATTAAAAAACTGCTCATTCCCCATTGCACGGACATTTCTGATTGAATCACAGACTTACATGGCACCACATAGGCCAGGTTTTACTTCTGTGCTCTCTGGTGTATTCCATTCATCTGTATGTCTCTCTTTATACCAGTACAGTGTTTTGATAACTGTGGCTTTGCCATCAGCTTTAAAATCAGGAACCATGAGACTTCAGACTTTGTTTATTTGTTTTCAAGATTGTTTTGGCTAGTCAGGATCCTTTAAGATTACAGAGGCATTTTTCTATTTAAAAAAATGTCTTTGGGATTTGAATGGAGAATGTATTGAATCTGAGGTTCACTTTTGGCAATATTAACACCTTAATAACATTATGCCTTCCAACCCATAAATATGGGATGCCTTTCCATTTGTTGGTGTCTTCATTACTTTCTTTTAACAATTTTTTTTAGTTTTCATTCTACAAGACCTTTGCATCCATGGTTAAGTTCATTCCTTAGCATTTTACTTTTTCATCCTATTGTAAATGGGATTGTTTTCTTAATTTCTTTTTCAGATTATTCATTATAAGCAGATAGAAACAAAATTTATTTTCCCCTTCTCCCAATCCCCAGCTCCGGGTAACCTCTATTCTATTGTCTGTCTCTATGAATTTGCTTTTTCTAGGTGCCTCATAGAAGTGCAATAGTAGAATAGATTACCTTTTCTATCTGGCTTCTTTTGCTTAGAGCTTAATGTCTTCAAGGTCCATCCATGTTGGAATATGTACCAGAACATTCTTTTTTAGAGCTGAATTATATTGCATTTCATGGATACATCATATTTTATTCAATATTTGTTGATGAGCACTCTGGGTTATTTCACCTTTTGGCTATTGTGAATAATGGTGCAATGCACATTTACATGCAAGTATCTGTTCGAGTCCCTTTTTTATTTTTTGGAATACCCATGGGAGTGAATTTCCTAGGTCATATCATAACTCTATTTAACTTTCTTATGGAACTGCTCATCTGTTCTCCACAGCGCCTATACTTGTTTACATTCCAACTGGCAATGAAGGTTCCAATTTCTCCGCATCCTCATCAATGTTTTTCTTTTCTCCTTTTTAAAATATTATAGCCATTGTAGTAGGTGTGAAGTGGTATCTCATTTTGAGGGTTTTGTTTGTTTGCATTTCCCCAATGATTGATGATGTGACACATCTTACCATGTGTTAAGGGGACATCCGTGTGTCTTCTTTGGAGAAACTTAAGTCCTCTGCCCATTTTTAAAGTGGATTTTTTGTTTTTTTGATGTTGATGTGTAGGAGTTCTTGATAAATTCTGGACATTAAATCCTTCTAAGATATATGATGTGTAAATATTTTCTTCCATTCTGTAGTTTGTCTTTTCTCACTCTCTTGAAAATGTCCTTCGATGCACGAAAGTTTTTTATTTTGATCAAGTCCACTTTATCTTTTTCTTTTGTTGTTTGACAGCAGTGTTTTAAACTCCCTAATGCATGATACAAAACAATCACTTACCAGAGTTATCTAACATGTGCTAGTTGGGGCTGGAGCCACCTTGAATTCTCACTTCAGTTCTCACATTGATAGAAGGAATGGTTTGTAGCTGTTTTTATATTTTTCCAGACTCCAGGAGGAGGGCTTCCTGCCAGTTTTCCCTCAAATTGAGTGGAAGCCTTGTCACATCTCATCAGTAAAAAGACTTGCTCATTGTGAGGGCTGATTATTTCTCTGATGTGTGAATCTTAAGCTGATGAATATCAAGAGGAAAATGTAAACCCTTCTGCCACACCACAGTAGAGGAAGCCATAACTGCCTAACCCACAGAAACAAATACATTCCACTGCAGCCCAAGAGCTGTGCACTGGCATCTGCATACAGGCTGGAGACAAGATGGTCAGGTGGGGGAAAGGGCAGCACCCCCTGTCCCTATGCTAACGACCAAATGAGAGTATTGGCTGCTGCAGCACTCCCGGATCTGCAGACTAGAAACTGCTTAAGGCCTCGCACCGTCCGCTCACTGGCCGCATCGAACTGAAATCAAGCTGGGATGCAGCACAGGCTGCTTCCGGGTGCTCCCAGAGGGGTGGAAGCTCTGTGGAGGCACAGAAGAGGCACCGAGGCACTCGCCTCCCTCTCCATGGCCTCTGACAATTTTCTGTATGTTCCCAAGGTCTTCTCTCTCCTCCCCACAAAAAACTGGAGCTAACAATTAAAGCAAATCCTCACATCTGTCTAAATTTACTGATTTAGGTAACAAAACTTGCAGACCTCAGAGACTGTGAATTTGGAGAAGTGACTTAAAGAACCGAGATGCCGGTTGTTATTACCCTGGAAGAAGGGGTGGGAAGAGGAGTCTATGCAGACAGAGGGTGGACTTGGCATTTGAATAAATGAGATCATCACCCAACAGCCCGATTACAAAACGCCATTCTTTATCCTTTCCAGGATAGAAAGGGCAAACATTTCATACTAATCGAAGGAGAGATTCTTTTGCAAAGTGGGTCATTTTTCTTTTCCAGGTTCTGTAGAGCTGGTTCATGCTAGGAATTAATAAATACCAAATAACAAAATGTTGTTGAAAATGGCGTCTCTCCAAAAAGATATGATCACCTCTATTCTTTCAATTGAAAAAGATTCTAATGTGAAATATCTCTAATGTAAGTGCATATGTTCACAAAAGTGAGCCAGTACAAAAATAAAATGTTTGACATAAATGTGATTTGTCTTTCTAAAATTGAATGGTAGAATAGTGACATTTTATTATTATTTGCATTAATTATAAAAGCATCCTAGGTTTGCTATTATTTCACATTTTTTCCTAAATGGGAAAATAATTTTTCCATCTTTTTGTTATTAATAATTCATTGAATTAATGTGGGATGTTTTGCACAGGGCAATTACAGTTTATTTTCTTCCTAATTTTTTTATAACAAAATATCCCCATTTTACAGGCAAGACACCTGGCTCAAAGAAAGAAATTAAATTATTAGCCTAAATTATAGCTGCCATTTTTGATGTTTAAATTGTGCCAGAGTTTACGTGCAGTATCTCACTTAATTCTCCCAATAGACACAGACTGGGGTTTGCCCCAATTTATAGGTGAGAAAACCAAGTTTTGGAAACGTGCCTTTCTGAGACCTTTGGCTGCCAAGGGAGGATGGCAGCTGAGCTGGGTTTGCAGGAGTCTACGTGTGTCTCTGCTGTTGGAGATGCTCACAGGAGTTTCCAGATGACCGGATTCACCTGTGATCCTCTGAATCTTCCCCCTTGAACTCTGTGCTTTCTGTACACATCAGGAAGCTCAGGATGATCCCTTTGTTCCCCATGAAAAAGGGCCACAGCTGACACCCCTACAGCAGAAACACATGTTAACAAGAGAGAAGCAGAGAACATTTATTACACTCACATGTGTTCATGGAGGTCTTGGGAAATGTGAACTCAGAGGGTCCAGATGGCTGAGGCCCGAATGCCCTCCTCACAGAAAGGAGGAGTGGGGTTGCTCAGTCCCATGCTCCAGGGAGGGTATGTGGGAGTGAAGGTTGTCTTGGCTGCAGACGAAGTCTCCCAGGTAACCTCCGGGAGCTGCCCTCAGAAGAACAGGGGGAAAGTCTGGGCTTGGTGGCTGCCTCCAGTCTCTTCTCTTCTCTGGAGGTTGATCTTTCCCAGCTGTTTAATGAGATCCCTGGGGAGGCAGTCTTAAGACAGTTGCATTTCCTTTGAAAGAAGCTTTCTCAGTCAAATGAGACTCCAGTGAGTTTCTTCCTGCACTTGGGAGAGAAACAAGACAAGGCTGGAGGGACCTTGATTCCGAGGCAGCTTCTGGGGCCCTCAGCACATCCATGTGCCAGGCTTCAGGGAGCCACCTGCTGAGACCCAACAATGCTCTTTTTGTTTCCTAATTTTTATCGCTTTTTTTTTTTTTTTTTGAGATAGGGTCTTACTCTGTTGCCCAGGCTAGAGTGCAGTGGCACAGTCATAGCTCACTGCAGGCTCAGACTCCTGGGCTCAAGCCATCCTCCTACCTCAGCCTCCCAAAGCACTGGGATTACAGCTGTGCACCACCTCACCCAGCCTGTTTTATTTTCTTTTAATGAACAACATGCTGTAGCCTGGGACTTAGGTAATTCAGACTCTGGAAAAGATATTTTCCTTTAATATTTAAAACCTTCTTGAGGACCTAATTAATGCAAATCAGAGCCTTCGTAGCAAGTCCTCTGTGAAGACCTCAGGGCAGGGATCTCACTCCTTAGACAAGGCCGGTTTCTTGCTTCTGGCTTGTTATGAATTATGTTATGATTACATTTGTCTCTTGAGGGTCCTACATTTCAAATAGCTCCTGCTCTGTAGGACAGCAGCAGCTTCCTCTCACTGGGACTTTTAATTTGGGAAGCAGGACATGCATAGGAAGAGTGGACTGGCACTTTTCCCCCTGTTCTGGGCACGCCTGGCCCAGCTCTGTAGGACAGCGGCAGCTTCCTCTCACTGGGACTTTTAATTTGGGAAGCAGGACATGCATAGGAAGAGTGGACTCGCACTTTTCCCCTGTTCTGGGCACGCCTGGCCCAGCTCTGTAGGACAGCGGCAGCTTCCTCTCACTGGGACTTTTAATTTGGGAAGCAGGACATGCATAGGAAGAGTGGACTGGCACTTTTCCCCCTGTTCTGGGCACGCCTGGCCCAGCTCTGTAGGACAGCGGCAGCTTCCTCTCACTGGGACTTTTAATTTGGGAAGCAGGACATGCATAGGAAGAGTGGACTCGCACTTTTCCCCCTGTTCTGGGCACGCCTGGCCCAGCTCTGTAGGACAGCAGCAGCTTCCTCTCACTGGGACTTTTAATTTGGGAAGCAGGACATGCATAGGAAGAGTGGACTCGCACTTTTCCCCCTGTTCTGGGCACGCCTGGCCCAGCTCTGTAGGACAGCGGCAGCTTCCTCTCACTGGGACTTTTAATTTGGGAAGCAGGACATGCATAGGAAGAGTGGACTCGCACTTTTCCCCCTGTTCTGGGCACGCCTGGCCCAGCTCTGTAGGACAGCAGCAGCTTCCTCTCACTGGGACTTTTAATTTGGGAAGCAGGACATGCATAGGAAGAGTGGACTGGCACTTTTCCCCCTGTTCTGGGCACGCCTGGCCCAGCTCTGTAGGACAGCGGCAGCTTCCTCTCACTGGGACTTTTAATTTGGGAAGCAGGACATGCATAGGAAGAGTGGACTCGCACTTTTCCCCCTGTTCTGGGCACGCCTGGCCCAGCTCTGTAGGACAGCGGCAGCTTCCTCTCACTGGGACTTTTAATTTGGGAAGCAGGACATGCATAGGAAGAGTGGACTCGCACTTTTCCCCTGTTCTGGGCACGCCTGGCCCAGCTCTGTAGGACAGCGGCAGCTTCCTCTCACTGGGACTTTTAATTTGGGAAGCAGGACATGCATAGGAAGAGTGGACTGGCACTTTTCCCCCTGTTCTGGGCACGCCTGGCCCAGCTCTGTAGGACAGCAGCAGCTTCCTCTCACTGGGACTTTTAATTTGGGAAGCAGGACATGCATAGGAAGAGTGGACTGGCACTTTTCCCCCTGTTCTGGGCACGCCTGGCCCAGCTCTGTAGGACAGCGGCAGCTTCCTCTCACTGGGACTTTTAATTTGGGAAGCAGGACATGCATAGGAAGAGTGGACTCGCACTTTTCCCCTGTTCTGGGCACGCCTGGCCCAGCTCTGTAGGACAGCAGCAGCTTCCTCTCACTGGGACTTTTAATTTGGGAAGCAGGACATGCATAGGAAGAGTGGACTGGCACTTTTCCCCTGTTCTGGGCACGCCTGGCCCAGCTCTGTAGGACAGCAGCAGCTTCCTCTCACTGGGACTTTTAATTTGGGAAGCAGGACATGCATAGGAAGAGTGGACTCGCACTTTTCCCCTGTTCTGGGCACGCCTGGCCCAGCTCTGTAGGACAGCAGCAGCTTCCTCTCACTGGGACTTTTAATTTGGGAAGCAGGACATGCATAGGAAGAGTGGACTGGCACTTTTCCCCTGTTCTGGGCACGCCTGGCCCAGCTCTGTAGGACAGCAGCAGCTTCCTCTCACTGGGACTTTTAATTTGGGAAGCAGGACATGCATAGGAAGAGTGGACTGGCACTTTTCCCCCTGTTCTGGGCACGCCTGGCCCAGCTCTGTAGGACAGCGGCAGCTTCCTCTCACTGGGACTTTTAATTTGGGAAGCAGGACATGCATAGGAAGAGTGGACTCGCACTTTTCCCCTGTTCTGGGCACGCCTGGCCCAGCTCTGTAGGACAGCAGCAGCTTCCTCTCACTGGGACTTTTAATTTGGGAAGCAGGACATGCATAGGAAGAGTGGACTGGCACTTTTCCCCTGTTCTGGGCACGCCTGGCCCAGCTCTGTAGGACAGTGGCAGCTTCCTCTCACTGGGACTTTTAATTTGGGAAGCAGGACATGCATAGGAAGAGTGGACTCGCACTTTTCCCCTGTTCTGGGCACGCCTGGCCCAGCTCTGTAGGACAGCAGCAGCTTCCTCTCACTGGGACTTTTAATTTGGGAAGCAGGACATGCATAGGAAGAGTGGACTCGCACTTTTCCCCTGTTCTGGGCACGCCTGGCCCAGCTCTGTAGGACAGCAGCAGCTTCCTCTCACTGGGACTTTTAATTTGGGAAGCAGGACATGCATAGGAAGAGTGGACTGGCACTTTTCCCCTGTTCTGGGCACGCCTGGCCCAGCTCTGTAGGACAGCAGCAGCTTCCTCTCACTGGGACTTTTAATTTGGGAAGCAGGACATGCATAGGAAGAGTGGACTGGCACTTTTCCCCCTGTTCTGGGCACGCCTGGCCCAGCTCTGTAGGACAGCGGCAGCTTCCTCTCACTGGGACTTTTAATTTGGGAAGCAGGACATGCATAGGAAGAGTGGACTCGCACTTTTCCCCTGTTCTGGGCACGCCTGGCCCAGCTCTGTAGGACAGCGGCAGCTTCCTCTCACTGGGACTTTTAATTTGGGAAGCAGGACATGCATAGGAAGAGTGGACTCGCACTTTTCCCCCTGTTCTGGGCACGCCTGGCCCAGCTCTGTAGGACAGCAGCAGCTTCCTCTCACTGGGACTTTTAATTTGGGAAGCAGGACATGCATAGGAAGAGTGGACTCGCACTTTTCCCCTGTTCTGGGCACGCCTGGCCCAGCTCTGTAGGACAGCGGCAGCTTCCTCTCACTGGGACTTTTAATTTGGGAAGCAGGACATGCATAGGAAGAGTGGACTCGCACTTTTCCCCCTGTTCTGGGCACGCCTGGCCCAGCTCTGTAGGACAGCAGCAGCTTCCTCTCACTGGGACTTTTAATTTGGGAAGCAGGACATGCATAGGAAGAGTGGACTGGCACTTTCCCCCTGTTCTGGGCACGCCTGGCCCAGCTCTGTAGGACAGCAGCAGCTTCCTCTCACTGGGACTTTTAATTTGGGAAGCAGGACATGCATAGGAAGAGTGGACTCGCACTTTTCCCCCTGTTCTGGGCACGCCTGGCCCAGCTCTGTAGGACAGCGGCAGCTTCCTCTCACTGGGACTTTTAATTTGGGAAGCAGGACATGCATAGGAAGAGTGGACTGGCACTTTTCCCCCTGTTGTGGGCACGCCTGGCCCAGCTCTGTAGGACAGCGGCAGCTTCCTCTCACTGGGACTTTTAATTTGGGAAGCAGGACATGCATAGGAAGAGTGGACTGGCACTTTTCCCCTGTTCTGGGCACGCCTGGCCCAGCTCTGTAGGACAGCGGCAGCTTCCTCTCACTGGGACTTTTAATTTGGGAAGCAGGACATGCATAGGAAGAGTGGACTGGCACTTTCCCCCTGTTCTGGGCACGCCTGGCCCAGCTCTGTAGGACAGCAGCAGCTTCCTCTCACTGGGACTTTTAATTTGGGAAGCAGGACATGCATAGGAAGAGTGGACTGGCACTTTCCCCCTGTTCTGGGCACGCCTGGCCCAGCTCTGTAGGACAGCAGCAGCTTCCTCTCACTGGGACTTTTAATTTGGGAAGCAGGACATGCATAGGAAGAGTGGACTGGCACTTTTCCCCCTGTTCTGGGCACGCCTGGCCCAGCTCTGTAGGACAGCGGCAGCTTCCTCTCACTGGGACTTTTAATTTGGGAAGCAGGACATGCATAGGAAGAGTGGACTGGCACTTTTCCCCCTGTTCTGGGCACGCCTGGCCCAGCTCTGTAGGACAGCGGCAGCTTCCTCTCACTGGGACTTTTAATTTGGGAAGCAGGACATGCATAGGAAGAGTGGACTGGCACTTTTCCCCCTGTTCTGGGCACGCCTGGCCCAGCAGCCCTGCCGATAGGGCCACCCTCCACCCTGCCTGGCGCTGGAACTCCTGAGAGCCCCCCGCATCCAAGGATGTCTCTGGAGGCAGGAAGCCCCAGTCCTAGGGAGGGTAGAGGGCAGGCTCACCCTGACCACAGGGTGCACAGCTGATTGTGGTCTCAGTCCCCATCTCCAGCTCTGATGTCCGGACTTGCTCAAGCAGGAAGTCCTGTTTGTTCTGCACATCCCACCCAACCTCTCCAGTGCCGAATTCCAGGGGCAGCCAGGACATGAACTGGAGGGGCAAGCTCCCTCCAACGCGGGCTTCAGCATTCACAACTAGAGGAAGACGAAGAGGATGGCAACAGGAAATCGAATGCTGCCAAATACTTACAGGTTTATTCTGAGCCAACAGAGTGACTGCGACCTGGGGACACACAGTCTCCTGAGGTCCCAAGAAGGTGCACCTGAGGCAGTCGGGTTGCAGTTTGGTTTCATACATTTCAGGCTGACAGAATCTCATGTGAACCGTAAGTCAGTGCATGGAGGGTGTGCACTGCTTCAGCCTGGAAAAGTGGGTATCTCCAAGCGGGGGCTTACAAGTCATAGGTGGGTTTTGGGGATTCTTTAGCTGGCAGTTGGTTGAAAGAGCTAAGCTTTGTCTAAAGACTTGAGGTCAGTGGGAAGGAACACTGAAGTTAAGATGAAGTCATCTGCATCCACCACGTCATGCTGTACCAGAGTCAGGGTGGAAAGTCAACCACATCATACAGATTAATTAAAAAAAAAATCTGTTCAAGGGGATTTAATGGTTTGTAGGGCACAACTCCCCAGGCCCTTTAGAAAGGAATTTGGGAAAGAGGAAAAAAAAAGGTGAGAGCTCAGTACTCGGAACAGGAAGGTGAAGCCCTTCTAGTCCCAGTGCTAACCCTACCCAGGTAGCACCATAACAGGCAGGGGCTCTGGTCCCAGCACTAACCCTACCCAGGCATCACCATAACAGGTAGGGGGCTTTGGGTCCTTGAGTAAGAAGATCAAAACTTGAGAGGGGTTAGAGCTCCAGCCAGGGATCCTGCAGGGCAGGGTCCAGTAGCCTCCTGACCAGCCTGTGGGTCTTCCTGGTGTTAAGGCTCAGCCCATGAAAACCAAGGAGCCCTCAGGCAAGTCAGACCCCAGCTGACCCTCACCAGCCCTGCCCAGAGACTAGGACCATCATCAAACCAGGGCAAAATTGGTTTTGAAAGCACTAGTTTACAACCACTGGTTCTTCTTAAAGACCACAACATCATCTCTCACTCCCTGTTCCTCTCTGTCACTCTGAAGTCCCTGTCTCTCTCCATGTCCTGTCAGGCCCCTGTCTGGCTCCCATCACTGTATGTGTGAACCCGTATTTCACTCCTTTCTCTCCTTGGCCAAGGCCATGTGAGTTCAGCATTAAGGGGTCTGAATGGCTGCATCTCGCCCAACCCTGGGAAGAGAAAACTAGCTCAGAGGAGTCAGCTGTGTGAGGTTTGAAGAATTTATCAGTCCCAGGGAGACATGAATTTGGGGCTGCAGTCCTGCACTCCCACACATGCACCCTTGCCTGGGGCAGCTGTTTAAAGGCATTGTGCCCCTGCCCTGCTGCCTCACCCATCATCTTCATGTTCCTGGAATTTGTGATACAAAGAACAAAGCATAGCCAATCAATCAGTAGCTTATGGTATTTAATTTAGATTTTGGGTAAACAACTCAGAAACTGCCTCTTTTTTTTTTTTAAGGTCCTTTTGTAACTGCAGCTTTTTGGAGTGTATATTCAGGGCAATTTAAATCTGTATCCCCGGGTTGCAACTCTCAAGCTTGGCTCAAACAAAGTCTCCACATGTATTAATTTAGCCTCAGATTCTTCCTTTAGGTTGACATTCCTATGGCAACAGCCACTGGACCCTGCCTGGAGCACAGCATGCCCTTTATATGTTTTATTCTAAATGCAAGTGTGCACGGATAATTTGTAAACCAAAAATAAAATTCTAAAGCCCCCCAGCCATCTGAATGGACTTCCTCCTCAGCCAGGGATTTCTTAAAATTTAACCTGAAAGACTGGTTCAGGCCATGATAGGAAATAAGTGTTGGGTGTGCCTCATGATGCCTCTCTGGCATTAACATCAACATATTCTTTAAGTCTGAAAACAAACATTTTACAACCTATTCTCTAAAGCCTACTACCTTAAGGCTTCCTCTGCAAATAAGAACTGTGGTCTCCACAATCCTTTATCTTAACCCAGACATTCCTTTCTATTGATCCCAGGTCTTTATATACACTCAACCAATTGTCAACAAGAAAATTTTTCAGTCTACTTCTAATCTGGAAGTCCTTGCTTGTAGTTGTCCCACCTTTCTGAACCAAACCAATGTATTTCTTAAATGTATTTGATTGAAGTCTGCTGTCTTCCTAAAGTGTATAAAATCAAGCTGTGCCCTAACCACCTTGGGAACATGTTTCTAGGACCTCCCGAGGGCGGTGTCACAGGCCATGGCCATTCATATTTGACTGAGAATAAATTTCTTCAAATATTTTACAGAGTTTGACTCTTTTCATTAACAAATTGTTGTACAGTTGAACAGAAATCAGCTTAAACTAATACTTGTGCTTCTAGCTTTCTTACCTGGTGTATTTCTAATGAATTATTTTCTTTAAAAATAATCTTGTTATAGCCCAGTGGGTTATTCTTGACTGATGCACAAAACAGCCAATACAATGAGACAGCATGTGTTACAGCAGAGAAAGAGTTTAATTATTGCAAGGCAACTGAGCAGGAGGAGACAGGAGGTACTTTTCAAATCTTCCTTATGAAGAATTCAGAGGCTAGGATTTTAAAGGATAGTCTTCCGGCAAGGGGTTAGACAATGGGAACTGCTGATTGGCTGGGTTGGGGATGAAACCACAGGGGTGATAGGGATGTCCAAACTGTCTTTGTGCTCTGAATCGTTTCCTGGTTGGGGGGGTCACTGGTCCAAGTGGCATCAGTTGTTCTACTAAAATATAAGGTCTGAAAAACTATCTCAAACACCAGTCTTAGTCTTTACAATAGTGATGTTATCTATGGAGGCAATTAGGGAAGTTACAAGTCTTATGAGCACCAGCTACATGACTCCTGAGCAGTAAGCAAGTTAAGAAACAATGACTAGTTATGATTTACCTATGCAGAGCTCTTAGCAGAATTCAGGTTCCTACCACAATGCTAACCTTGTGGCCCTTCATTAATTATACAAAGGCAGTTTTGGTCCTTGAACAAGAACAGGGGTAGCTTTGGGAAGGGGCTGTTATCATCCTTGCTTTAAGGTTAAACTAGAAGCTAAATTCCTGTGTTCTGAGCTGGGCCTGTGCCCAGGCATGAACAAGGCCATCAGCTTGTGAGGTTAGAAGCAAGGTGGGGTCACTTATGCTACTTTTCTCACCTTCATAAGTTTCACAAAGGCAGTTTCAGTCTCTCTTGTATGTTAAGTGCCATCCAGATGCCAGGGACTGTGCTGGGTACTGTTTATGCATGATTGCATTAATCACCACCAAGCCCCAGGACACAAACAGTGTAATTACCTTCAGTTTGTTCATCGTGAACCTGGGGATGAGTGTAAGTATCTTGCTTAGGGTAAAAGAATTATTAAACATAGAATCAAAGTTAAGCTTAAGTCATCTAAGACTCACAGCCCGCCCAGGCTCAGGTCTTGTCAACATTTGGAAATGATTATTTCTAAAATAATGAATTATAAGCTTTTTGGAGGGGATAACAACTTATAATGTCTGTTTAAAATTTTAATGTTTTTAAATTAAAATTTTATAAACAACAACAAAAGAAGTATGCCCATTTAGGAAATCGGATGGCCTCAGTCTCCTGGCCTTGCTATCACCCCCCCAGTGCCTTCTACATTTCAGACATTGCATCCCCCTCCCTGCGATGCCTATTAGGATAATTATGGTTTTTTAATGTGTGGTGATTCCTCAGAAAATGGTCAGGGGAACTGACTCTGCAGAGGGAGAAGGTGGTTCTTCCTGGAAAGCGGAACTTGGATGTAACCACATTAGTTCCTGCTGGGCTTTGGTCGAATTAATTTCAAGCCTTTGAAAGAGGAGGGAAAGTGTCACTGTGTGAATGGAGGTCTGGAAGGAGGTTGCCCTGCAACACAGCTTGCCCCGATACACGTGCAAATGTGTTCTCTGCCTCTTAGAAAAGCTACCAGATTGCCCATTTATTTATGATTATCCATTGTACTAATCTGTATGGTGCTTCTTGCAGGAGTTTGGCAATTTATAAATCACAGATTTTTCCAGCAAGGACAGCCGGATGCTGTTTCTGCACATGTGCTTTGAAATATAAGCACACTGTCATTTGCTGGCATTGATGACTTGAGTGAAGGCTGAGGTTTTGGCTCAGAGAAACATGATGAATGTTGACGATGGAAAGGGAACAGTGATTGTAAGAAGTCTATTTTATTAAATGAGAAAATAGAAGTGTAAATGCCAACATGCTTCCAAAAAAAGATATATGAAGTTTTTTCAGCTGTCATTATTGGAAAAGAAAAAGAAAAGAAAGAAAAGCCCAACAGGCTATAATGACTAGCCTTACGAAAGCAAATGATATTTTGAGTGAATAGGGACATGATTGACTTGAATTGATGCCTGATTTTCATGTTTTTGTTAATTATTTGTAAGACAAAATTATCAGAAAATGTCTTCCCAATTCCTTAATATGTTTATTCCTACTTTTACTCTCAATATCAAGTTTGGAATGGGTAAAATTCTACACCATCTCCCCACGAAATTGACCTTGTTCGGCCGATAAGTGTAGGAGTTATTTATCTTTGTCAGAACTTGGAAATTTCCAAATAAAATATTTATACAAGCAGAAGAAAGCAGGCCCACAGTTCTCTTAATTTCCTTGTTTTCCCTCTCTTAGTGTATGTCTACCTGACTCTGGAGCTACGGTAAAGTGCAAGCACTGTGCTTTGTGAAAGCAGCTTTCCAAAGAGCAGGGATTCATCTTTAAAATATGTCTCTGGAGGCACAGGAAGAGGCAAGACTGATAGATTCAGAGTTGTTTGCACAAGTCAGATGTTTTTTAACCTTCTGGCAAGATAATAATGCTGAGGGTATAAATAACATTTATGAAGATATAATTCCATTATTTGCTGAAGGGGAAACGGTGGTTTAAAAACCTGAGTCAAAGGAACACCAAGGAAAGTATCCCAGGAGGTAAATCACGGAGTAACCTGTTCACGATTACAGAGAACACTGCCAAGGAAGGTAGATCTTTGAATCTAACCCGACGAATCTGAACAGGTAGAAGAAAGAGGGCACTTGACCCAACAACTTCCAAATAAGATTGGAGGCACACGGGATGTGAACGGAGTCCTCTGTTGTCATCTACCCACTCGGCCGCATCCAGCCGGGCTCAACAGCCTGGGTTTGTTTCTCTGTCACCAGTTGTTTCTGCCATTCTGGGGGAAAAGCACCTGCTCATTTACACTGTTTACCATTGAAGCCTTCATCCCACTGCTCTGAAGTGTCTCTGACCTGGTTGTTCCAGGAACGCCAACCCCCATGGTGGAGAATGCTCACCCCACCCTCTCTGCCAGCCCACGAGGCGCTTTCCTCCTCATTGACCTGCCCTCTGGCATGCCCTCACCCTCCCTGGACTCTTGCAGCCCCTCCTGAGGGAAAGTCCTGTACTCAGTCTTTCCCTCATGTCTCATGATGGACAGCTGTCCTCACCCCATGGACATGGTTCGGTGTCTTCCAGCCGACCTGGAGGTCCCTGGCCCTGCAGAGTGGTACCAGCAGAGTCCCCTCTCTGACAGTCCCTGCACAGCCCCACAGGGTGACCATCGCTTTCTAACTCACTACACTCGTGCCTTGGTTCCTGCCTTTTTCTGGAACCTCTTCCACCCACACCATGCCCAACTGTAAAAATCATTTACTCCTCCAAGGTGCAATGAAAATGACGAGTTGCAACCAAAGCCATCTTCTGCTCAATCCTCCTGGCACCTTTAGCTTCCTGACTGTGTTTGGGGTACCGGCCTCTCCTCTCCTCCCCTCTGCTCCTTTCAAATGGGATGCCAGCCCCTCTGCCTCCTGAGCTCCTTTGGACTAGGATGCAGGCCCCTCTGCCCCCTGAGCTCCTTTGGACTGGGATGCAGGCCCCTCTGCCCATTGAGCTCCTGGGCACAGTGAGGCTGGGCCTGTGCAGGCCTCCTCCTAGCAGCTGGGCCCCGTGTCAGGTTTGAGCACACAGTTCAGCAACCCTGCGAGTGTAAACTCAGTAGGTCAGGGTGGAGCCTGAGATTCTGCCTGTCCAACAGCCTCCCAGGAAATGCTGTCTCTGCAGGACCACTCCCCATAAAGCTTATGAGTTTATTCTTGGGCATTTTGTAATATGGCGACCTCATAGTTTCAAGGTTCTGAAATCTTCAGTGAGTGAAACAGCTGGTCCCACTGGGCTAAGGATCAGATTCTACTTCAAGTGCCAGTCTTGCAACACATTGGCCTTGTCACCTTGCACAGGTTATTTAAATCTCTGTTTTCTCATTTGAAAAATGAGGACTGTATCACCTACATTTTATTTTATTTTACCTTAGCTTTGAGGCTAAGGATGCCTTATTAATTTGACAAAGATGGTTTGGTGAAAATAGCAATGTCTGCTGGGTATTGATGTTGTACCGGAAACCTTACCATTCTCATCAGCCACCTCATTCAGTCACCACAGCAGTTCAGGGGGCTCAGTGGGGTCCTGCCTCACAAAGACATCACCTCCCGGCTGCACAGTTGCCCAGCGTGTTCCTGTGCTGTGTCTGGCTCACCCCCACCCAGAAATCCACATGGTGCATTTTCGGAAAACTTTCCAGCCATTATGCAAAACCACTGGGAGCTTGAAACTGGCTGTGGCGGGAGCACATATACCTCAGCAGTGAGCAAAGGCTGCACATCAGGCCCCCTCCATCCCCAGGACAGCCAGGTCACCTGTACACCACCTCCCGCCCACAGAAACAGTGGGCGGAAGGAGCACGACCTGAGCTCCAGGGTGTGTTCATATGTGAGGGCTACAGCCTCATCGTATAAACATAAGGAAGTGCCTGGGGCCCTGGCTTGGACTCTCTGCAGCACCGCAAGTGTGGAATTGAGTTCCGGGGTGTGGCTGTTCCTCGTGATTGTTGCATTTCATCCTATACTTCTTGGGCTTATTCTAAGACAAACTACAAAGCATCCTCGCTTATTCCAGGTATTCATTCATGCATTGAACAACCATCTCTTTCAAGTCTTGCTTTGAGGGCCAAGTCCCCACAGCCACCTCCTTGAATTCACGGGGCCGTCAGTGACAGAGGAGTGGCCTGCGGTGAAAGGCAGCCTGAGTTCAGATTGCTGTGGCCCAGTGGAAACGGTTCTCTTCAATGCTGATTGACTTCACCTTTGCCCCCTTTCCCATAGGGCCATTAGGTAATGATTGGGAAAACTAAGAACCCAGGATGGCTGCTCATCGGAGGGGCCAGTCATCTCACAGACACTTTGTGACAAATGTCCAGCAGTTTGTGCACTGAGACGGAAAAATGGACCGTGCCGTAAGGAGGTGTGATTTCCACTGGAGGAGATTGATTGAGGACATTTGGTAATATTAGCATTTATGTGTTGATTGAAAGTGTCACTCTGGTGATAGATGGGGCATGCCTGCGCGTAAAGAGTGGGAAAGAAAAAACGTTTTCTCCGGTGATGGGTGACCTCACCGTTCACATTTTGACAAGCACAGGATAGAGCCTCATGGCGTCCTAAAAGTTTTACCTAATTAGGGAAAAATTCAGGGTGTTAAAGCACTCAGCTGTTGAAAACTGTGCCAAGATGTGGGTCATATTTAAAATCATTGTTTCAGCCACCGTTAAATATTAAAAAACTTTATAAAAATCTAAGGCATTAGGACAGATATATTGCAGAGGAAAATGACAGGGCTGTAGGAGTTAGGTGTGGGGGAAGTGGAAGAACGCCGGGCTGGAGCTCAGGGACTGGGTGTTCCGTGGCAGAGCGGCTGCCTGAGTTCCCTGAGCCTCATCTGTAAAGTGGATACGTTTCCATGGGGGAAGTGGAAGACCCCGGGCTGGAGCTCAGGGACTGGGTGTTCCGTGGCAGAGCGGCTGCCTGAGTTCCCTGAGCCTCATCTGTAAAGTGGATACGTTTCCATGGGGGAAGTGGAAGAACGCCGGGCTGGAGCTCAGGGACTGGGTGTTCCGTGGCAGAGCGGCTGCCTGAGTTCCCTGAGCCTCCGCTTTCTCATCTGTAAAGTGGGTACGTTTCCATGGGGGAAGTGGAAGACCCCGCGCTGGAGCTCAGGGACTGGCTGTTCCGAGGCAGAGCGGCTGCCTGAGTTCCCTGAGCCTCCGCTTTCTCATCTGTAAAGTGGGTACGTTTCCATGGGGGAAGTGGAAGACCCCGCGCTGGAGCTCAGGGACTGGCTGTTCCGAGGCAGAGCGGCTGACTGAGTTCCCTGAGCCTCCGCGTTCTCATCTGTAAAGTGGGTACGTTTCCACCTGAAGGGTGTCGCACATTGCGAATGCGATCGGCTGGAGTGACGTGTGAGAAGAGAATACTTTGGGACTTTACAGCAGGTTAAAATCTTATTTTTTCAGGGTTGGTAAATACCTCTGGGTAGACGTTTCACAGGCAACGGGGTCTAAGAGCCGGGCGGAAGTTCTCCCTGTGTCACACAAGGTCGGTTTGACTTCAGGCTTCTGTGGCCTCGATTTCTTCATGTGTGAAACAGGGAATGTATCGTCAGCTTGAAGTGTTGTTACAAGACTAAGTAAAATAACATGAGCAGGGCCCTGGCCAAGCCCTACAACACATTTCACACCGTGGTTCTTATTCATCTCTCAACGTTAGTGCCATTTATACCTTCCACTGTGTGACCTGGGAAATCACGTAATCTTTCTGGTTTTCGTATTTGTTTATGTGTGGTAACAAGCACATGACATGAGATTTACTCTCTTAAGTATTTAGGTGAAGAGTTCAGCCGTGTTAACGACATCCACGTTGCTGTGCAGCTGATCCCTGCGCCCCTTTATCTCACATGACCGAAACTGCACCCGTGGAACGGCAACTCCCGTGTCCCCAGCTCCTGCCCCTGGCAGCCCCATGCTACTCCCCCTTCTGAGAGATTGACCCTGTTAGATTCCATATATAAGTGAGATAATGCAGTGTTTGTTCTGCTGTGACTGGCTTATGTCACTTATCACCGTGTCTTCCAGCTTCATCCATGTTGCTGTCAACAATAACAGTGTATCCTTTTTTAAGGCTGAATAACGTACCTGCATACACCATACTTCTTTATCCATTCTTGCTGTTGACTGATGTTTAGGCTGTTTCCCTATCCTGGCTATTGTGAGTAGTGCTGTAATGAACAGGGGAGTGCAGGTCTCTCTTGGAGATACTGATTCCATTTTCCTCGGATGCATTCCTAGAGAAGGGATTGCTAAGTCATCTCGTGGTTGTCTTTTAATTTTTTTGAGAAACCCCCATACTATTCATAGTAGCTGCACCAATTTACCTTTCCACCCACAATGTGCAAGGGTTGCAGCTTCTCCACACCGTTGTCAACACGGTATTTTCTATGTGGATGTGTGTTTTTACAGCAGTTATCCTGATGGATGTGAGGTAGTGTCTCAGTGTGGTTTTGATTTGCATTTCCCTAATGCTTGGTGATGTGAATGCCTTTTCATGTTTGCTGGCCACTTGAATGTCATCTTTAGAGAAATGTCTATTCAAGTCCCTTGCGTATTTTGAAAATCAGGTTTTTTGTTTTTTACTATTGAGTTGTAGGAGTTATTTATACATTTTGGACATTAACCCCTGATTAGATATGGTTTGTAGGTATTTTCTCCTGTACCATAGGTTGCATTTACACTCTTCTGATTGTTTCTTCTGTTGTGCAGAAGCTTTTCAGTTGACGTGGACCCAAATGTCTACTTTTGCTTTTGTTGCCTGTGGTTATGGTGTCATATCTGTGAAAATCAGTGCCAAGATCAATGTGATGAATCTTTTCCACTGTTTTCTTCTAGAAATTTTATAGTTTCAGGTCTTATGTTTAAGTCGTTAATCTATTTTGAGTTGATTTTTCTGTATGGTGTAAGATAAAGGTCCAATTTTATTCATTTGCTTCTGAATATCCAGTTTTCACAGCACTATTTATTGAGAGACTGACCTTTCCCCACTGTATAGCGTTAGCCCTTTGTGGAAGATCACCTGACAATGTAGGTATAAGTATATTTCTGGGCTCTCTATTCTGTTCCATTGGTTTATATGTGTCTTTAGTACCATACCATTGATTACTGTGGCTTTGTAATATGTTTTAGAGTAAGGAAGTGAGATGCCTCCAACTTTGTTCTTTCTCAACATTGCCCTAGCTATTCAGGATTTTTTGTGGTTTCATATAAATTTTAGGATTTTTTCTATGTCTGTAAAAATGCCATTGAGATTTTGATGGATGTTGCATTGAATCTATAGATCACTTTGGGTAGTATACACATTTTAACAATATTAAGACTTACAATTCATTAACGTGGTTTTTTTTATTTACTTGTGTCTTTAATTTCTTGCAATAGTGCATTATAGTTTTCAGTGTACAAGTCTTTTTGCCTCCTTGGTTAAGTTTATTCTTAAGTATTTTACTTGTTTTGATGCTATTGTAAGTGGGTTTTTTTTTTTCTTAATGTCTATTTTGGATCGTCTGTTGTTAGTGCGTAGAAATGCAACTTTATTGTGTGTATCAATTTTGTCTTCTGAAATTTTGCTGAATTTTTGTTTATTAGTTCTAATTTTTTAGTGGAATCTTTAGGGTTATCTACATATAAGATTATGTTTCTACAGAGATAGTTTTATGTCTTCATTTTCCAATTTGAATGTCCTTTATTTCTTTTCTTGACCAATTCCTCTGGCTAGGATGTCTAGCGCTGTGTTGAACAGAAGGGGCAAAAGTGGGCATAATCTTAGAGAAAAAGATTTCAGCCTCTCACCATAGAGTATGATGTTAGTCATGGACTTTTGACATAGTGCCTTTGTTACGTTCGGGTAATTTTCTTCTATTCCTACTTTTTATTACTTTTATAATGAAAGACTGCTGAGTTTTGTTGAATGCTTTTCATGAGTCTTAAAATCATGTGATTTGTACCCCTATGTCCCAGGGATAAATTCCACATATTTGTAGAATATGATCCTTTTCATGTGCTATTGAATTCAGTTGACTAGTAGTGCCTTTGATTGCTTTATTATAAGGGCAACTGTGGCCTTACATAATGAGTTTGGAAGTGTTCTGTCCTCTTCAGTTTTTGAAAGAATTTGACAAAGATTGATGTTAATTTTTCTTTAATGTTTGGTAGAATTCCCCAGTGGAGCCATCTCTTCCTCATTTTTCTTTTGTTGGAATGTTTTTGATTACTGATTCACTCTCCTTCCTAGTTAGTGGTATGCTTAGATTGTCGGTTTCTTCATGATTGACTGGTAGGTTGTATGTTTCTAGGAATTTATCCAATTTTTTTCTAGGTGGTCTAATTTGTTGGTATATAATTGTTCACAGTAGTCTCATAATTGTTTTTTTCTTCTGTGGCATCATTTATGTCTTCTCTCATTTCTGACTTTGAGTTTTCTCTATTTTTTTCTTAGTTATATTAGTGAGCTTGAATTTCTATTTTAAATAAAATACCATGGTGTAAACAACAGACATTTATTTCTTATACTTTTGGACTCTGTGAAATCAAAGATCAAGGTGCTGGTAGATTCAGTTCCTGAGGATGGATTTCTTTCTCTATTGCAGATGTTCACTTTTTTTCTGTGCCCTCACATGCAGAGACAGTGAGCACTCAGGTCTCCTTTCCTCTACTTACAAAGACTCTAATTCCAATAGCGGAACCAATCCTCATGCCCTCATCTAAGTCTAATTATCTCCCAAAGGTCTTACTCCAAGTATGATTTTATTGTAGTTTAGGACATCAGCATATGAACTTTGGGTGAACAAAACATTCAGTCCGTAACATTAGTCTAGTTAAATATTGCTGATCTTTTCAAAAACCAACTCTTAGTTTTATTGAGTTTTGCTATTGTTTTTATGTTCTCTCTTTCATTTAGTTCTGCTCCAATCTTTATTTTTTTTTTGTACTAACTTTGACCTTAGTTTGATTTTCTTATCTAGTTTCTTAAGGCATAAAGTTATTTGGTTTATTTGAAATCTTTTTTAACATAGGTGTTTACCACCATAAACTTCCCTCTTGGCACTGTTTTTGCTGCATCCCACAAATTTATTTATGCTATGTTTTTGTTTTGGTTTGTCTCAAGATATTTTCTAGTATCCCTCTTGATTTCTTCTTTGATCCATTCGTTCCCCAAGAGTGTGTTGTTTAATTTCCACATTTTTGTGCTTTTTCCAATTTTCCTTCTGCTATTGATTTCTAGCTTCATGCTTTTGTAGTTGAAGAAGATACTAGGTATGATGTCAGTCTTCTTATATTTGTTAATATGTGGCTTGAAGTCTATGGCCTGTCCTGGAGAATGCTCCTGTACACATTTGAGAAGCTTGTGTTTTCTACTGCTGTTAGATGGAATGTTCTGTATACCTGTTCAGTCTATAGTGTTGTTCAAACTTGTTTTCTTATTGTTCTTCTATCTGGTTGATCTAAGACTTATTAAAAGGGTGATACTGAACTCTGCTCCTATTGTTGTGTTGTTGTCTACTTCTACCTTCAGTTTTGTCAATGTTTGTTTCATACACAGGTTGAATATGCCTTATCCCAAATGCTTTGGAACAGAAGTATTTCATTTTCAGACTTTTTTTTGGATTTTTGAATATTTGTATATCCATAATGACATATCTTGGAGATGGGACCCAAATCTAAACAAAAAATATATTTGTTTCATATATACCAAATACACATTGCCTGAAGATAATTATATATAGTATTTTTAAAATTTTGTATATGAAACATAGTTTGTGTTCACCGAACTATCAGAAATCAAAGGTGTCAGGTGTGAGTTTTCTACTTGAGGTGTCATATCAGTGCTCAAAAAGATTTAGATCTTGAATCATTTCAAGATTTCAGATTTTTTGATTAGGGATGCTCAACCTTTATTTAGGTGTTCTGATGTTGGGTGCATATTTATTTACAGTTGTTCTATCTTCCTGGTGGATTGATTCTGTTTTCATTATAAAATATTTTTCTTTGTCTCTTGTAACAATTTCTATTTTGTCTAAGTACAGCCACCCTGCCCTTTTGTTTGCATGAGATATTTTATTCCATCTCTTCACTTTTGGCCTATGTGTGTCTTGAAATCTAAAGTGAGTCTCTTGTACACAACATATAGTTAGGTCTCAATGTTTTTGTTGTTGTCTATTTCACCACTCTAATTTCTGTGGATAGAGAAGCTGAGACTCAAAAATAATATTATTTATCAGCACATATGATGGCTTTTTACATGCTGGGAAAGATGACTGCTTTTACACAACATCAATATCCTTAAATTGCGAATTTCTATTTAGGTTCTAGTCCACCAATAAACCCACTGCCATTTTTGGTTATGTGCTTCCATAAACTAATCTTTATTTTATTTCTTTGCATGTTTTTTCTCTTTCATTAGAATGCTGCCTTTCTGTAGTAATATTGAGAAACATTTTACTTTGTCCATATCTTCTTTCCATTTAACAATATTACCAAAAACAAGCAAACAAAGAAACTAAAGCTCAATTTATTCAACCAAAAATGGTTATTTATCTTCATTTCTTTACATTTAAGGGCACTGAACAAATTCTATCCCATTTTTCCCATAGGAAAAAAAAAAGTACATTAAATGATTGAAAGAAGTTATCTGTATTCATTTTCTATCGATGCTTAACAAATTAACACAAATATAGTAGATTAGAGACACACATTTATCCTCTTACAGTTCTCTAAGAACTTGTCTCTTAGGGCTAAAATCAAGGTGTTGGCTGCTTTCTCCTGCAGCCTCTGGGGGACAGTCTGTTTTCTTGGCTTTCCCAGCATCTGGAGGCTTTGCCCTTGTGCTCTGAGCTCACCTGTGCCAGAAAGCTCCAGCCACCGCAGCTTTGGAAGCATGCCTCCCTCTCTGCCCTCAGAGTGGAGGATCTTGTATGAAGCCTGGATCACCAGCCCAGCCTGTTCAGGAGAGCTCTCTCTGGGGTGTGTTCCTTCCAGCAGCACAGCTTAGAAGGAAGGTATAGGGTGGAAGTTCAAAAGGATCAAGATATTTTTATTTCCAGAAGGTTATTGGACTCTTTGTGCACTGGCACCTGCCACAACAAGTGAGGGGAAGCTCCTTGCCTTTTCTATTTCCCTTATATTTGTGTGACTAAAAGAGGCTACTCTAGTGTTTTTAATTTCCTTTTCTTAAAAACACAAACAAACAAAAAAAAAGTCTGTCCCTAGGGGATTTTCTTTCCTTCTCACTCAGACAGAAGCAGCAAACATACGGTGTCTGATTTCACCCCCCTACATCCAGCATCATACACAGATGAGCAAACCCTTCACTCAGGAAGGGGATGAGTGATTTTTCTTTCAATATTTGTAGAGATGGAGTCTCTAAATAAGAGAGCAGTGTCTGCTTGGCCTACCATTGGAGCCTGATTCTGCATAACGATTCCAGTCACCTGCGTGTCCCAGTGGTTTTTTGTCTTACTTAAGAGAGTTCTTTTGGAGATCCCACCCACAGGCTCTGACCTTATGGAATATTCAAAGCTGATGCAGTCCCCAGCGCTGTCTCTTCCATTCCACTAGCATCCATCAACTCAGTCAGCTCAGACACAGCCCTGAGCAGTAAACTGCGTCCTTGGGGCCTTTGGTCCAAGCCTCAGTGCTTTTTCTAGCTTTGCCTTCTGTGCTTCAGCCACTGGATTCAGATTCCATTGTCCCATCTGTGGGGGCCAACGTGAAGCTTTAAATAAACATGTAAACATCTTTTATTTGTTACAGCCTGTGACATTATGATTACATCATTCTCCACCAACAATAAGAAAATTTACATTACAATGATTTGTCCCATTGAGTGTGTAGCACGAAATTCTCATGGAATTTAATAAATGGTCATCAAGTTGACCCATTTAAAAAAAAAAACTCACAGAATTTTGAAAACCACAGCATGGCAAATCATTATTGGAGACAGACAGTGCAATTAACACAGTGAGGTGGCTGAGAAGTTCCACAATAGCAAAAGTATCCCGCCTTCTTCAATCTACTTTTCTCCAAATCTATGCAAACAAAGAGTGTTTAAAAAATATAACTTTTTAATATCAAACACATTTTGGGAAATGCTGCTGTGTTGATACCATCACATTTCAGTAAAACTTCCATGAAAGTCACCGACGCTGAGCATTTCAGTAGAACTTCCACGAAGGTCACCGATGCTGAGCATTTCAGTAGAACTTCCATGAAAGTCACCGACGCTGAGCATTTCAGTAGAACTTCTGTGAAGGTCACCGATGCTGAGCATTTCAGTAGAACTTCCATGAAGGTCACCGATGCTGAGCATTTCAGTAGAACTTCCATGAAGGTCACCGATGCTGAGCATTTCAGTAGAACTTCCATGAAAGTCACGGATGCTGAGCATTTCAGTAGAACTTCCATGAAAGTCACCAACGCTGAGCATTTCAGTAGAACTTCCATGAAGGTCACCAACGCTGAGCATTTCAGTAGAACTTCCATGAAGGTCACCAACGCTGAGCATTTCAGTAGAACTTCCATGAAAGTCACTGATGCTGAGCATTTCAGTAGAACTTCCATGAAAGTCATTGATGCTGAGCATTTCAGTAGAACTTCCATGAGAGTCACTGAGGCTGAGCATTTCAGTAGAACTTCCATGAAAGTCACTGATGCTGAGCATTTCAGTAGAACTTCCACGAAGGTCACCGACCCTGAGCATTTCAGTAGAACTTCCATGAGATACACCGATGCTGAGCATTTCAGTAGAACTTCCACGAAGGTCACCAACACTGAGTGTTTCAGTAGAACTTCCGTGAAAGTCACCGACGCTAAGCATTTCAATAGAACTTCCATGAAGGTCACCGACACTGAGCATTTCAGTAGAACTTCCGTGAAAGTCACCGACGCTGAGCATTTCAATAGAACTTCTGTGAAGGTCACCAACGCTGAGCATTTCAGTAGAACTTCCACAAAGGTCACTAACGCTGAGCATTTCAGTAGAACTTCCATGAAGGTCACCGATGCTGAGCATTTCAGTAGAACTTCCACGAAGGTCACCGACGCTGAGCATTTCAGTAGAACTTCCGTGAAAGTCACCAATGCTGAGCATTTCAATAGAACTTCCATGAAGGTCACCGACACTGAGCATTTCAGTAGAGCTTCCATGAAGGTCACCGACACTGAGCATTTCAGTAGAACTTCCATGAAAGTCACCAACGCTGAGCATTTCAGTAGAACTTCCGTGAAGGTCACCGACGCTGAGCATTTCAGTAGAACTTCCGTGAAAGTCACCGACGCTGAGCATTTCAATAGAACTTCCACGAAGGTCACCGACGCTGAGCATTTCAATAGAACTTCCGTGAAAGTCACCGATGCTGAGCATTTCAGTAGAACTTCCATGGAAGTTACCAATGCTGAGCATTTCAGTAGAACTTCCATGAAAGTCACCAACGCTGAGCATTTCAGTAGAACTTCCACGAAGGTCACCGATGCTGAGCATTTCAGTAGAACTTCCACGAAAATGACTGACACTGAGCATTTCAGTAGAATTTCCATGGAAGTCACCAACGCTGAGCATTTCAGTAGAACTTCCATGAAAGTCACCGATGCTGAGCATTTCCATAGAACTTCCATGAAAGTGACCGGCGCTGAGATGGAATGACTCCTGTGAAACCCTCACAAAATGGACCCCCCCCATGAAAGAGGAACCATGAATATTTACCTGATAACAAGAAGTACCACAAAAGACCCTGGCAACACCACAAGCTGCACAAAGACCACTGCAACCTTGTGCAAAGACAAGTCTTCTATGAGGACACAAGCTCCCCTTGCTATTGATCCTTGTAGCCAAGGATAACGGTTTCAAAACAACTTCTGTAACCTCCTCACTTTGCCTTTAAGCTTTCCTGAATCCCAGCCTCTTTGGATATCCCTATAATCTCTTATAGCACATATGTCCCAGCTTGCAATTGCCTACATAGTCCCAAATAAACTTTGGGAGAGCCTCTCTCTGTCATTGTATTAGGCTGACACTCCCTAACCCAACATATTGGACTGTTCATTCCACACTGTTTCCTGCACAGAGAGCCAGCAGGTGCCCTTTCCTCTGCAGGTGGAAACACATCAGCCCATGACCGACATGTGAACACAGGTGAGGAGTGCAGCGAGGGATCCATACAGGGTGTCCCCAGCTTAGAACTCAACACAAGTATTTTGTTCAAACAAAATGTCAAAATGTGATTTCAATCAGCTCTAGTTAAAAATTCATAATTCAAGATAGCCTTGCTGGTAATACTTGGTTAGAAAATTAACCAGACCAGAGATATCATGACTCAGCTTTTGGCTGAATTGAAGATGTTCAGTGAAATGCCCACAGGATGCTTGTTTATTCAGTATCTGGATCATGACATAATGGATTGAGTATTGTTTCATAAGCTTTAATTTCATTCCTGGCTTTCAGTACTACTCATTGAGTTTTAGTGTGGAATTTAGTGGTGTGACCGATTTCACTGCTAGCTAGTAATTTCTTTTATTTTCTTTTTTTTTGAGACAGAGTTTCACTCTTGTTGCCCAGGCTGGAGTGCAATGGCACAATCTCGGCTCACTGCAACTTCCGCCTCCCGGGTTCAAGTGATTCTTGTGCCTCAGCCTCCCAAGTAGCTGTGATTACAGGCACCTGCCACCATGCCCAGTTAATTTTTAGTATTTTTTTTTTTTTTTGGTAGGGACAGCATTTCACCATGTTGGCCAGGCTGGTGTCAAACTCCTAACTTCAGGTGATCCATCTACCTCGGCCTCCCAAAGTGCTGGGATTACAGGCGTGATCCACCATACCCAGCCATTGCTAGTACTTTCAAAGATTATGCAGTGTAACTTCAACTTATGGTACCAAAAACTATTGATGTTGTTTTGAATATGTGCATTATTACTGGTAGCTGTTTGGCTTCTTATTTCTGTGCATTGTGCTATTATTGGATACATCTTGGGAACTTGTAAAGCAATTTTCAGTTTCTATGTATAAAACCAAAACCCTGGCCGGGCGCGGTGGCTCACGCCTGTAATCCCAGCACTTTGGGAGGCCGGTGCTGGCAGATCACGAGGTCAGGAAATCGAGACCATCCTGGCTAACACATGAAACCCTGTCTCCACTAAAAATACAAAAAAAAATTAGCCAGGCATGGTGGTGGGCGCCTGTAGTCCCAGCTACTTGGGAGGCCGAGATGGGCGGATCACGAGGTCAGGAGGTTGAGACCATCCTGGCTAACATGGTGAAACACCATCTCTACTAAAAATACCAAAAAAAAAAAAAAAAAAAAAAATTAGCTGGGTGTGGTCACAGGCACCTATAGTCCCAGCTACTCAGGAGGCTGAGGCAGGAGAATGGCGTGAACCCAGGAGGCGGAGCTTGCAGTGAGTGGAGGTTGTGCCACTGCACTCCAGCCTGGGCGACAGAGTGAGATTCCGTCTCAAAAAAAATAAAATTAACCCAAAACCCTGAAGCATGAATGATATGGTCATTATGGCTCTTTTTCTCCAAAAGTCCCTTTAAAGCTCAGTAATTGCTATTTGGAAACACATACATACATTGAATTACAATATGTGCTAAGTTTGCAAGAACCTTGTGTTTCTTCTAGAAAGCTACTTGGTTTTTTTTTTTTCCTCTAACAGGGATAAGTCAAAATGAATAAAAGATTTTGAGTACAGTCTCACGCTTTGGGTATGATTGGCGAATCCAGCTTGAATTAAAGTTTAACACAAGGGCTGGGCAGGCCCTGGGTTCCACTCATGACCAGAGTGAGGGATGCTGGTTACCAAGTGTAATGACGCTTTATGAAACTACCTAAAGACTATGAAGCTTTGGCAGGAGAATACACCTCAACATCTTGAACATTTTGCTCATCACAATTTGAAATGATCAAAATAATTAGTGTTGTAGCTGTCAATGTTAAGAGTCATTCACATGCATAGGAAGGAACTTAATTCAAATTGGAATAAAGGAAAGATGAAGCCTTTGGTTGCAGTCACTAGGAGGTTGGGGGCAGCTCCCAGCATGTTGGTACCCAATGTCCCCCAGTGTTCTTTGTGTATCCCTGCATGGGGTGTTCCTCTGTGTTGAAGTCCTCTTCCGGCAGGCTGGCTCGCTGGCTCTCCACTTGGCATTAGTGGTATTAGAACAAGCTTCAGGTATTCACTTCTCACAGCTGGTCACACCAATGTAGGCATCTTGGCCTCCCTCTCCCTGTCATCTGTACCAAGCTGCCACTGGGCTCTGGCTGGTCCAGCTGGGTCCTGTACCTATTGCAAGAGAGAAGCAGTTTCTAAAAGAAAGGCATGCAGAGAGGACCAGGGAGAGGCCGAGGGGACTTCATGCTGTCAGGGAAGTTTGAAGTCATTTTTGAGATGTCACGTCTTTGAGTTATAAAGAAAAGCAGCTCCGAAAAGCTGAGATGGATGTTATTGGGGAGGGAGGGCTTTACCCGGTGATGTGTGACCTCCAATCCTGCCTGGGGCCCCATTCTCCACCCCCTCATTCTGCCATGGAATGAAAATGACCAAGATCCTGCCTTTCGAGAGCTTAAAGGAGCATGTCTGTGGAACTGACAGGCCTTAGCGTTGCTCTTCTTCTTGAAAATGATTTATCTTTCTTTCTGGTGTCATCTCAGCAGTTTAGAATATGCTAGAATTTTGGTGAGATTTAGAAAATAGGATGTCAATCAATTAGCAGTCACCTCAAAATAAATTTTATTTTCTTCATTTTATTGAATTTTGTTATGCAAACAAAGAAGAAAGACAACATTAGAAGAATGCACTTAGACCTTCTTTTCTACCAATAGAATGGGGGTGGCAGGACGGCAAGATTCGTATTTTACCATCAAAAACAGGAAGATGATTTTTCCCCAGTAACTGAATAACTTCTAAAAACAGTTTCTTTAACTTCTGTGTCAGCTTTGGGGTTCACTGTGGACTTTTCTGTTGATTTGACACAGGGACTTTATGTGGGGCAGTTTGTGGAGAGAAGATGAACCTTTTGTGGGTCATTTTTGCTTTTACAGGACATTTAGTGTCTGTAACATGCGGAGGTAAGGATCCAGGAGTTTGTTTCAGTTTTTTTATTGGGAGGGGGTAGGGGTATAACCGTCTCTCTAGGAAACTCTCCCTGGGGCACCCTTTCCTGCTCTCCCGTAGCCATGGGGACAGGGTGGGTGAACAAGGCCCCTCCTCGCTTCCCGCCGTGCTGTGCACACTGCCTATTCTGCGCCACACAGCAGGCGCTGTTCCTCCCAAGCGTGGCCTTGGCATGAAGCCCACACGCACCCACACAGCAGGCGCTGTTCCTCCCAAGCGTGGCCTTGGCATGAAGCCCACATGCACCCACACAGCAGGCACTGTTCCTCCCAAGGGCGGCCTTGGCATGAAGCCCACACGCACCCATACAAAAGGCACGGCGGCCTGAGACACAATGGCTAGTTCTGCCAACTCACACAGCACAGGGGTCTGCTGCGACGGGATCCACATCACAAAATCACCACAGGTGCTGGGCAGGTGGGGAAGACTGAGTCCTGGCCCAGATTACGGGGTCTGACTTAATCAAGACCCATCACTGAAGATGCAAAATAAAGGAAGTGAGCATTAGCCCCCGTTAGGTGCAAGAAAACAAGTAAGTTACATTCTCAGCGTTGTAATAAAAAATACCCAGTATATTCATGTTTATAACCAATTTGGATCATGATTTGGATCATGTTACTCTGCCTTTTACTTTAAACCATACATATTTCCTGTCTATTATTATTTTTTTGGAGGGACTTTCTTGGAGTTCACAAGGTCCAAACTTTGTTAAATATTTTTGTAACGTGTTCTTCCAACAATTATAATAAACACTTGATCTGATTTTCTCCTCCAGGAACTCGAGTTCCAGGACCTGAGGGCTGTCCTGCACTGCATCCACTCCTTCATAGCAGCCAAGGTGGCCTCCGTGGACCCCGGCTTCATGGACAGTCAGAGTCTTGCCAGAAAATACATGTACAGCAGCTAAAGGTTGTTTCTGTTGAGTGCTGAAAAATTAAATTATTTTCGTAAGAAATGATTCTTTCCTGCAGAATATTGCAACTTTGTGTTGTTTTATGATGAGCCTATAGTTGTGATACCAATAAAACATGTCACTAGTTTCCAAAGACGGGTCCTCCTTGTTAAATCTGACATGGGGGATGCCTGGTCCCCTCTTCCCATGAGTCTCCCCCCAACGAGGAGCCCCAGCGTCCCCCACACAAGTCTGTGGCTCAGACTCCAGTCCACCTGATGCAGTTCACGCCCCAGCCCGCATCCCAGCAGCATGAGAACCATGTGGGCATTGCACATGCCACTTCCCACGTTGGCAAAACCCAGATTTATTTTCATAAAATATGTCATCGAAAATTCTGAGCGAGTGCCACGTTTCTCCTCAGGAAGGAAAGGGTCTCCTTTGCAGTGGGCTGTCATTTCCTTTTTCCTCCAGTGGGGATCAGAGTGACAGGAGTATTTGAGAAACAGGGATTGGTCAAAATATGTAGGGCAAGGAAATCAACTTTACTTAATATTATAATCTTATTACATATCAATCTTCATGCTTATAAATTTATCATACTTTGAATAACATATATAAATATGAATTTTAATTATTTTCCTAATTCATCAAATATTAGCATGCAGTTTAGTTTCCTTGTTTCTCATATTGTTTATGACTTCTGAGTAGGGATACTTTACATTTTTGTTATTAATGGCAATTGACTGGAGTTGCTTGAATTTTTTTTTTAGAGATACAGACTCTAGGTAGAAAAATAAGGATTAGGCACTTTCTTGACAAACCTTCAAATAAAGGATGAACATAAAACCATCAATCTATAAGTATAGGAAAGTAAGAAACAGATGCCTTCTCCTGCAGTTCTATTGAAAAGAAAATGTGGGCCAGGCCTGGTGGCTCATGCATGTAATCCTAGCACTTTGGGAAGTTGAAGCGGGTGGATCACTTGAGGTTAGGGGTTCAAGAGCAGCCTGGCCAACATGGCAAAACCCTGTCTGTACTAAGAATACAAAAATTAACTGGGCATGGTGGTGGACACCTGTAATCCCAGCTACTCAGGAGGCTGAAGCAGAAGAATTGCTTGTACCTGGAGGGTGGAGATTGCACTGAGCCGAGATTGCACCACTGTACTCCAGCCTGGGCAACAGAGCAAGACTCTGTCTCAAAAAAAAAAAAAAAAAAAAAAAAGTGCAGATGCTAAAGGTTCCATGTTCCATTTCATGAGGTGATGAAGATCTCAGCAAAAATCCATAGCTCCCCACATTGCACCCGCCCCTTGTCTATCTGACATTAGGAGGAGGGAAATATTTTAATATACCAAATATTTACAACCAATAGTTTTATGTGTTTGAAAGTATATCCTTTTTAGAAGAGGTACATCTCTATATAATAAATATTGCATGTGCTATGACGTTTTGATGGCTTCTGTGGAAGACTCCAGTAGGGAGCAGAGTATTTCAAGTGAATTTAAAATAATATTCTGCCCCATGAATGTTGTTCTTGGGGCGTCAGACAGTATTTTTCTGTCTCGGTGTTCATTCTCTGGCTTTAATTCAAACTTCCTATTAATACTAATAGCAATAGGAGTTAGAATTGTACAAAATATATAAAACCCAAAAAAGGTAAAGGTAGAAATTTTCCTTTCACCAGTTCGCCTTCCAGTGTGGATATTTTGATCTGCAAAATGAACAGACGCTCATTTTCTTCCCTTTTGCCAAAAAGCCTAAACCCGCCCAAAAATAGAACGTGTTCTTCTGCACCAAGGAGGGAAGAAACTGGGAAGATTTTTGTTTTTGTAAAAAAATAATTTTAGAAAATAAACCTTTACTATATAATAATGAAAAAAATAAGATTTTCCCAGGAAGATTTGATACTAAAGTTTATTTTTATATTTGTATGGATATACAATTCTTTCCAAAAAATGCACTATTTTTTAAAATTTAAAAACAGTAAAATTATTTTTTTGTAAAAATGAGACAAATGACCCCATTCCCACAGGCCTTCCCCTTCACATCAGCTGGATCCCTGTGGGTGGCCACGTACAAGGCTGTAAAGAAGCCCAGGCTGGGCAGTGAGGCCACAAGCTGGGCACCAGCCTCCCTGTTCCTGGCAGTGCATCAGGGAGATGGCCCGTCATGATGGCACCTGGCCCATGGGGGAGACAGTCCTTCATGACTGATGGCACCTGGCCCATCGGGGAGACAGTCCTTCATGATTGATTACACCCAGCCCATGGGGGAGGCAGCCCTTCCTGATTGCACCCCTTTAAAACCGAGACTCCTCAAGTGGCCTCAGTATCTCCTTTGACCAGGCCCTTGCTAGGGGGGCCCAGGTCAGAAATTGTTTTATTTTTATTTGAGACACGCAGTTGATTCTAAGATCTCCTTAGCTTTGGGTTTTAATCAAAAGGTAATGGGGTCACCTGCAGATCTCCATCGCTAACATCTATGAAGTCACCAGCTCACCACCTCTCCTGGGGTGCAGGCTCCGGCCCTTCGGCTCCCATTTCCAGGTACAGAAGCAGAGGGTCAAGGGGCCCAACAAGGTGTCTACAGCCCTGGAGCTGGCCAGGAGCCCAGGCCTTCTGCCGCCCGCCCGGGAGTCCTCACACCTGGGCCTCCTCACACCAGGAGTCCTCACACACAGGGCCCGACTCCCTCACTAAGCAGGGGACCCTCAGAACCCACAGCAGCCACGCCGACCTGGGGAGTCTTCCTGGGGGGGCGGATTTATGTCTTTGCCCCTCCTTAGAAAACAGTAGCCATTATCTTACAAGCATGGATCCATTTTCCTTCTGCTCCATGTCTGTGCATTCCATATCCCATTTGAACACTAAAAACAGAAAACATTGTTGAAACTGATTTGATTTCCAATATGTGGGCATTTGACAGGATAGTATTCTGAATAGATAATTCTCATTAGTGATGTTGCTGTATGAATATTCATCCAGAAGTTTTCTTTACATCTTTTAGAAGGAGGACTGGAAAATGCTCAGAATCCCAAAAGGCAAGGAAATGAAATTACAAACATCAGGTCTTTTTTTCTCAATGGAGAACCACGCACCAAGTATGTCTTTAACTCGGGTGTGTGTCTTGAATACAGGCTCTGCTCATACAAAGCATGTGGGGTTTTCACAACGCTGAGCCAGGAAAAATGACTAAACTCTGGCAGGAGGAAAAGCAACGAAACCTCTAGAGAAGATCAGGGGAGACACAATTGCAGCTCAAAGTTAGAGTCTCCAGCCACAGGGTACAAACAGATCTTTCAAGAGCAGAACTGGATTTGCAAAGCCCAGAGATTATTCTGCAGAAGGATAGCCTCTGTGGAAAAGAGATAGAAATTAACCTAGCAGTGGTTTGTGACAGAAGACAGTTTACACAATGAGGTCCAGTTTTATTGAGAATGAGACTTACAGCAAGTAGTTCTGAACATTAGGAACCATATTTTTAAATGACTCGTGAACTTTATTTTTCTCATTTTATGGTCTGAATTTTAGTGAACTTCAAGAACATTTTAGTTTTCAAAGGAAAAAAGCTCTAACTAAATAAATTTGATTACAGAAAAATAAAACATTCTCAGCATATAAACAAGTTTCTCCAAATCTTACTTTCAGTATTAAGTTGAACTCGGTGTGTTTGAATATGAGACAGCGATCAGCAAATGCCTTGTAACAATCGTCCAATCACTGATACCGCCCATGACCCGTTGTTTGCGTTCTCAGCCTATTTTCATGTGTTTCTTGACTGTTTTCTTCCTCCAGGACTCCCTGCGTATCACAGCAGTGCCAGAGGAATCACGGCAGTTAGCCGGAAAGCTAGTTTACCCCTCCGGGCCCATAGTTCTTGGGAACTGATGTTCAGCTCTTCTGATTTGCTGACAGCTTCTCATAAATGTATAACCACGAATCCTGCCCTGCCCTTGCTGGTGGAGGGACCATTTGATTATTGTCCATTCAGACAGATAAAACTTAGGACAGGATTTTTCAAAACAGATATAAGATGGAGAACATTTCCATGTTGTTCTGGTTTGCTGCTTTCAGTGTTTGGGACAAGAGATAGACAGGTGGAGGGTACATAACCCCTCCCCCGATGCCCACAATCCCCACAGGTTTCCGACCTGACTTTTAAATACAGTTGTCAGCACACTGGCTGTCAAAACCAGAGGAGCCAAGGCTTGGAAGACTGTTGGCTTAGGAGTTGGGAGAACTCTGTGTCCTTTCTGAGGTGACCACAAGCAAGTTTAAACCCGTGTGAAGAATTTACCATGTTTAACTCTTTTGCTCATATATGGAATAGAAAAAGTCACAATCCCTGTTCTTCACCCCCTCACAACCTCATTATGGGCATCAGGTGAGAAATCTGGGAGGAAGTTCTCAGCAAACCAGGAAAAGTGGGTTTTGAGATTTGAGCCGGTGCCTGCCATCTCTAAGGGTGTCCTTATCCATGCAACCAGGTGCCTCCTGAAGTTATGAATGGAATCTGTGCACACACGCTAGAAAAGCAGCAGGAAGCATTCACAGGCAGCACCATTTCCCTAAGGAAAAGCACTTTCTATCTGTGAAAAAGGCCCCGATAGACGCGGGCTTAGAAACATAAGTTCCTCATTTCAGTGAAGCGCTTGCAAGCACTCCCTATCAGCAAGCTGGAGAAGTACACACAGAAAATGCAGGTTACGGTGGAAAATGAAGACATGCCTGGCACATCGTCAGGAGCATGGCTAAGTCAGAGACCCAGAGGCGGCATATGCTGAAGTACAAAATTAACACTTTGTAAAGCCCTTAACAGGTTAAAACCCTGGGATAAACTAACACAATCGATGTTTTAGAGAAGAAAGTACTATCATTGAATTTTAAAAAAGAAAAGATTCAAGGGGAGCCCGGTCTCCCAAACAGTAGCTGTTGGGAGAAGCATGTGGAACATTTAGGTGAAAGTGTTTTTGATCCATTCAACAAGTATTTGTAGAGCATTAACCCGGGGACCAGGCACTGTGACAGGTGCTGCAGCCACGGCCTTGGGTGGATGGGCAGCTTGGATGGATGGGCAGCTTGGGTGGATGGGCAGCTTGGGTGGATGGGCACCTTGGATGGATGGGCAGCTCACAGGCTGGGATAAGCCATGGCACATAGCTGCTGAAAACGCCGATGTCATTCTGGTGCTCACCGTGAAGGAAGATGGGCAGACAATGGCTTGCCCCTCGCCATGCACCCAGAACCGGTCAGTTCACACAGGAAACGTGGACTTTTGTTCTGGGAGCCATGTTTCAAGAAGGACACTGACACACTGGTTCCCAACAGGTGGTCAGTTTTGTATCAGGTGCTTCCTTTAAAACACAACTCCACAGCACATGTCAGGAACTAGGGTTTTCATAGAGCAGGTAGGAAGCTATCCTGCTGTACACCCCTCTGGACAATCTGTACAAAGTGCACAGTAATTTTGCCACCTTAGCAGAATTTCCATAAACTGGATTATATTATAATGGGTTTTTTGTGTTTTTAATCTTAAAACTCAGAGTCAATACTCTTTCTCACTATTAATAGAGTGTACATATGGGAGTTTGGGTATAAACACGGGATAGAATAAATATAACTGACCTTATACATGTATCCTACACACTATCTCTACTATGTCATTTTTTTCTCTGTGAAACTGTGTGAGTCTGGGTGGGACGTAGCATAAGACGGACTACATGACTCTTCGAAATTCAGGTTACCCCAAATCTTTTCCAACAGGACAATCTTTTTAAAAGCACAGATAGATGAATACCTACTTTGTGCAGGGTATATAATAATGAAATGTCACAGAAAACTCAAACACAGGAAAGTGTGGGTGGCAGTTTTACCATTGTGGGAATGATCCCCCATCCAGGGCACAGCCTCAGCATCTTTTCCTATGCCTTTAACTTCAAAGGTCCATGGACAGTCCAAGCTCCAGGCCCAGAGGTATTACAATACGCAAACTAAAATACAGTTGTTTGTGGTGAAGAAAAAGTTGAAACAGTTTTAAGATGAATATATGTAGCTTCAAAATACTTAAGCCAACTGTAGATGATATTGTAAAAGATAAGCTGCTACCTGAAACCTATCTTGATGGGCCATTTCAGTTTCAGAACTAACATGCTGAGTGTTGTAAACAGCAGTTCTTGCCCCATGGCAGATCTAAAAGTGCCTGTGTCCGTTGGGAAGAAGAACGGTATTTAAAAGCCGTCTGAAATAAGCCTCATGGGAAAACAAGTCCACTGCCGCCCCTCCCACAGTCTCTCCGCTCTCCCTGCATCAGCCAGTGGTTCACACTGAGGACACACAGGTGAATCACGTTGAGAATTCCCAGCAGAACCGTAGTTTTCTCCCCAGCTGGCATCTCAGATCAGCCCCGTGGCTGATTCCATGGTGGGCGGGGAAAAGGGACCTACTTCACAATGACTTCCATCTGGGCCATGAGAGGAAGACTTGCCCCCGGCCAACAAGTATCCGAGAGCTGGAAAGGCCGCGTGAGCAAACAGACAAAACCTGCACTCGCCTCCCTTAAATTGAGGGGAAATCCTGGAGAAACGCCTTGCACACTCAGAAACAAACAAGAGAGATGGTCACGGCGGCCAAGTCTGCAGTTCACCTCTGTGGCCACTTCCCTCTGGATGAAGCCCTCAGCCATGGTCTCCTCTTCACGAGATTATAAGGAAAGATAATTCAGATGGAAATCTTTTTTACCCAGCCTGCTGGAAATGCAATGATTGTTGCTACAAGGATTGAAGGCAATGGGCTGGAAACACGCACCCAGCTCAGACCCTGCCTTCGGTCGGTGCCGGAATCCTTCCTTGACCCCAGCCTCACCGTGAGACACCGGGCCCTTCACTCAGAAAGGGCTCCGTCAGTCAGCACCTTGGCGGCCCACTACCCACCGTCCACCTGGTAGGATCTCTGTGTTTTCCTTTTCCTTTTTACTGAACGGGCTGAATTTTTGAGCAAGTTAATCTTTTGTTGTCATACACACAGGGATAATGAGTTTCCCAGCTGTGTTACAAACTTAATAAGTCATAGAAACCGTGGTCACTGTGTTTAATTTCTTCTTTCCAGGACAAGCATGTGTTTGCCCCTTTCGGGTTCTAAGTTTTAACTGACAAAATTTGAAACCATTTCTGCAAAAATGTTAATGAGGATTTATTTGAAAAGAACATCACACCAGAAAACATGAGCCCTGTAATTTATAGAGAAATCTTTTCTTTCTTTCTTTCTTTTTTTTTTTTTTTTTACTGAGATGACGTCTTGCTCTGTCACCCAGGCTGGAGTGCAATGGCTCGATCTCGGCCCACTGTACCCTCCGCCTCCTGGTTCAGGCGATTCTCCTGCCTCAACCTCCCAAGTAGCTGGGACTACAGGCACCCGCCACCACGCCCAGCTAAATTTTTTTTGTATTTTTAGTAGAGACGGGGTTTCACTGTGTTAGCCAGGATGGTCTCGATCTCCTGAACTCGTCATCTACCCACCTTGGCCTCCCAAAGTGTTGGGATTACAGGCATGAACCACTGCACCCGACCATAGATATACCTTTTCAACAGATATTTAAGAATAGAAAAACTGAAAATGTTGATTAAAGAGTTTTTAATTTTTTTTTAAGTTTTTAAAATTTAAAAAGGGAAAAAAAAGCATGAAGAAAATTGCATTAAATTACTTTGACCACGCATTGCTTAGGGCTGAAAAATCATGTTGGTTAGGCAGACGATAGGAGAGATGGGCTCGACTCAGACCTACACTGGCATAGGAAACTGGTGAACTGGGAAACTCACCTTGGTCGTGAAAGGGAGGATTTATTTTGGTTTACAGTATTGTAAGCCAAAAAGTGACCGAAGCAGATCTCAGTCAATTAGAAGTTTATGTTGCTAAGATTGAGAATGTGCCCGGAAAAAACAAACACAAGTCCCAGTGGGACCTGTGACCCGAGCCTTTTCCAAAGAGGGTTTTGGGAACTTTAAAGGGGAAAGAGCGAGCAGGAGGGGAGAAGGAAAAAGAGGGAGGGCAGGCAGTGGGGCACAGTCAGGCATGTGGCCGCAATCTCGTGGGCCTCTGATTAGCGCTAGTGAATCCACGTTTTACACACGATAAGGTAAGCCCTGGAAATCACAGCTGCCTGTTTGGGAATAAAAGGGAGGCAGTTTTGTGTGACGCGGGTCCCAAGCTTAACCTTCCCTGTGGCATCGTGAGTTTGGGGTCTTGAGAGTGTGTTTCCTTCACCGTGTCTACATCGTCCTTATGAAACATGTCCTGAGCACCCTCATTTCCAACCCTGCAGGCATTGCTCAGGCCTCTGATTCTAAACTCTAGTTCTGGTTTTTGGGGAAGCCACCTCCTCACTGCGAATCTCTGATTCCTTTGTTTGAGACACCAGAGGTGGGAAGACAGGAGGATTTTTCTAGTCACGCACAACGAACGTTTCTCTAATGCTATGCATGAGGGAATGACAGTGCTTCATCCAGCACAACGGGTTCCTCTTCAGGGTGCCACGCCCCACACCTGCAGCCCAGCTGCTGCAGGCTGCGTTTGCTGGACATGGGACACCCAGCACGTGCATCGTGGTAATTCCTGTAAATAAAGATGAGCGCGGCACCATCTGTTCCTCCGAGGAGTTAGCAATCTCAGTATTTTCTTCGTAAATCCAAATTATCCATTGTAGAGCTAATGGGTATAAAACCCGCCATCACTGCACTGCCTGCCCCAGGAACCAGGGCCATGCAAATGTCTCGCTCTGAAACTGAGACTCAGAGTGTCTCCTCTGTCTTTATTCCTTTCCAGTGAAAGCTCCCACATGCGTTGATGTGAACTGGATTGACCAGACATTTTGCTCTTTTAAACAATGGTTTAGGGAGGTTCCTAAAAGTTTCTTTGATTTGTTAAATACGTTATGAAGAAACTATTTTGTAGTATTCATAGAGATTCAATTTCCACTTAGCCATTGATCCAAAGTGACATTTTTGCTTGTTATGATGAGCCTTCTGAAGTGAGGCGTGGTCTCAACATCACCCGTGGTGATTACACGGGGCATTCGCGGGAGCACCAGCGTGGGGCTGAGGCTGTTCCTGATGGTGCCCAGGGCAGTGCTGATAGTGGAGGAGAGAGCCTGGTCTGAACAGCACCCCCAGTCCAGTCCACACGGATGAGGCAGGGCAGGAGATTCACCCTCCACCTCCCAGACCCATGACCGAGCACCCTTCACACCACCCCTTTCTCCTGTGAAAGAAAAGTAAAGACACTTAACAAAAAGTGATATTCTCAAACAAAAAGTAATATTCTTTAACAAAAAGTAAAACAACAGAATGATGTTGTTTTAAAAGCTAAACAAATGTAAATAATTCTGGTAGTGAAAGGAAGACCAAATTCATATATCTAAAAAAAGTAAAATTCCCAAGGGCACTGGCAGGATAACAATGATATTAAAAACCAGTGAAGACAGCTTTTGGTCAGGGCTTTACTTAAAAATTACTTTATATTTGGCAAAGACAAAATAGATAATATGGAATTTGGCTAGGGAAAAGGATGTATATTTTATTGGCTCCCACTGGTGAATTTACACCAGAGTCAGAGCTCGGCCACTTAAATAATATTTAATTTTTGTGATAAAAATGTTTTCTCCCTTAATAAACTGTTCCTTTAAAACTGGAATTCAAAGTAAATGCAAAGCAGAAAGAAGCTCCACAGTGTGTCCTTCGGGTAAACCAGTCTTCCTGCTGCCTTTAGATCAGCACCTCTGGTTATTTTTCAGCTTGACTTACACAGAAGAAAGTCGTATGCATTGGAATACGGTCTTTCTCTCACGGATTATTCTGGTAGATTTCAAAAGCCCTACAAGGATAATACAGGGAGCCATGGCCCTTTTGTGATTGCTGTCACAGTTTTATGAAAGGCATTTTCAAAAGTTAGCCTCGAGGAGATTCTGGAGATTTCTGTGCTCTCAGGAAACCCTTACCTCGCCGTGGCTCAGAAGCAGAAGTGAGGAGCCAGGCTTCTCTGTTTATGGAGAGGAATTTTCTGCACCTTCACAAGAGCTCAAAATGAACCCAGACAGAGTCTTTGAAGGACAAGGGCAGGACCCAGGGACCAGGCTGTGAGTCTGCCCTGCCTGGCTGCTTTCGGATCCTGTGTCCTCAGAACCCACCAAATTCATGTCGGTCTTGTCCTCACAGGTTCTCCTGGCCCTGGGTGAGTCACGCTGGGAGAGTTAGCACAGGTGGGGAAATGCAGGCCAGCGGCTGGCAGGGTGAGCTGCAGCCGCCCCTCTGTACCTGGTGCTATGTCTGCTAGTGGATCTTCACCCAGGATGTGCTTCCTCATTCTCGACTTCACCCCCAGCTCCAGACTCAGAGTATGAAGAGCTTGAGTGGTTGCCTGACATGGTTTCACTGTGTCCCCACCCAAATCTCATCTTGAATTGTAGCTCCCATAATTTCCACTTGTGGTGGGAGGGACCTGGTGGGAGATAATTGAATCATGGGGTGGTTTCCCCGATACTGTTCTCATAGCAGTTAATAAGTCTCACAAGATCTGATGGTTTTATCAGGGAAACCCCGTTTGCTTGGTTCTCATTGTCGCTTGTCTGTGGCCATTTAAGACACGGCTTTCACCTTCCTCAGTGATTGTGAGGTCTCCCCTGCCATGTGGAACTGTGAGTTCGTTAAACCTCTTTTTCTTTTTAAATTACCCAGTCTCAGGTATGTCTTTATCAGCATGAAAATGGACTAATACACTGCCTGTTTATATTTTTAATTGGCAAGTGCCCTTACGTTGCTGGAGAGCGGGGCCAGCTAACTACAGCCCATGGGCCAACCCTGGTTCCCTCTCCAGTTTCTGCAAGCCCAGCCTCACGGGAGTGCAGGGCCTTCTCTGGCCACAGTCAGGAGCTGCTTTTTCCCAGGGCTGTGGTGCTGAGCAGAGGTGATGGAGCCCCATGGCCTGAAACATTCACTGCCCCTTCAAATGTGCCTGTTACCGATGGCTCAGAGCACACAGCCCATGCTTAGCGGCTGATGGCACAGGATCATTTGCCACCTGTCCTGGGGGCTGTGAGTCAGGTGTCTGAGAAAGCGTCAAATGTGGGATCTCTCCAGGGTTGCCCAGGCTCGGCCAGGGCTGGAGCACCTGCCTCCAGGGCGACTGCGACTCCGTGCTGCTCTCCCTGGGAGGCCCTGTTCCTGTCCATGTGGCCCGTGCTGGTGTGACAGTGGGAGAAGAGAGATCTGTGGGAATGCCGTGCACCCGGCAGATGCTGTGTGCACCTGGCGGGGGGTTCGTGCCTGAGCTGCTGTAGGGTGAAGCTGCAGTTTCAGAAGGTCCGAGAGATGTTAAACCCATTTGGCAGAGGGCTCTGATTGGATTCTGCCTCCCCCTGTTCTGGGGAAACTAGGCGGAAGTTGTTCTGCTCCTCTCAAAGGCGGCTCACTGAACCCTGGCGAGGTGCACACCATTGAGTGGATCAGTTCCAGCACTTGGCATTGACTTTGGAAATCTGAAATGTCTGTGATAAGCCAAATAAACTTAGATTTGTTTTATTTCATTTAAAGAGTGAAGGCCCCAGAACTCTGGGAGGCTGAGGCAGGTGGATCACCTAAGGTCAGGAGCTCAAGATCAGCCTGGCCAACATGTCGAAACCCAGTCTCTACTCAAAATATAAAAATTAGCCAGGTGTGGTGGCGCACGCATGTAGTCCCAGCTACTCAGGAAACTGAGGCAGGAGAATCGCTTGAACCCAGGAGGCGGAGGTTGCAGTGAGCCGAGGTCGCGCCACTGCACTCCAGTCTGGGTGACAGGGTGAGAATCTGTCTCAAAAAAATGAGTGAAGGCAAGGAGATTGAACATAAGAGTGAGTGAGCTCTGATCTTGGTAGGAATGAGCCCTCTTGCCATATGTGACATTCAGCCCAGGGCTTGTCCAGGGCTGGAGCAATCCCTAAACAGGCGGTAGATCAAGCCAGGCTGATCACGAGTCACCTTGGAATTCAGAAGGGAGCCGTGGAATGCAGAGGGGTTCACCATAAGCCCCTCGGCTCTGGGGCCCTCCAGACACCTCTCAGCTCCTGTGGGTGATGTCTCCTTACGCAGATGTGCTTCAATAATCTCGGGCCTTCTTGTAAACCAGGGCGTCGGTATAGCTCACAGCCTTCCATCTTCCCTGGCACTTTCCCTGTGTGGGGACTAAACACAAGGGTTTTCCAGGCTCCCTCCTCCTGGCAGGACACGGCTGTTCACACATGTCATAATATTATTTAATATCATAATGTTTCTGTCAGTATTTTTTCATTTAGTAAAGAATCTTTGGACTTTCTTAACTCAACCTAAAGAAATAACTTTAAAAATGAAAATACCAGGCATAACAAAATCTTTGAGAAATTTAGGGGCAGGCATGTGTCCTGTAGACATCACATTTTCCAAGATCCAAGTACTGAGAGTCGAGAGTTTTAAGAGCAGTATAGTTCACAGTTTGGTGATAAATGGCATTAAATGTCTCATTACTACACTGACTCTGAAAATATGTCAAATGTGACTTTAAAAAAGATTACGTAGAAAATCTATTTGTTCCTTATTTTATTTGATAACCCTGAAACACAATTTTTCCCATGAAAATCTAATTTATTGGCCAGGTGCGGTGGCTCACGCCTGTAATCCCAGCACTTTGGGAGGCCGAGGTGGGCGGATCATGAGGTCAGGAGATCAAGACCATCCTGGCTAATACGGTGAAACCCCGTCTCTACTAAAAATACAAAAAATTAGCAGGGCGTGGTGGCGGGCGCCTGTAGTCCCAGCTACTCGGGAGGCTGAGGCAGGAGAATGGCATGAACCCGGGAGGCAGAGCTTGGAGTGAGCCGAGATCACTTTACTGCACTCCAGCCTGGGCGACAGAGCGAGACTCTGTCTCAAAAAAAAAAAAAAAAAAAGTCTATTTTATAATTTCCTTAAGATAGCCATATAATGTTAGAGTAAAACAAATGGTCATGTTCATCATTATATTCTAAAAAAAAATTCTATATTTGAAGCATTTGTTACTAACAGAATGTCTCTCTTGATATGGAAACTCATGATGAAAAGAAAATAGTAAATAAATTGTTCCAGTTTTACACTCCCCAGTTTTCAGCAATTTACCTAAAAACTGAAGTGACACAATCACAGCCCCCAGCTGAGTTAGAACAGGCTCATTCAATGGGCTAGATGTTTCCATAAGGATAGGTCTCATCTGGAAAAAATAAACATATCCAGAAGAGAGAATGCATTAGGCTGTTCTTGCATTGCTATAAAGAAATACCTGAGACTGAGTAATTTATAAGAAAATAGGCTTAACTGGCTCACAGTTCTGCAGGCTGTTTAGGAAGCATGGTGGCATCTGCTTCTATGGAGGCCTCAGGAAGCTTCCAATCCTGGGGGAAGGCAGAGGGTAAGCAGGTGTCTCACATGGTGGGGGCAGGAGCAAGAGAAAACAAAGTGAGAGGAGGTGCCATAGACTATATATATGCACTTTAATTTCTGATTTCTGGGGCACATGTGCTGAACGTGCAGGTTTGTTATATAGGTATACACGTGCCATGGTGGTTTGCTGCACCCATCAAGGTAATACCATTCAGGACATAGGCATGGGCAAAGACTTCGTGACTAAAACACCAAAAGCAATGGCAATTAAAGCCAGAATTGACAAATGGGATCTGATTAAAGAGCTTCTGCACAGCAAAAGAAACTATCATCAGAGTGAACAGGCAACCTACATAATGGGAGAAAATTTTTGCAATCTAGCCATCTGACAAAGGGCTAATATCCAGAATCTACAAAGAACTTAAATTTACAAGAAAAAAACAACCCCATCAAAAAGTGGGTGAAGGATATGAACAGACACTTCTCAAAAGAAGACATTCATGCAGCCAAAGGACATATGAAAAGAAAGCCATAGACTTTTAAACAATCAGATCTCATAAGAATTCACCATCCTGAGAACAGCAACGAGGGGGTGGTGCCAGATACTACCTGAGAATCCACCCATGATCCCATCACCTCCACCCAGGCCCCTCCTCCAACACTGGGGATGACATTTCAACATGAGATTTGGGCAGGAACACAGACCAAACCATATCGGACAACTTATTTGATAAATCCTTTGCTTTATGTAGAAAATGTCAGTCTTAGCTATACTAATAAAATTTTACAGTGTGACAATTTCTTCTTGAAATATGTTTTGTGTTTTAACCCATTGATGTTAACATGAAGATGTGCTATGGGATAAGTGAAGAATTAAATGTGCAAAACCACATCCTTTTAGGAGCTACAGGACCATGTAGTTTGGACATGCGCCTCTAAGTGATGTGGAACTGAGCTCCATGACTCACGGGTGCTGCAGCCTTAATGTCCTCATTTGCAAAATTAGAATAACAATTGTCTCTACCTCATGAAATTGTTGAGAATTAGAGAAATTGTGCCTGGCAGCATAAGCACACATAAACGCAGCTGTAAATTGTGGTTGCTTTCATGAGGATGGGAAGATGGAGGAGTTTTTACCCCAATCCCAAGGAGGCACTGGCAGAGAAGAGATCACCTGCAGTCTATCTTTTGACCGAAAGAAGCTCCCTGATGCATTAAACCCTTTAAAATGCATCTCCACGACTGCACAGCCCACCCTCAGAGGCCACCGGCGATGCCCACGTAGAACCCGGGAGCGTTTCAGTCCCACTAGGGCACAGGAGTGGCACTACCTTTCAGAGCAACTGTCAGCTGGCTTCTGCGGCAAACAGCTCCCAAGTATAAATGACAACACAGATATTCCTGGCTGGGCAGCTCCACACAGTTGCTCTTTTCCAAGAGGTGATTCAAGAATGTAAGCTTCCTCCTTGAAGGGTCAGCATCTTCAACACAGAAACCCCAAGGCCACTATGGAAGCAGAGAGAAGGGGGCGCACACCCCTCTTGCCCATGCCTTACTGGCCAGCAACACTCACTTGCCTCCATGAAAACATGAGACATCATGTCTTCATGATGAGAAATATCATCTTGTCAACTGCCCAATGGAAAACTAAAGTATTTTAGTGAACAAAGCATTGCCTTTGCCACAGTTACCAAAACTGGTGAAGCTGAACAGCTGCAAAGGATACAGGCAGCAAACTGCCCTGAAACTGATGGAAAGAACCTTGCTAGGATTGTCACAACCAGGAATTCCAGGAAGACCTGGACTACATAGATATGTAAAGAAAAAGATGCTCTTTCTTTTTTTTAATATATATATTTTTTATTATACTTTAAGCTCTAGGGTACATGTGCACAACGTGCAGGTTTGTTACATATGTATACATGTACCATGTTGGTGTGCTGCATCCATTACTCGTCATTTACATTAGGTATATCTCCTAATGCTATCCCTCCCCCCTCCCCCCACCCCACAACAGGCCCCAGTGTGTGATGTTCCCCTTCCTGTGTCCATGTGTTCTCATTGTTCAATCCCACCTATGAGTGAGAACATACAGTGTTTGGTTTTCTGTCCTTGTGATAGTTTGCTGAGAATGATGGTTTCCAGCTTCATCCATGTCCCTACAAAGGACATGAACTCATCATTTTTTATGGCCGCATAGTATTCCATGGTGTATATGTGTCATATTTCCTTAATCCAGTCTATCATTGTTGGACATTAGGGTTGGTTCCAAGTCTTTGCTATTGTGAGTAGTGCCGCAATAAACACAAGTGTGCGTGTGTCTTTATAGCAGCATGATTTATATTCCTTTGGGTATATACCCAGTAATGGGATGGCTGGGTCAAATGGTATTTCCAGTTCTAGATTTCTGAGGAATTGCCACACTGTCTTCCACAATGGCTGAACTAGTTTACAGTCCCATTAACAGTGTAAAAGTGTTGCTATCTCTCTACATCCTCTCCAGCACCTGTTGTTTCCTGAGCATTTAATGATCGCCATTTTAACTGGTGAGAGATGATATCTCATTGTGGTTTTGATTTGCATTTCTCTGATGGCCAGTGATGATGAGCAGTTTTTCATGTGTCTGTTGGCTGCATAAATGTCTTCTTTTGAGAAGTGTCTGTTCATATGCTTTGCCCACTTGTTGATGGGGTTGTTTTTTTCTTGCAAATTTGTTTGAGTTCTTTGTAGATTCTGGGTATCAGCCCTTTGTCAGATGAGTAGATTGCAAAAATTTTCTCCCATTCTGTAGGTTGCCTGTTCACTCTGATGGTAGTTTCTTTTGCTGTGCAGAAGCTCTTTAGTTTAATTAGATCCCATTTGTCAATTTTGGCTTTTGTTGCCATTGTTTTTGGTGTTTTAGCCATGACGTCCTTGCCCATGCCTATGTCCTGAATGGTATTGCCTAGGTTTTCTTCTAGGTTTTCTTCTAGGTCTAACATTTAAGTCTTTAATCCATCTTGAATTAACTTTTGTATAATGTGTAAGGAAAGGATCCAGTTTCAGCTTTCTACATATGGCTAGCCAGTTTTCCCAGCACCGTTTGTTAAATAGGGAATACTTTCCCCATTTCTTGTTTTTGTCAGGTTTGTCAAAGATCAGATAGTTGTAGATGTGTGGCATTATTTCTGAGGGCTCTGTTCTGTTCCATTGGTCTATATCTCTGTTTGGTACCAGTACCATGCTGTTTTGGTTACTGTAGCCTTGTAGTATAGTTTGAAGTCAGGTAGCGTGATGCCTCCAGCTATGTTCTTTGGCTTAGGATTGACCTGGCAATGCAGGCTCTTTTTTGGTTCCATATGAACTGTAGTTTTTTCCAATTCTGTGAAGAAAGTCATTGGTAGCTTCATGGGGATGGCACTGAATCTATAAATTACCTTGGGCAGTATGGTCATTTTCACCATATTGATTCTTCCTACCCATGAGCATGGAATGTTCTTCCATTTGTTTGTATCCTCTTTTATTTCATTGAGCAGTGGTTTGTAGTTCTCCTTGAAGAGGTCCTTCACATCCCTTGTAAGTTGGATTCCTAGGTATTTTATTCTCTTTGAAGCAATTGTGAATGGGAGTTCACTCATGATTTGGCTCTTTGTTTGTGTGTTTTTGGTGTATAAGAATGCTTGTGATTTTTGCACATTGATTTTGTATCCTGAGACTTTGCTGAAGTTGCTTATCAGCTTAAGGAGATTTTGGGCTGAGATGATGGGGTTTTCTAAATATACAATCATGTCATCTGCAAACAGGGACAATTTGACTTCCTCTTTTCCTAATTGAATACCCTTTATTTCTTTCTCCTGCCTGATTTCCCTGGCCAGAACTTCCAACACTATGTTGAATAGGAGTGGTGAGAGAGGGCATCCCTGTCTTGTGCCAGTTTTCAAAGGGAATGCTTCCAGTTTTTGCCCATTCAGTATGATATTGGCTGTGGGTTTGTCATAAATAGCTGTTATTATTTTTAGATACATCCCATCAATACCTAATTTATTGAGAGTTTTTAGCATGAAAGGCTGTTGAATTTTGTCAAAGGCCTTTTCTGCATCTATTGAGATAATCATGTGGTTTTTGTCTTTGGTTCTGTTTATATGCTGGATTACGTTTATTGATTTGCGTATGTTGAACCAGCCTTGCATCCCAGGGATGAAGCCCATTTGATCATGGATAAGCTTTTTGATGTGCTGCTGGATTCAGTTTGCCAGTATTTTATTGAGGATTTTTGCATCAGTGTTCATCAGGGATATTGGTCTAAAATTCTCTTTTTTTGTTGTGTCTCTGCCAGGCTTTGGTATCAGGATGATGCTGGCCTCATAAAATGAGTTAGGGAGGATTCCCTCTTTTTGTATTGATTGGAATAGTTTCAGAAGGAATGGTACCAGCTCCTCCTTGTACCTCTGGTAGAATTTGGCTGTGAATCTGTCCAGTCCTGGACTTTTTTTGGTTGGTAAGCTATTAATTATTGCCTCAATTTCAGAGCCTGTTATTGGTCTATTAAGAGATTCAACTTCATCCTGGTTTAGTCTTGGGAGAATGTGTGTGTCGAGTAATTTATCAATTTCTTCTAGATTTTCTAGTTTATTTGTGTAGAGGTGTTTATAGTAGTCTCTGATGGTCGTTTGTATTTCTGTGGGATCGGTGGTGATATCCCCTTTATCATTTTTTATTGCATCTATTTGATTCTTCTCTCTTTTCTTCTTTATTAGTCTTGCTAGCGGTCTATCAATTTTGTTGATCTTTTCAAAAAAAAAACCAGCTCCTGGATTAACTGATTTTTTGAAGGGTTTTTTGTGTCTCTATCTACTTCAGTTCTGCTCTGATCTTAGTTATTTCTTGGCTTCTGCTAGCTTTTGAATGTGTTTGCTCTTGCTTCTCTAGTTCTTTTAATTGTGATGTTAGGGTGTCAATTTTAGATCTTTCCTGCTTTCTCTTGTGGGCATTTAGTGCTATAAATTTCCCTCTACACACCGCTTTAAATGTGTCCCAGAGATTCTGGTATGTTGTGTCTTTGTTCTCGTTGGTTTCAAAGAACATCTTTATTTCTGCCTTCATTTTGTTATATACCCAGTAGTCATTCAGGAGCAGGTTGTTCAGTTTCCATTAGTTGAGTGGTTTTGAGTGAGTTTCTTAATCCTGAGTTCTAGTTTGATTTCACTATGGTCTGAGAGACAGTTTATTATAATTTCTGTTCTTTTACATTTGCTGAGGAGTGCTTTACTTCCAACTATGTGGTCAATTTTGGAATAGGTGCGGGTGTGGTGTGGAGAAGAATGTATGTTCTGTTGATTTGGCGTGGAGAGTTCTATAGATGTCTATTAGGTCCACTTGGTGCAGAGCTCAGTTCAATTCCTGCATATCCTTGTTAACTTTCTGTCTCATTGATCTGTCTAATGTTGACAGTGGGGTGTTAAAGTCTCCCATTATTATTGTGTGGGAGTCTAAGTCTCTTTGTAGGTCTCTAAGGACTTGCTTTATGAATCTGGGCGATCCTGTATTAGGTGCATATATATTTAGGATAGTTAGCTCTTGTTGAATTGATCCCTTTACCATTATGTAATGGCCTTCTTTGTCTCTTTTGATCTTTGTTGGTTTAAAGTCTGTTTTATCTGAGACTAGGATTGCAACCCCTGCCTTTTTTTGTTTTCTATTTGCTTGGTAGATCTTCCTCCGTCCCTTTATTTTGAGCCTATGTGTGTCTCTGCATGTGAGATGGGTTTCCTGAATACAGCACACTGATGGGTCTTGACTCTTTATCCAATTTGCCAGTCTGTGTCTTTTAATTGGAGCATTTAGCCCATTTACATTTAAGGTTAATTTTGTTATGTGTGAATTTGATCCTGTCATTATGATGTTAGCTGGTTATTTTGCTCATTAGTTGATGCAGTTTCTTCCTAGCATCGATGGTCTTTACAATTTGGCATGTTTTTGCAGTGGCTGGTACCAGTTGTTCCTTTCCATGTTTAGTGCTTCCTTCAGGAACTCTTTTAGGGCAGGCCTGGTGGTGACAAAATCTCTCAGCATTTGCTTGTCTGTAAAGGATTTTATTTCTCTTTCACTTACAAAGCTTAGTTTGGCTGGATCTGAAATTCTGGGTTGAAAATTCTTTTCTTTAAGTATGTTGAATATTGGCCCCCACTCTCTTCTGGCTTGTAGAGTTTCTGCCAAGAGATCAGCTGTTAGTCTGATGGGCCTCCCTTTGTGGGTAACCCGACCTTTCTCTCTGGCTGCCCTTAACATTTTTTCCTTCATTTCAACTTTGGTGAATCTGACAATTATGTGTCTTGGAGTTGCTCTTCTCGAGGAGTATCTTTGTGGTATTCTCTGTATTTCCTAATTTGAATGTTGGCCTGCCTTGCTAGGTTGGGGATGTTCTCCTGGATAATATACTGCAGAGTGTTTTCCAACTTGGTTCCATTGTCCCCATCACTTTCAGGTACACCAATCAGACATAGATTTGGTCTTTTCACATAGTCCCATATTTCTTGGAGGCTTTGTTCATTTCTTTTTATTCTTTTTTCTCTAAACTTCTCTTCTCACTTCACTTCATTCATTTGATCTTCAATCACTGATACCCTTTCTTCCAGTTGATCGAATTGGCTACTGAAGCTTGTGCATTCATCACATAGTTCTTGTGCCTTGGTTTTCAGCTTCAGCAGGTCCTTTAAGGACTTCTCTGCATTGGTTATTCTAGTTAGCCATTCGTCTAATCTTTTTTCAAGGTTTTTAACTTCTTTGCGATGGGCTCGAACTTCCTCCTTTAGCTTGGAGAAGTTTGATTATCTGAAGCTTTCTTCTCTCAGCTCGTCAAAGTCATTCTTTGTCCAGCTTTGTTCCATTGCTGGTGAGGAGCTGCGTTCCTTTGGAGGAGGAGAGGCACTCGATTTTTAGAATTTTCAGTTTTTCTGTTCTGTTTTTTCCTCATCTTTGTGGTTTTATCTACCTTTGGTCTTTGATGATGGTGACATACAGATGGGGTTTTGGTGTGGATGTCCTTTCTGTTTGTTAGTTTTCCCTCTAACAGACAGGACCCTCAGCTGCAGGTCTGTTGGAGTTTGCTGGAGGTCCCCTCCAGACCCTGTTTGCCTGGGTATCAGCAGCAGAGGCTGCAGAACAGTGAATATTGCTGAACAGCAAATGTTGCTGTCTGATCCTTCCTCTGGAGGTTTCGTCTCAGAGGGGTACCCGGCTGTGTGAGGTGTCAGTCTGCCCCTACTCGGGGGTGCCTCCCAGTTAGGCTACTTGGGGGTTAGGGACCCTCTTGAGGAGGCAGTCTGTCCGTTCTCAGATCACAAACTCCATGCTGGGAGAACCATTACTCTCTTCAAACCTGTCAGACAGGGACATTTAAGTCTGCAGAGGTTTCTGCTGCCTTTTGTTTGTCTGTGCCCTGCCCCCAGAGGTGGAGTCTACAGAGGCAGGCAGGCCTCCTTGAGCTGTGGTGGGCTCCACCCAGTTCGAGCTTCCTGGCCGCTTTGTTTACCTACTCAAGCCTCAGCAATGGCGGGTGCCCCTCCCCCAGCCTCGCTGCCGCCTTGCAGTTGGATCTCAGACTGCTGTGTTAGCAGTGAGCGAGGCTCTGTGGGTGTAGGACCCTCCGAGCCAGGCGTAGGGTATAATCTCCTGGTGTGCCGTTTGCTAAGACCATTGGAAAAGCGCAGTATTATGGTGGGAGTGACCCGATTTTCCAGCTGCCGTCTGTCACAGCTTTGCTTGGCTATGAAAGGGAATTTCCCTGACCTCTTGCACTTCCCAGGTGAGGTGATGCCTCGCCCTGCTTTGGCTCACACTCGGTGTGCTGCATGCACTGTCCTGCACCCACTGTCTGACAAGCCCCAGTGAGATGAACCTGGTACCTCAGTTGGAAATGCAGAAATCACCCATCTTCTGCGTCGCTCACACTGGGAGCTGTAGACTGGAGCTCTTCCTATTTGGCCATCTTGGAACTGCCCGACGTTAATCATCTAAATAAAGTATTTCCACCTGTACCTTCCTAGACGGGTCAGAATTCTCTAAAGAAAATTTTAGGGTACACTTTTGCCCCAAATAAGTGAATAAAAATCAATTTGGGGATACATTCTTGTTCTAAATAAGTGAACAATTAAGAAGTTTTTTTGTGTTTTATTTTTTTGTTTGTTTGTTTTATTCTGCTGACAGCCAAATCTCTGGGGGAAAAACAACTGAATAAACTTTTGACAAAGCTGGGCTGGGCTGGCAGCTCACTCAGGAGGGGCAGGGCCTGGCTCAGGTCGGGTCTTCCTAGGGGAGACTGTGCTGGGATGAGGAGACAGTGGTGCCACAGGGAAGGGTGCTGAGGGCGTCTCAGAGAGCAGAGGGTGTCTGAGGAGCCCATTGCCAGTTCTTGTCGTGGCCAAGTCTAGTGAGATCTGGTGTCCGGGTTATTGATTTTCAGGACATTCATTGAACAAACAAATGTATTTGCAACTTCATCTTCCTGGGCAAGTGTTTCCCAGAGAGTAAAGTCATGTTCAGAGACAAGAGTTCTACTTCCCAACTGTAATTGGAATCTCAGTTTCACTTACTCATCCATGTGTCTGTGCTTAATTCCCTTTCATGTAACATGGGAAAAATAACACTACTTTCCTCATCAGATTGTTAATTAATTAATACAAGTAGAATATTTAAACAGTCTTGGTGGGTGGAAATGTCTGCAAATGTTAGTCCTTACCATGGTGATAATGATTTGCTCAGTAGGGCTTCCTCCCAAGCCATGGCATGCTCTTACTTGGGCCGTTTCTGTCCCCAGAGCCACTCCTGCCACTGATAATCCATTGTCCTCCCCTCCTGGCATCTGATGTGTGGCTTTTCCTCCCTTGCTTGTTTCCAGGAATTCTTTCCACCTCAGATTAAAAGCCTTTTCCACAACACAGCCTCCTCTGACCTACCTGACTGGGTCAGCTCTCACATTGTAGTATTTTAGAATTGTTTCATCAGTGATGAGCAACCAGGACACTTAGATCAAATTGCTATTTGTCTTTGGTTTGCTGTTTGTCTTTTCCAATAAGCCACCTTTTCTTCCCAGGGACCACGCCTGGTTTTTTACTGTGGTGTCCCCTGGCATACAAGAGGTTAAGTGGTTATTTCTTTCTTTTCTTTTTTTTTTTTTTTAATACTTTAAGTTCTAGGGTACACATGCACAACGTGCAGGTTTGATACATGGGTGTACATGTGCCATGTTCGTTTGCCACACCTATCAACTCGTTATTTACATTAGGTATTTCTCCTAATGCTATCCCCCCCCAGCTCCCCAGCCTCTGACAGGCCCCGGTGTGCAATGTTCCCCTTCCTGTGTCCGAGTGATCTCATTGTTCATTTCCTACCTGTGAGTGAGAACATGTGGTGTTTGGTTTTCTGTCCTTGTATAGTTTGCTGAGAATGATGGTTTCGAGCTTCATCCATGTCCCTGCAAAGGACATGAACTCATCCTTTTTTATGGCTGCATAGTATTCCATGGTGTATATGTGCCACATTTTCTTGTGGCAGAATTGAATCCAATCTATCATTGATGGACATTCGGGTTGGTTCCAAGTCTTTGCTATTGTGAATAGTGCTGCAATAGACATACGTGTGCATGTGTCTTTACAGTAGCATGATTTATAATCCTTTGGGAATATACCCAGTAATGGGATTGCTGGGTCAAATGGTAATTCTATTTCTAGATCCTTGAGGGATCGCCACACTGTCTTCCACAATGGTTGAACTAATTTACACTCCCATTAACAGTGTAAAAGAGTTCCTATTTCTCCACATCCTCTCCAGCATCTGTTGTTTCCTAACTTTTTAATGATTGCCATTCTAACTGGCATGAGATGGTATTTCATTGTGGTTTTGATTTGCATTTCTTTCTCTGATGAACAGTGACAATGAGCATCTTTTCATGTGTCTGTTGGCTGCATAGATGTCTTCTTTTGAGAAAGGTCTGTTCATATCCTTTGCCTACTTTTTGATGGGGTTGTTTTTTTCTTGTAAATTTGTTTGCATTCTTTGTAGATTCTGGATATTAGCTCTTTGTCAGATGGGTAGATGGCAAAAATTTTCTCCCATTCTGTAGGTTGCCTGTTCACTCTGATGGTAGTTTCTTTTGCTGTGCAGAAGCTCTTTAGTTTAATTAGATCCCATTTGTCAATTTTGGCTTTTGTTGCCATTGCTTTTGGTGTTTTAGTCATGAAGTCCTTGCCCATGCCTATGTCCTGAATGGTATCGCCTAGGTTTTCTTCTAGATTTTCTATGGTTTTAGGTCTCACATTTAAGTCTTTAATCCATCTTGAATTAATTTTGTATAAGATGTAAGGAAAGGATCCAGTTTCAGCTTTCTACATATGGCTAGCCAGTTTTCCCAGCACCATTTATTAAATAGGGAATCATTTCCCCATTTCTTTTTGTCAGGTTTGTCACAGATCAGATGGTTGTGGATGTGTGGTGCTTCTATTCTGTTCCATTGGTCTATATGTCTGTTTTGGTACAAGTACCATGCTGTTTTGGTTACTGTAGCCTCATAGTATCGTTTGAAGTCAGGTAGCGTGATGCCTCCAGCTTTGTTCTTTTTGCTTAGGATTGTTTTGGCAATGTGGGCTCTTTTTTGCTTCCATATGAACTTTAAAGTAGTTTTTTCCAATTCTGTGAAGAAAGTCATTGGTAGCTTGATGGGGATGGCATTGAATCTATAAATTACCTTGGGCAGTATGGCCATTTTCACAATATTGATTCTTCTTATCCATGAGCATGGAATGTTCTTCCATTTGTTTGTGTCCTCTTTTATTTCTTTGAGCAGTAGTTTGTAGTTCTCCTTGAAGAGGTCCTTCACATCCCTTGTAAGTTGGATTCCTAGGTATTTTATTCTCTTTGAAGCAATTGTGAATGGGAGTTCACTCATGATTTGGCTCTCTGTTTGTCTGTTGTTGGTGTACAGGAATGCTTGTGATTTTTGCACATTGATTTTGTATCCTGAGACTTTGCTGAAGTTGCTTATCAGCTTAAGGAGATTTGGGGCTGAGACGATGGGGTTTTTTAAATATACAATCATGTCATCTGCGAACAGGGACAATTTGACTTCCTCTTTTCCTAATTGAATACCCTTTATTTCTTTCTCCTGCCTGATTGCCCTGGCCAGAACTTCCAACACTATGTTGAATAGGAGTGGTGAGAGAGGGCATCCTTGTCTTGTGCCAGTTTTCAAAGGGAATGCTTCCAATTTTTGCCCATTCAGTATGATATTGTCATAAATAGCTCTTATTATTTTGAGATACATTCCATCAATACCCAGTTTATTGAGAGTTTTTAGCAGGAAAGGCTGCTGAATTTCATCAAAGGCCTTTTCTGCATCTATTGAGATAATCCTGTGGTTTTTGTCATTGGTTATGTTTACGTGATGGATTATGTTCATTGATTTGCATATGTTGAACGAGCCTTGCATCCCAGGGATGAAGCCAACCTAATCATGGTGGATAAGCTTTTTAATGTGCTGCTGGATTTGGTTTGCCAGTATTTTATTGAGGATTTTTGCATCTATATTCATCAGGGATATTGGTCTAAAATTCACTTTTTTTGTTGTGTCTCTGCCAGGCTTTGGGATCAGGATGATGTTGGCCTCATAAAATGAGTTAGGGAGGATTCCCTGTTTTTCTATTGATTGGAATAGTGTCAGAAGGAATGGTACCAGTTCCTCTTTGTACCTCCGGTAGAATTCGGCTGTGAATCTCTCTGGTCCTGGACTGGTTGGTAGGCTATTATTACCTCAATTTCAGAGCCTGTTATTGGTCTGTTCGGAGACTCAACTTCTTCCTGGTTTAGTCTTGGGAGGGTGTGTTTGTCCAGGAATTTATCCTTTTCTTCTATATTTTTTAGTTTATTTGTGTAGAGGTGTTTATAGTAGTCTCTGATGGTAGTTTGTATTATTGTGGGATTGGTGGTGATATCCCCTTTATCATTTTTTATTGCATCTATTTGATTCTTCTCTCTTTTCTTCTTTATTCTTAAACAGATACTTAGGATGAAAATGAAATATGTGTAATGTTTTACATTCATGAGTGTGTAAAGAGTCATATAGACTCTTTGTCATCACTGGCTTTACTTTAAGGCAAAGGTGACTGACTCAGGTCATTCTCATAATGGTATAAAGAAATACCTGAGGCAAGGTAACTTATGAAGAAAAAGGGTTTCACTGACTTGTGGTTCTGTAAGCTGTAGAGGAAACAGCAGCTTCTGCTTCTGGGGAGGCCTCAGGAAGCTTCCAATTGTAGCGGAAGGCAGAGGGAGCGAGGCGTCTCACAAGGTGGGAGCAGGAGGAAGAGAGGAGAGGAGAGGGAGGTTCTGCACACTTCAACCACCAGATCTCACAAGAACTCATTCACTATGAGGAGGATGCTGCTAACCCATTCGTGAGAAATCGCCCATGACCCAGTCACCTCCCACCAGGCCCACCAGGCCCCTCTTCCAACCCTGGGGATTGTAATTCAACGTGAGGTTTGGGTGGGGACACAGATTCAAGCCATATCAGTGACTTTGCAGAGTTAAGATCAGGTCCACACAGCACCTGGGTGGAAGAGGTGGGTGTTGGGGGAGGGCCTGGGCTGGTCAGGTGGGGGACCCTTGTGCCCAAGGACACCCTGTGAACCTGCTGATATCAAGCTCAGGGACACCTGTGAACCCGCTGATAGCAAGCCTACCTTGAAGTCTGTTCAATGCTCTTCCAAATAAGGCCTGTGGAAACTCTCATGAGAAAAACAAGGCAAAAACTGCAGAAATACAACAGAATAGATATACAGGAAATAAAAAGAGAGTTCCTAACTGGAAATGTCAATACTTTATCCAGGAAAAAATGCTCATGCGTGATTATTGGAGTACAAATAATGTTTTTATGTTTCCAATTATATATTAGAATACATGAGAATTAGCTAAATCATGGTGACATTTCTAAATATTTCACTTCTTCTTTACGCATTTATTGCTATAAGGACACTATCTGAAAAGTGGAGCTACTATTTATTTCAATATTTTAAGTAGACTGTGAAAGATAAAACAGACCGTGAAGTAATTCGTTGATGTTTATGTGTCAAGGGCGCTTTAGTAACCTTTCAAATACCACTTTCAACTTAAGCCACCTATCTCCTCCATGTGACAATTTTCAATACTTCCAAAGTAAGAGTTTTACCTAGAAATCATTGACAAAATATGTCCAGCAGCCCCCAAATATTTCACTACATCCACTATCACCTTCCACATTGAAGCATTTAGCACGATATGGAGTTGTCCCAGGCTTGAAGACTGTGAATACGGTGGAATATTAAAGCTAAAGTTTACAGGAAAACACAAATATTGACATCTTATACATTTCAGCTATTTTTTCCTGTAATATAAGAACCTTGTAATGGAACGTATAAAGGGGAAATTGACTCTCAGACAGTTTCATTTTGACGACCATGGAGGGTACATCATCGGGCTTCGATGCCGCCTGCACTGAGCAGAAGCACCTTGATCTGCCAAGACCTCAAAATACGGGCTGGCCCAGCCACCACAGGATGGGGAAGGCTGGATTCTCTGAATAGGATGTGGAATGGTCAGGCAGGTGCCTGGATCCAGACCCGCCGAACAGACGTCTCCAGGAATGCTCCTTTAACACTTGAAGCATGCATGTCTCACCTGTGAGATGGAGAAAGTGTGTCTCCCAGGCCAGTGGGGCTGGGATTGGAGAGGATGGAACAGGCAAATGCAAACGTGAGAAAGTGACCTTCAGGGCCACTGTCCTGGACGCATGGACCGAGCGTCACCCGGGCCCTGCCCAGAGAGTCCTGCCTGGTCTAATGCTCTGCTGTCACTGGTCTGAAATGGTTTATAATTTTTTGAGAAGGGGCCATGGGTTTTTAATTTGCACTGAGCCCTTCACATTCTGTAGCTGGTTTGCAAGCCGCATTGGATGGGCCATGAGAGTGTTGAGATGCGGTTAGATTTGCAGGAGCGGAACTCAGGATGTGCCCCCACGTGATTCCAGGCTCCTAGTCACCGCGCAGGGCCTCTTCTGACCCTGAGGCTTCCGCTTCCCTGCACACCATATGTTGGATTTTCCTTCATAATTTATAGCTTTAGTTGAACAAGAGTTTTCTAGGATGAAAAAAAATTGCAGTTTTTTCTTTGAATTTAAATGTCTTACTACTTTTCCTCCATTGCCTGTCAGTGCAAAACAAACACAAACAAAGCATCAGCCACTTCTCTTTCTCTAAATCTCCAGGAAGCCCTGCCTCTCCAGGCAGCTCCACTCCCAGGTGTGCCCTTGGAAGGGGTGCAGTTTGCTGCACAGAAGCTCTGGCATAACTCAGAATAAGAAACTCATTTCCCCAACCAGCCAGCCACACTGTAATCCAAGCAGAACAGCTCTGACACAAAGATTTCCCATGTGACCATTCAAGATTTTATACACACTAATATTCTTCCTTTAGTTTAAAGAATCAAGTTTGCTTTGGATTATTAAAAAGCTCTGCACTTAAAGGTCATGGGGAAACTTAAATGGCAAAAGGAAGCAAGGCCCAAGTTTCTTTTATGTCTAACATAAAAAATTGTTAAATAATGCTACGTATTTTTTGATAGATTTAAGATATAAATTTCCTAATTTTATGTATAATAAAATAAAAAACATAAAAATATCTCTCCATGTGAAGTGGGTTTGAGTGTCGTTAATGAGTGGTCTGGTTTGACTGTGTCCCCACCCACATTTCATCTTGAATTGTAGCTCCCATAATCCCCATGTCAAGGGAGGGACCTGGTGGGAGGTAATTGAATCATGGGGGTGGGTTTTTCTCATGCCGTTCTAGTGATAGTGTGTTCTAGTGATAGTGTGTTCTAGTGATAGTGTGTTCTAGTGATAGTGACTAAGTCTCATGAGATCTGATGGTTTTATAAAGGGCAGTTCCCCTGCACACATTCTCTTGCCTGCCGCCATGTAAGAGGTGCCTTTGCCTCTCCTTAGCCTTCTGCCATGATTGTGAGGCCTCCCCAGCCATGTGGAACTGTGAGTCCATTAAACCTCTTCCTCTAATAAGTTACCCAGTCTGGGATATGTCTTTATTAGCAGCGTGAAAACAGACTAATACAATGAGGAAGTAAGAAGAGGCTGAATTCCTACATAATCCAGATGCTTCCTGTGAGCTGCCACTAAGCTCTGCTCTGCTGGAAGCTCACGTGGGAAGAGTCTGCCTGGCACAGCTTCCCCAGGCCCCATCTCCCCTTGGAAAGGGCAGACACCAAGGCTGGGGAGGAGGCAGAGGGGAGCCACATGGCCACAGAGGCCAGCAGGGGTTCCCCAGGACGGAGGAGCTAAAAAGTAATCTGGGAAACTCAAACCTGCCCCAAGAATTCTGGGAGTTGAAGGGCACAGACACTAGACCAAGAGCAAACCACATCCCAAGAAGCGTTTACCCACTGGGGCCAGGGCAGGAGGCCTGGGTCTCAGGACAGCTCCCAGCTCTGAGATTGGCAGAAGTATAGACGTCCCGCAGTTCACAGCAATGTCTTCCGCAGCTGAGAGGGTCTCCGTGCATGTGTCAGCCATCTGCAAATCTGACAGTGCTCGAATATTTTTTGATTCAGCAGTGGAGTAACTTTACATTCTAAGGGAGCCCATTGACTTGCAGAAAGGACAGGTGTGGTTATGTTCTGGCACCACATAAACATGGAGGGAAATTGCAGAATGAGCCGCTGTTCTTTCCCTCAGATGCGTGAGGATGGGCATCGCGTCACGGGGAGACAGTCTCATCCCAAATCCCACCTTTGCCATCAGGTAGGGAGCATGAGCCCCAGGTTAGAAGCTGTCAGTGTCTGTTAACAATCACGTCCAGCTGGCCCGCCTAGGACCCAAGGCAGGCTTTTTTGCAAGCTATGTGTGGGCAAATGAATCCATCCTTGCTCCGTTGTGCCTCAGGAAAACATGCAATTTTAAAATAAAGCCGCAGAAGTTTAATAGATGCGTTAAATAGTTAATGCATTATGTAGGAGTAAGTCATAGAACTTGGACTCAATGTTTCTATGGTATATAAACATCAGCATACTTGTTTTCAATGTATTCAAATAATGTGTATTTTCCAAATGAGACTTGCTATCCGTTCCAGACCCTGTACTCACTTGCTGTTGGAACATTATCAAGGCTCATTTTCGTCATCTGAAAGGTGGAAACAATAGTAGGTGCCTCATAAAGATGCCGTAAGGACTCAACACCTGCCAGCTTTATCTGTTTTAAGATCTATTGATAATTAGAGTTCACATACAGGAGCCTCAGCTGAGGAAAAAATCCAGTTCTGTTTATATTTGCCACAGTATCTTGTCTCTGCAAATTCCCTCAATTCAGAGATTATCACTGCTTCCCAACCAAGTTATCCCATTTTTACTGCAGGAAAACACAAGAAGCACAAATCTGAAACATAGGGCATGACATGGGAGTTACTGACTTCCATAGGTATGTGAGGATGCCTTCCCTGAGTGCCCTGAGTGCCTGCAGATGCCGTGGCCCAGGAGGAAGATACACCATTCCCTCCCCAGGCAAGCCCTGAAAGTTTGGCAGAGCCGTGCTCCAGTGCAGAGGGACTCCCATCTCAAAGTTTGTAGCTCCAGCTGCAGCTCAAATTCAGGCTGGAAAGACATAGCCAGCTCTCGGCCCTCTGCTGTTCCTGAGTCTGAGGAAAAGCACAGAGGCTCATTCTAGTCTGTGCTGGAGTGTGGCCTGTGGAGGCAGAGCTGGGAGGCCCTGCTGCATCTCTGGTCCTTGTTGTTGCTCTCCCAGCCTCCAAGCCTCCCACCCCCGGGTCCTGATGCAGGGGAAGGGGCTCCTCCATCCTCCTCTCTCTGCCTGGCAGTTGGCTCCTCTGCTTTGCCCATCAGAGGTGTGTGTTTTCCGATCCTCTCTGCACAACCCCCGATGTTGTCTCTCCTTCCATCAGCCCCCAGCAGAGCATTTTCAAACCCAGACACATGTCAGAAGCTCCTTTATCCAGCTCCCATGGGGCGTACCTGGGGTCAAAACTTCCAGAGTTCCAAATATGCACCTTGTGCAGAAAAAAGTACTTCCCATGCCACAAACAAAGGGTACAAGAAAAGTAGCGTTCCGCACATTTTCAGGCATGCAACTTCATCTCTTGGTTAAGCTCCACTTCCAGACAGTGAAGGAAAATAAATCCAGTCAACTCCAAGAAAAACCAGGCATAGTTTTCATTCCTCCCTCACTCAGGGATGACTCCGGTGAGGGACAGGACTGTGGCCAGGGCTTCTGTCTTTTCCCCACTCTCTGCTGGCATCTCCCCATCAGTCCTAGGGGAACCACAGATGCCTGCTGGCACCCAGTGATGTGTGGTGGCCTCCCTGTATCCTGCAGGCAGCCTGGGGCCCATCTCCTGACTGCCGCGCTGCCCACAAACTACTGTTGCCTTTGGATCACTTCTATGCCAGCTCTGGCACGGCTGGAAACTTGTGGGTTTCAATCAGGCCATCTCCCCAGACACCCACACCCCACGCCTGCCTGGCTTCCCACTGCAAACAAGGCTGGCCACCACCCGGCACCAGCTCAGAAGCAAAGACCACTCCATGGGTTCTCAGACCTCACCCAGTGGGCGGCTCCTGTTGTGGCCCCAGCATTGCAGACATCACAGGCGGAGACCTCTGTCCCTTCTCTGCCTCCCCACAGCTCAGCATTTATCTAGCTGGGCAGGGAGGGTCTGGACAAAACTGCAGTGGGAGAGGTCATGAATATCACCTGGTTCATGTGCAGGCAAGCCCTGGTTTCCTCCTGCACCGCTTGCGTGGGGGTCTCTATCTCTGGCTTTGTGGGGGTGCCCTTCCCCCAAGGAATGGGGTGCTGGGGCCAAGGCTCTCCTTGCAGCCCAGCTGAGGATTGCAGGGGCCAGGGAGTGCAGAGAAGGTGCCTGGAAGGTTGTGCCCCCTCACCTGCAGCCATGACCCAGGACTGACAGAGGGTGGGGGGCGCTGGCACCAAACTCCTTGAGCAGCCACTGCCAGGCCCCTGAGGAAGCTCCAGGCCCAGGAGGCTGGGCTCTCCCTGCAGCCAGGCCCTCACCTCCTCTGCAAGCCACGCTCACATTCTCCTTTCCAGGAACCAGACCAGAGACATTTCTTCCCTCTTCTGTTTCTTGGAGACCAGCCCCACCTTCCCTGCAGGTGCATTTCCCAGGTGGCGGCTGCAGTTGTTTCTGCAGGACAGGACTCTGGGTTCACCCATGCCCTCCTCTGTTCAGCCATCCCTCCCTTGTCTGCCCCAGGTGAGTCCTCATGAAATGTCCAGCCCCCCCGAGGGAGGCAGAGCCACGTGCTCTCCAAGCCCTCCTGGGCATCATCACCAGATTGCATTTTCTGCGCGGAGCTTCTCCAGCAGCATCAGCAGCCTGACGATGGGCTTCCAACTCTGGCCTTTCCAATACAGCAGCCCCCTTATCCAAAGGAGAATCTTTCCAAGACCCCAGTGGACACCTGAAGCCATGGAGAGAACAAGTCCTATGTATGCTGTGTTTTCCTACACACATACCCACGGTGAAGCTTAGTTTATAAATTAGGCATAGTAAGAGATCCACCATAACTGATAATAAAACAGAACAATTATAACAATACCCAGAATGATGCATGATTTAAAACCGATGAGTTGTTTATTTCTGGAATTTTTCATGTAATATTTTCAGACTGAGGTTAACCACAGGGAACTGAAACTGCAGAAAGCAAATCTGAAGATCAGAGGCCCTGTTGCCCACCCTTTCCATCTCTGCAGATCTCCAGTGCCTCGGGAGCCTCTCCCATCCCAGGGCCTGGGGCTCCTGCCTCCTCCCCATGTGGCCTCAATCTGCCTTCCTTGCATGAATTTCTCTGAAGGACACCTGTCTTCACTCACTCACACCTCTCTAGGAGCACCAGGTTCTGCAAATAGGAACAAGGCACATCAACGGGTGCACAGGAAAATCCTTACATGGAAATCTTACTTGTTATTTGACATTCATGTTTAGGTGAGTGTCCTGCATTTTACTGGTAGCCCCACTTAATGGGAGCTGCCACCCATGGCCGCCACCCTTCCCTCTTCTCCAGCCAGACGCCCCTGGGCTCTCTTCCCCTTCCCAGTGTGGACATTCTTGACCTTTATTTTCAGCCCTCATGTGGCACTGTCCCTGTCTATTTTCTGCAGTAGCTTCTTGCATTTAGAAAAAATTATGTTTGAAATGTTATTATCAAAGATAGGGGAGAGGCTCCTAGGTTATAAAAAAATACTTGAAGTTGCAACCAGCTATTAATTGAAAACCAAAAATAGGCCAGCTGCGGTGGCTCACGGCTGTAATCCCAGCACTTTGGGAGGCCGAAGCAGGTGGATCACTTGAGGTCAGGAGTTTGAGACCAGCCTGGCCAACATGGTGAAACCCTGTCTCTACTAAAAATATAAAAATTAGCTGGGCGTTCTGGCATGTGCCTGTAATCCCAGCTGCTCGGGAGGCTGAGGCAGGAGAATTGCTTGAATTTGGGAGGCAAAGATTGCAGTGAGCTGAGATCACACCATTGTACTTCAGTCTGGGTAAAGAGCTGAGATCGCACCATTGCACTCCAGCCTGGGTAAAGAGCTGAGATTGCACCACTGCACTCCAGCCTGGATAAAGAAGTGAGACTCTGTCTCAAAAAAAAAAAAAAAAAAAAGAAATATTTGTGACTTTACATTACATGCGTCTCAAAAAAAAAAAAAACAAATTTCACTTATGATGTGCAAAATTGCCCAAGCAGCACAAATGAAAACGTAAATTTCCTTCACGTTTCAGTGGAACTGATGCAGGCTTTTATTGTAGCTGTTAGTTTATCCAAGATTTTTATCAGCAAGAATTGAAAATTAACTTCATGTGGAGTCTTCATGTCTTGTCAAGTCAGACATTAATGGGTAAGCCAAAGGGGATCTTTTTAAAATGCCTTTTTCTTTTTACAAAAATCTCAAAAGCTGGATTCCTTTCTAATCATGTATCCTTGTGGCAAAAAATCCAGCAATACAAGTAAAAAGGACATTCCTTTTCCAAGCCTTCCTCGTGGCCTGAAGTAACTGTTGTGCGTCATAGTCTCCTGTGCTGACTTTCCAACCTGATGTCTGTCCTTGTAGGTCTGGATACTCCTCACCTTGCTGTAAGCTCAGAGAGCTTCACCTCCAGTCCCCTCCAGGAGACTGAGGCTCCCATTAGCAGAGCCTCCCATATCTGTGCCTGCAGGTTGGCCTGAGCTGTAGGCAGCGTGCACATCACAATCACCCTGCTGAAAGAAAGTCACCCTGATAAAAGTAAAACTTTAGGCAAAACACATTGAAGTGAGTTTACTTGACCATTAGAAGACTCGTGAATTGGGCAGCACTCGGAAACAGAGGAGGTTCAGAGAAGAGCGAGGGCAGTGACCTCTCAGATGGATGGGGAAGGAAGACAGAGACAATGCACCCAATCAGTTAGAGCAGGAGCCCCAGCCACAGGGGAGTTGGTGGTTTCTGATTAGTAAAGTCGCTAGTTCTCTTTTTCTGTTTACAATGGGCTTTGGTTTGCTCACTCAAGAACCCCAGCCCTGGAGCCTTCCCAGCCTAGTGTCCTCCCAGCGAGAATGCTGACACTACCCACCAGGCAGCTACACCCATGACCCAGCCAGGCCAGCTACAGCCCCATAGCTCCCCTCAGGACCAGACAAGCAGAGCCTGCACAGCCCTGAGCTTCTCCCTCTGCCCATCCTGCTACCTCCTCCTCCTGGCATGGGTTTGATCCCTAATAAGCATTCTGTACCTCAAATCCTGCCTCAGTGTCTTCTGCCAGAGTGTGGGCTGAGCAGGTGCCTTGAACCAATATCTCAGTGATGACCTCCCAGGAAACTCTAGCCTGCAAAGCCACTCTGCAGCACATCCTGAAAGTACACACCCCTGTGGGTATTTGTCTGACTGTTAGGATAAATTCCAGATTTGGAACTGTGGGTCCAAGGGTATAGGTTAGGAGTCAAAGGGCACTGAGTGCCGCGAGCCAGCCATTTACTCAGAGATCCTACCGAGCAAGCCATGAGACAAAAGCCAGCCAGACCCACGCAGGCTGTGTGAGTGGGCAGGTGGAGGGCACCCAAATGCTGCTTCCTGGCTGCTCCTCATCTGGATCAGAGAATGTTGCACAGACTTCAGGATGAAAGGGCTGACGGTTACCTCTGGCCACATCTCCATCCTGTGGATTCCGTATGCAGCCAAGTGGGCCCCAAGCCTCTCCACCTAACCAATGCCTCAGATGCAAGTGGCCCAGGGCTCATCCAGGGACCACCTGTAAAGGCCACCCTGCCCAGTGAGCTGCGGTCGGCATCCACGGGAGGACTCCCTGACTCTGGGGGCAGATAGTGAAAGAGGAAGAGTACCCCCTAAATCCCACAGGGAAGGCACAGGAAGCAAGACTGCTGGTAATGCCTGGCCCCGTGGAATCTCCAGACCCCGAAGGACCTGCTTAGGAAGAGACGGGAGCACAGAGCAAGCAGGGAGCCAGCCAGTCTGGGAGCCAACACGGAGCCAAGGGGGGTGGGGGATTTCCTGTTTCCTCAGTGAATTAGTCCATTTTCGTGCTACTGATAAAGACATACCCGAGACTGGTCAATTTATATAAAGGAAAAGAGGGTTAATGGGCTCACAATTTCATATGGCTGGGGAGGCCTCACAATCATGGCAGAAGGTGAAAGGCATGTCTTACATGGTGGCAGGCAAGAGAAAATAAGAGCCAAGCAAAGGGGGAAACTTCTTATAAAACCATCAGATCTCATGAGACTTACTCAGCACCAACCAGGAGAACAGTAGGGGGAAAACTGCCCCCAGGATTTAATTATCTCCCGCTGGGTCCCTCCCACAGCACCTGGGAATTATGGGAGCTACAATTCAAGATGAGATTGAGGGGGGACACATCCGAACCATATCACCCCATATTTTGTACATCTTGAATTTGGAAACTGAGCGCCAGTTTGTTTCTCCAGAAAGGTTCCCATCTGCATTTCCACCAGTGGTGAATGTGTGAGTCCTTCATTTCCGGCATCCTCATTGGAGCCACCATTATTGCATCTTTAGTCACTCGCAATATGGGAAAAGATAATGTCTCATTGATACTTAACCTGCGTTTCCTGTATCACTATGTTTTTAGAAAGATATATTTGCATTTTTTCCTTTGTTTTATGAATTGCCTGCTCATGACCTAAGCCCTTTTTTTAAGTGGTGTATTTAAGTGACTACCTTTACTTTGTGTTTCTCTGTAACCCGCAGATGGACTGCCCAGCTCCATTCTTCTGGGGTGTGTGGGAGCTTGTCCGGGGTGCAGGGCAAGGCAATGTGAGAGCCAGCGGGGGCTCTGCTGGACACAGGCCATGCCCGGGCAGCCTGGCGATGCTTGGGTCAGTCCCCTTGTCCCACTGGAGGCCCAGATGGACACCACTTGCTCTCCCTCCTCCTACCATCGTGAGATAGAATGAAATTAAAGGTACTGCAGCAGCTCTGGGCTCTCCGTGGTTCAGCTGTGAGGACACAGTGGGGCCACAGCACAGCCCTCCTCAGCAGTGGTACCTCCATAGCAGTGGTGCCTGCTGTGTCTCAGAATTGTTGCAGGAGGCTGTGCTCACAAAAATGCCATGCACCGTGGGTGGGGGACACTGGGGAACAATGGGCTGGTGACCCTCAGAGTTCTTTGGAACTACCTGTGGCTGCAGCTGCCCCCTTACCATGTGAACTTCAGGACGCTTCTCTGTCAAGCAAGGCTCTTAGAAGAACGTGGTCCCGTGACAGTCCCGAGAGCGGCTCACAGATGGCTCCATCTCCCTCCTTCCGAGCACACCGTGGGTTCACATTTCACTGTGGTGTGACCACCTGGCATGCTTTAGTGGGAGTGGTGTGACCAGAGCACGCCGGGCCCCACCAAATCTCCCCTCTGCACGCAGCGGCAGCATGGAAACGGTGGCTGCCCCATCAGCCTGGGACCCTGCATGGTCAGGATGAGCACAGCCCCTTGACAAAGCTTGGGATGGGGGCCTGTCTGTTACTGCATTAACCAGCCTGCACCAATTCAGAGTCTTCTCAACTTTCAGTTTTGGATATATGCAATCTTGCGTGAACTTATGCATGGAGCGGAGAATCTAATGTACCCATAGCTATGGATCTCCCGAGCACAGATCATGCCAAAGGTAAAACCCGTGTTGTATGTGATTCTGAAACTGGAAGTGGAGGGGCTAAGAGACACCAGGCAAGCATTTTTTTCACCCTGGAATGCACATGTACAGACCTTGCCAGGTGTTCTCCTTAGATTCCTATCACCTGTGTTGCACGCTGTCTCAAGGGAGGAAATGTGTTCTCCTTAGCCAATTGTGGTAATGCAGTAGCCCATTCTACATCTTTGGTACCCAAAGAGGAGTAGACAGGGCCTCCTCTGCTGTGACCCAGTGAGAGGAAGATTCCTGCTCTCTTTTACTGCAGCCTGTTTGGGACTGAACTGTGTCCCCAGGGTTCCTAAGTTAAAGGGCTGACCCCCAGCATTTCAGAATGTACCTGGAGATAAGGTTGTCAAAGAGGTAATTAAGTTAAAGTAAGGCCATTAGGTTTGGCCCTAGTTACATACAACTGGTGTCTTTAATAAGAAGAGGAGATTAGGACACAGACACACACAGAGGGATGACTGTGTGAAGACGCAGGGGAAGGTGACCAGCCAGGGAGAGAGGCCTCAGAATGAAAACAACCCGGCCAACATCTGACTCTTGGATGTTTGGTCTCCAGAACTGTGAAGAAACAAATGTCCGTGGTTTAAACCACCCAGTCTGTGGTACTTTGTTATGGCAGTCCCAGGAAATTCATACACGGTCATTTCTTTCTTTCTAGAAGGCTGCAGCATTGGTTTTCTATTAAATCATTCTATTGAATTTATCACAAAAAGTAAGGTATTTTATAATCCAGTCCTTTTTTCTTACCTTTCAAGATTAATTTTATAGCGCTGGTTATTATCTGTAGTTCACCCTTACAATAATTCAATCAGTTATTTAAATATGTCATTCATTTATTCACTTCATTCTTTTATCCATCGACCCATTCACACATGTACCCACGCAGCCATCCATTCCTTTATTCACTCATCCATGCATCCCACCCACCCACCCGCATAGACATCGAGTCATCCATCGGCCCATTCACCCATCCACCCATTCAATCATCATTCGCCTATCCATCCATTCATCATCCACCCACCCATTTATCCATTATCCACCCACCCATCCACCCATTCATCCATCCATTCATCCATCCACTCATTCATTCATCCATCCTTCCATTTATCCATCCATCCATCCATCATCCACCCACCCATTAATCACTCACACACACATCCATCCATCCATCATCCATTCACTCATCCATGCACCCACCCATCCATCCATTCATCATCCATCCACCCACTCGTTCATCCACCCATTCACCCATCCACCCCCTCATCCATCCTTTTATTACTCACCCACCCATCCATCCATTCTTCATCCACCCATCTACTCATCTATCCATCCACTGATCAGTTTCTCCATCCATCCATCCATTCACCCATTCATCCATCTATCCACCCACCACCTCCCCGCCCATCCATCCATAATCAGAACCCACCCCACTCTCCCAGATTTCTTTCCACCGACCTTTTATCTCCCCCAGAACATTTCCTCATTATTTCAGCTTGTCAGGTGCCCTCTTCTGTTTTCTCACAGATTCACCCCCAAGATTCTAATAGGGAATGTCTCCCACTCCACAGAAATTAATTGCTTCTTTATCTTCCTAACTCAACTATAACTTTTACAAAGTTAGGAAGAACATCTTATTCATGTTCACACTTGTCAAGCACAGAACTTGACCCTAAAGAAGTTCTCAGTAATTATTTGGTTTATTCAAAAAGAAATATGAGTCATTTATTTTACTTAATAGAAGCAATATCCACTGGACGATATTCTAGATTAGGCTTCTTTTTAGACCTTTGTGGTTTTTTCTACAGTCACCACAATACAATCCCAAATCAGCTAGAAAGAAAACACGCATCCTTTCAAACTGTAATTTGGTCAAAACAACATTATTTCATTTTTAGTTTTGTTTTGTTGTTTCCCTAAATTGATTGACTTGGCTGGTTCACCCTACTGTAACCTGTGTCTCTAATTCAACAGGAACGCACATTGCATCATTTTCTGGGGAAGCTCAATGCCTGCAAGTTGGGAGCTGTTTAGTGATATTCACATCCTCCTCTAGAAATTACTTAAGTGTATTTACCGACCTTCACCACTCAGATTAGGGAAATCCACTTGGCAAGGGAAGCCATGCATTCTAATGTGTATAGATGCTAGGGCCTTTTATAGAAACTAACAATTTTGAACCTGATTGAAGTATTGGGCTTAAAAAAGTACCATTTTTTAAAATTTATTTTTCCAGGGCACCTGTGTTACATTTTGTTATCTTTTTGTGACTATTGTAAGACACAAAGAACTTAGCTTAGCCATCCTATTATCCACGTGAATATTGTCCACTAACCAGGTCCTTCTCTGCTTCCAGACATGGTCTGGCTTGGACCTGCCATGCCTGGCTTGCAGCCCCCATCACCCCTGAGCAAGACACAGCCCTGGGCCTCTGAGATGCTCTTGCTGGCCATGGCTCTGCCTTGTGTTTTACAGAGCTCATCGGCCTGAGGGCATCTTCCTCTCTATTAATCTCACTTAGGGTCACAACATGCTGTGAAACAAAGGACCAAATGCCATTCACAATATTACCCCTAGAAACTCCTTCAGGGACTGGAGTCATTTTCCTTTCAGTAATGTAAATACAAGCTCCTGTTCTGCCATTAGCAAGTGGAAGGTGAAGACTATGGGAGAGGCCAAGGGTTTGGAATGAGATGAGCTTGCACCTTAGACAGGATGTTTCTCAAAGGAAGGAAGTACTTGTTTGGACCAGATCATTATTTGAAAGATCATCAGCCTGGAGGGAACATGAGTATGTATTTAGTCCTCACCACACTGTTTCATAAATGTATTATGTGCAGGACAATGAAAAATTTATTTTGCTGCAGGTGGAGGTTGAGAGGCAGACACAGGCACTGGACATTGATGGAGAAGTGAGGGAAGGTGAGCAATGTAAGTATTGTGACTGCAAGGGTTTGTAAGGAAAATATGGCAACACAGACATGCAGCCCTCAAGACAAACGTTTCCACCGGGTTTACCAGTGGCTTTGATTTCTGTTTATGTTAATATTGACAAATTGTATGTGTACTATTACTTTCCAAATACCCTTAGAAATACATTCAAGTCAGCAAAGTATCTTTCTAAATACCACTTTGTTCGTAAAGGAACTGAGATCTGTACCTGGGGAAAGTGCCAAAACCTGAAGTTTGTTACTGGCAGTTGTGGAATATTCTACTGGAACATTGAGAAAAGGGGTGTGTTATGGGGCTTGTGGAGACAGCTGAAAACTGGTGAAACATTTTTCAAAGTGCATCTCTGAATTGTTTCTCGAATTGACCAAGCAGATGTGTCCTTTGTGTAGTTGTCAATCTAACAAAAGCCAAATGTTTCATTTTCTTTCTTTTTAGAAATGGCACATTTATTTCTAAGAAGTCTTCCAAACTACCCCCTTTTCTTGTCTCTTAGCAGGTTGTTAGGTGATGCAGGCATTTCAGGAAAGTCACAAAGTTACTTGGTCATACCTCACCAAATATCAGTATTCTTAACACACAATATAAAACTGAGGCTATCAGAATATTTAATAAACCAGATGAGCACAACATCCTCTTAATGATCACTAATGTTTCCATTATCCCTTGTGGCAATTTAAATTCACTAAAATAAGAACAATCATGCAACCTTCTTTTTGGCTTACATCAAGGAAGATTCCATTTCTATGAAACCCACATCTTCAAGATTACACTGTAAAGACAAATTGAACTAAAACTTTGAAGATTTCTACACAAATGCAAAGAATTCAGATCTGGGATTCCATCTTTTATTCTAATGCATACTTGATCTGGTTGTATTCTGAATCCTCCTTACAGGAATGTGATGTGGACTGACACGTAATTTGGAAACTACTAGAAGGCTCTTGAATGGAACCAGGGATTCTTCACACTTCATAGAGCAGCTGAAAGGGACTTGAGCACTACTTGGGCCTTCTGACGCCAGAGTTACAGAATGCTCTTTTGCCAAATCATGGATGGCCACTCGAGCACACAGATATTCAGGATCCTCTTGTCCCCGTGTGCAGAGAGGCCTGGTGCTGGATATCGTTTATGTGAGTTGAGCGGATAGCTGAGGCTATGTGGATGCATGTAACTAGTTAGAGCATTTTACTAAGTTAATGACCGAAATCAGAGCTCTCAGGTCACTACTGGAATCAGCTCCTCTCCCTGTGAAGTAGTTAACTGTGGTCATGATCTGCCCTCTGCACTTCCCAGTTAATTGCACCTGCTTCCTGTTTTCACGTGGGGAGAGCATCCTCACCCAGCCTTGGAAGCACTGACATTCGAGTTGTGCGTGGGCTGCTGATGAATCCTGGTTCAGTGAGCTTAGCTGCCTAGGCAGGGTGGTAATTAGAGTACGGAGTTTTACAGGAGAATCTACTGCATAATTCATGAGGAAACTGAAACGCAAAAAAGATGTGTAGTTAAAGCCATGTGCTCCTGTGAGTGGGTGGGCACGTGCAGTCACTCTGCCTGCAATAGCAGAGGCGGAAGAGCCGCAGAGACCCGTGGGCTCAAGAAAAGTACATTCATTAATTAATTAATCTTATAACATAAAAACTTTTGATGTTCAATCGGCCTACTCAGACATTCCTCACCAAATAGAAGTAGGAAGGACACGGGGAAATGCAACTTTTCAATGAAGCATCCATCAGCAATTTAATGCCTTGTTTTGTCCACTTTTCCTTCTTGTGAAGAGTGTAATGTCGAAGTTAGAGCCACATCTCCACCTTTAGAAAGACGTGGCTGAAATGTCTGAAGGGCAGGAGAGGTGACCCTTGGTGAGAAGATGGCTCTTTGCTGATATAAGTCACCCCCGATGGCATGGGTCCCTGGTCAGGAGGCTGTTTTACATCCTTAGCTTGTAGAAACGCAAAGCACAGGGGAATGGTGTCCCCAGAGTCCATGAGAGGAGCTTCGCACAGGGACAGACTGCGGTCCCCAGAGTCCATGAGAGGAGCCTCACATGGGGACAGACTGCCGTCCCCAGAGTCCATGAGAGGAGCCTCGCACGGGGACGTGACTGCTGTCCCCAGATTCCAGACTCCTACCTCCTACTCAGAAAAACTGGAGCCATTAAAATGGTTACTGCTGAATGTGGAGCTTTTTGTGGTGTGAGAGAGCCCCATGTTTATTTCCTGAATTTCAATTAACAAAAACCCTCCTGTATTTGTCTTTAGTTTTATCTGACTCATATAAACTGGGAAATTACCTACCTGAGTTTGAACAAAGCTGAATAATTTTTCAAATTTTACAGGGGAATTTAATTAAGTTTGAATGACAGCATTTTATTTTCCAAATTTGTTTTAAAATGAATTGAGCTGTAATAAGAGTTGGAAGATAACACAGAGCTCCCAAACCTCCTTCACCCACCTGCTCAGTGTTAACTCTATGCACGGCCACAGCACAGCAACCAGGACCAGGGAGTGGACGTGGATCCAATGCTGGTGATTACATCTCAGAGCTCACCCTGGTATCCCCAGCTTTTCCATCTGCATCCTTTCCTCTTCCAGGATCCAGTCCTGGCACTGTGCAGCCCACGGCCGTCGGGGGTCATCAGGTCCCTGAGTCTCCTCTCATCCATGTTCATCTCTTAAAAAATAAACTTACAAATTTAAAAATACAAAAAACAGTGCGCGCACACACACACACACATGCACGTGCACATACACACACAAGCCAGGCACCAAAAGACAAACACCTCATGATCTCCCTCCTATATGGAATCTAAAAGTGTCGAGCTCATGGAAGCAGAGAGTGGATGGTGGACACCTAGGGTTACGGGGCAGGTGCGGTGGGGGGCAGGTGTGGTGGGGGCTGGTGCCATGGGGGGGACAGGTGCCGTGAGGGGCAGAAAGATGCTGGTCAAAAGTGAGGGTTTCAGTTGCAGGATAAAAATGTTCTGGGATCTAATGTATAGCTTGATGACTATTGTTTATTTGAAAATCGCTAGGAGAATAGATATTAAATGTTCCTATCACACACACAAAAGGATGAATACGTGAGGTGCTGTATATGTTAATTAGCTTGATTTAATCACCCCACAGTGTTTACATGTATGAAAACATCATGTGAACATAAATATGTATAATTTGTATTTGTTAATGATAGCTTGATGAAGCTGGGGGCGAGGAAAACAAAAACTAAAAAGTGAATGGCAAGTAAAAAAGGCAACATCAGGCTGTAGTTTGAAGAACACAAGGCAGTCAGGCCCTGGCCACATGTCAGGTGAGTCAAGTGTGAGCCCACCCTGGATCCCTTTTCTGTTACAGTCACAGGCAAGGGCCTATTACAGGTGGTCCTGGGCCTCGGTTAGGGAGAGCCTCTTGTCTGTGGACAGAACACACGATGTCTGCAGGGAGAAAGGTGGCCTTTCTATGGAGACATCAAGCAAAATGTGTGATTTGCTGTTTCTCATGCATTGATCAAGGTATTCAGTAATCAGATTTCCCCAGGATATCAAATAGTTCATTGGCACTTGCCAAAAAATGGAAGCGTGCTTGTCTTCTCGGTGGGCCCGGGACTGGACCGCAGGGCTGGTGCCACTCCTTCACTGAGACCTGCTTGTAGCAGGGCCCTGCATTCCCCCATCCTGCCATGTGTGAGTTGGCTTCTTACTGTATCATGCGTTCCTTGCAGATTTCTGTCTTCTTTGGAGCTCCTTGATTTTTCTCATAATGGGAGAAGACGTGTATTTTTTTCTTTCCTTCTCATGGCTAAAACTGTCCTCTTTCTCACTGAGTCTCCCCTGCAATCTCTCTGCTCTCCATTGCTGGGTGGCCACGTCTTCCCAATGCTCCTTTCTGACAGAGACTGGGGGCTTCAGCCAGATCTTTAGTTGCCTCTCTTTCATTCTCCCATTATGTGATAGCCTCGGGTTTTCCACGTCCCCCTGCAGAAATCTTCCTTCCCAAGTCCCCCGTCTTCTTTCTCAAAAATGTGTGTGCTATCCAGTGGGCCTCCTGCAAACCCGCCATTCTCAGACTTTTCTCCGCTCCCCTCTCAACATTTCCAGTGTAACAGCTTCCATTGTACTTGATGCATTATTTATATTGTTTAATTAGTATTAAAATAAGCACATCATGTAATCCAGCTAAAATATGTATTTTCAAATGATAGATACATTTCTCATATTTGTGCGGGGTCAAATGGTAACAGCAACTTAGAGGAGAGGCTACAAAACGACCTGGAGAGTTGATGTGCCGGCTCGGCCTCCCCCAGCTGTGCATGCAAACCCCCTCTTCCCAGGTCTCCATCGGCACTCGGCATTTTCAAGCGTCCTTCTGTGATGAAAAGAGCATCCAGTCAGTATTTACTTTACATTTTAATGCTTTCTTCTTCAAACTCTTCCTTGAGTATTTGCCCCACGCTGTCTCATTTTACCACCCACCTTTCTGGCTGTGTGAATTTCCTGCGAATGCCTTAACAAAGGGCCACGTGCTTAGTGGCTTTACTCCATCAGCTCCGGAGGTCATAGATCCAAATGAGACTTTTGGCAGCAAGGTCCAGGGACAGGCCTGGTTGTGCCTGGAGACCCCAGAGGCCCTGCTCCTGGCCTCCTCCAGTTTCTGGAGGCTCATGGCCACGGCCCTCCAGTCTCAGTTTCCATCATCACTTCCCCCTTTCTCCCCTCAGACTTTCCCACCTTTGTCTTGTAAGGAGCTGTGTGCTAACACTAAGGCCAGTGGATAATCCAGGCTAATCTCCCCTCCTCAAAATCTTAACTGAATCCCATCTGCAAAGCCCCTTTTGCCATGCAGGTTGCAGTCACAGGCTGGGGGACTGTGTCCCCTAGACGCTGGTGCTCTGAGCTACTCTTGAGGTCTTTTCCATCCACATTCTCCCAAGAAGAATCCCATTCACTCACAGTCCACTACTGTATCCCCCCTCAGGACTCCCAAATGTGTCTTTTTAAGCTGGACTTCACCCAACAGCTGAAAGTACATTTCCAAATGCCCAAGAGCTCACTGCCCGCCTGTGCCACGGGCACCTCCAACACAATTCCAAGCCTGAGTCTGCTGCTCCTTTGCTTGTCACAGCCAGTCTCCTTTCTTCTCTGGCCTTCCTAGGGCCAGTACATGAGATTTTCACTTGCTTAGGCATCAAACCGAGGATGGCTGAATCCTCAGAGGCTCTGTGCTTTTCTTCTGTTCCCAACAGTAACTCATCATTGAGCCATGGAATCCTCTTTAATGAGCCACCGAGTCTGGTCCTTCCTCTCTATCCAAACCCCACCCTCCTAGTGACCATTCTCAGGGTGCGTGGGGGGATTATATCACTGTTGGCTGATCTCCTCCCTGCTCTTCAGAGCTTGTCTAACTCATTTGTTATCTTCACCCATTTGAGGGGTGAGTGATGAGGATTGAGGGGAGAATGTTAAAGGCAAATCATCACATTCTTGGGCTTCAGAACATCTTCTAACAAAGATTAATGTTCTGAAGCCTTTGCATCGTGTTTTAGCATTTGGTTTCAAATTACCTAGAGGAAGCATCAGTCACATTTGGAGAAGGGAAAGAAAAGGAGAAAGATGAAGATGATTTTCACAAACTAGAAACCCATAGGACTTCCGGGGGCATGAAGAGGCTCCAAGTCTCAGGAGCAGGTCATTGAAGATGTGTTATTTTATCATTTTCATGATGAGATACAGCCTGAAAGCAGATCACCCATGAAAACATGTCATCTCCCAGTGTTCGGAATGCAGTCATGGTGACCTTCCTACAGAACATCTCTGTCTTTGTGGGGACTCTTTTGATGGGTGCATGATGAGGATTGAGGGGAGAATGCATGCTGGTGAACACACACTGAACTGTGCTCATTTTTCACCTCAACAAATTGGAAAAAAGTGTACTTTATTCACCTCTTAGTGATAAGAAAACTAGGGGCTTGGGGACAGGAAGCAAAAGGCTCAGAGTTGTAGAGCGAGTCATCGGTGGGCCTGGGAGCTGCACCCAACCCAATCCTCGGAAGATTAACAGCCCCTTTTTCACAGGGTATTTAACTGTGAAAGTAAGAGGGAGGAAAATGCAAGTGTCACAAGTCTGGATTTAGTTGGTTTATTCTTTCTCCCTGTATAATTTTTCCCCTCTTCTTCCTAACTCATTCGGCCAGAGGCTGGACTGCATGTGGACCCCGATGACATGGCACTTTGTTTCTGACCAGTCAGGACACACAAGAGGCCCGGCGCAAACACAACAAAGCCCGCAGACATTCTGTCCCCACGAAGAACGGACGCCACTCGACTTCCTAGCATCTTGACGGGCTATCCAAGCGCGGAGTCAGTTTATAAGGTGGGTAACCAAGTCCCTGGAAGGCAATTAAGGCGCCCATTTCAGAAGAGTTACAGCCGTGAAAATTACTCAGCAGTGCAGTTGGCTGAGAAGAGGAAAAAAGGTCAGGTTGTAAAGCTTTTTATTTTTCCATTTTCTAAGAGAAATTCATCATTGGAACTTGTAAAGTGGCCCAAGAGTGGCTGTAATTTGGGCCATTATAGCAGGTATGGGTGGCGTCTCTCAGCAAAGCTGACTGACTGACTGATGAGTGCTGTTTGCAATGACCTCCGCTGGAACATGTGAGTCCTGTAGGGTCGATTCCTAGATCACCGTCTACTGAGACACATTCCTGTCAGCATGGACTCACTGGTGCTATCCTGCTTAACAAAATTAGTGGCTCAAAAATAGCCACAGAAAGCCTAAGAGAAGAAAACAAGGATTTGAAAGTAGAAATGATGAATTTTGAATCTTCTGTTTTGTCTTAACAACTAGAATTCTAAAATCATTTTATGGACATAAGAATGCTTTAAGAAATTCAATAGGCATTTAGGGGTTTTATTTATCACTTTTATAAAGACTAAATTTCTAATAGTACTCACTTTTTGCCACATAGATGCATTAGGGGAAACAGATTTTTTTCATTCCCAATAATTATTCCCAGTACTGTTACACTATTTGACATTACCAAAAATTTAAATAGGTTATTACTGAGATATATTGGCAACTGGAGCTGCCAACATAAAAACTCTGTTTTTGAATAATGGGGGCCTGGGAGGCCTGCTCAGCGCTGCAGTTTCTGTAACCTCCTGACATGGACGGCGACTCTGGTCTCGCAGACCCCAGGCCTGTGAGGGTCGCTCACTGCGGTAGAGGCTGCGTGGAGTCAGTGGAGGGAGCCCCTCAGCAGGGAGACAAGGACACAGCGGTTCCCATGGCCTTGTCAGTGCTTGATTACATACTCTGTCTCCTTCCGTTAATTTTAGAATGAGAGCGCTCGCTGTGCTGTCTGTCACGCTGGTTATGGCCTGCACAGAAGCCTTCTTCCCCTTCATCTCGAGAGGGAAAGAACTCCTTTGGGGTAAGTAGCAAACACATTGCGGTCTTCTGGCCTTATAAAGTTATTTTTCACACTTACTAAAATAGAGGGCATAATGGTAGCTCCTGAGAGTCACTTTAGGCCCCTGTAGTGTATGCTTTGTTATGCTTAAGAAAAAAAAATTGTAATTCTTGATTTTAGAAGGATTGAAATATGTACATTTCTTTCTTTAAAAAAGAGCTGATTTTCCTTGGATGACACAATAGACAATTTTCACTTTTACCTATTCATATAACTGAAAAAAAAATTCTTTGGGAGTGTTTTTCTTCCTTTGCTACAGAATTATTTTTTATTAAATAACTTCTGTGATGTATTTTCTGGAATCAGTGTGCTACTATGTGAAAACAAGTTAAGAAAGCTACTGAGATGCAGTGGTTAAAATAATCACAGATCAAGCTCTTTGCTTTTCTTTTAATAAAATAAATAAAGTTCCAAACCCTGAGAACAAGTTTCACTGGAGTGAATACTGCAGGGGCATTTGCCTGGACATTTTACCCCATGGACACCGCTGGCCCCGGGAGCAGGTGACACCTCGCTGGGCAGGTCCCTGGGCCTCTGCACACAGTCCCGGGGCCCCTGGAGCAGGTGACACCTCGCCGGGCAGGTCCCTGGGCCTCTGGACACAGTCCCAGGGCCCCTGGAGCAGGTGACACCTCGCCGGGCAGGTCCCTGGGCCTCTGCACACAGTCCCGGGGCCCCTGGAGCAGGTGACACCTCACCGGGCAGGTCCCTGGGCCTCTGGACACAGTCCCGGGGCCCCTGGAGCAGGTGACACCTCACTGGGCAGGTCCCTGGGCCTCTGCACACAGTCCCGGGGCCCCTGGAGCAGGTGACACTTCGCCGGGCAGGTCCCTGGGCCTCTGGACACAGTCTCGGGGCCCCTGGAGCAGGTGACAGCTCACCGGGCAGGTCCCTGGGCCTCTGCACACAGTCCCGGGGCCCCTGGAGCAGGTGACACCTCGCTGGGCAGGTCCCTGGGCCTCTGCACATAGTCCCGGGGCCCCTGGAGCAGGTGACACCTTGCCGGGCAGGTCCCTGGGTCTCTGGACACAGTCTTGGGGCCCCTGGAGCAGGTGACACCTCACTGGGCAGGTCCCTGGGCCTCTGCACATAGTCCCGGAGCCCCTGGAGCAGGTGACACCTTGCCGGGCAGGTCCCTGGGTCTCTGGACACAGTCTTGGGGCCATGGCACAGCACTGGCACCTCTGCCCTCACCAGCCTTTCCCAGGACTGGAGGCCTTGTCTGTCGTTCAGGGTCACAGAATCTGGAGTCCTCGCTGTTCCCAGCCACACCCAGCCCAGCCTCCTGCTGGGGGCCACATTTTACCCCAATTTTTCTGCATCTCAGGACTTCACAACCATATTAGGAGTGGCAGTGAAGTCCATAACAGACTCGTAGGCTCCTTAAAAAAACTCTCCCTCCACAGCCCCCAGGACTTCCTGGTCACTGCCCGCTCTGAGATCAGGGAAGCCGTGGGGCCTCTCCCTGCCAGCTTCCATCCATGCCCCAAGGATGGGCTACTCACCCCTAATTCCTGTCCCTCCCCTGCAAATGGAGAACACTGGAAAATTACTCATCGCAGTCATTATTTGTGAGCAAGAATGAGATACTTCATTTAAAGCGGTGAATGCAGTACCTCGGCAATCACCAAAAAACAAAAAATAAAAATGGAGTCACAATATAAAGAACCTCAGGAAAAAGTGATTTTGCATCTTCCCAGAATAAATCAGTCACTCTATCACCTGGAACATGCTAGATGTTCAGCCAATGGTTTGTAAATTAATTACTTTGTTATTTTATTTCATATTTAGTAGGACCTGGTTGTATAAAACCAGAGTAAAACATGTTAGAAGTCAAGAGCTAGTTCTGAGCAAGTTGTGATACATGAGAGCTATTCAACAAAATATTTAAAACTTTGTAACATGTTTTTTAATTTTAAAAATCACATTTAAAAAGCCATCAGGAATGCAGTAGCCACAGCTTTTGCTAAAACAGTTTTTAAAAATTATTTTTCCATATCTGGGAGATTTGACCTTTTCGTTTTGCTTAAACTTTTGGTTGACACATCACGAGTGCACAGGACAGCAGCTGACAACTGCCCCGCGTGCTGGGCACATGCTTCTGCCTGCTCCAATATTTCAAAGCTGACTTATTGTTTGCTTGAAATGTGAATGAGTTACTGAAAAAATATTATGTGTCTCACAGTATTTCTATTTTACAGCCTTTAATAGTTGTTTTGCAGCTTTAAATCTGTTTGGAAAATGATGCCCAATGACTGTGTGTGGGTTTATGTCACCTGTGCTCACAGACATGTGAAGCAAAAACCTTGGCCTGCTCCCCAGCCTCTGTGCAGGACAAGCCAAAGAGCAGGCAGCGGCAGGGCCAAGAGGATCCAGGCTCCCCCTGGACCACACACGGTCACCGTAAGCACATGGTGCTCCGGGGGGTCCTGCTTGGTGGGTGGCTCACCCTTATGTGTCAGGCACCCATTTTATAGATCAAAACGTAGAGGTCTGGAAGTCTCAGAAGCAGCAAGGCTGTGGCCGCTCAGTCTCACAGTCTCACGTCCCAGGTCTTTACAGAGAACCAACACACATCCTCATACTTGAAGCTCGATGATAAGTACTCAGCGAAAAGTATCAGGCCAGTGCCGTGACTCACATCTGCAATCCCAACACAGTATCATCAGGCCAGTGCCGTGACTCACATCTGCAATCCCAACACAGTATCAGGCCAGTGCCGTGACTCACATCTGCAATCCCAACACAGTATCATCAGGCCAGTGCCGTGACTCACATCTGCAATCCCAACACAGTATCAGGCCAGTGCCGTGACTCACATCTGCAATCCCAACACAGTATCAGGCCAGTGCCGTGACTCACATCTGCAATCCCAACACAGTATCATCAGGCCAGTGCCGTGACTCACATCTGCAGTCCCAACACAGTATCAGGCCAGTGCCGTGACTCACATCTGCAATCCCAACACAGTATCAGGCCAGTGCCGTGACTCACATCTGCAATCCCAACACAGTATCATCAGGCCAGTGCCGTGACTCACATCTGCAATCCCAACACAGTATCAGGCCAGTGCCGTGACTCACATCTGCAATCCCAACACAGTATCAGGCCAGTGCCGTGACTCACATCTGCAATCCCAACACAGTATCATCAGGCCAGTGCCGTGACTCACATCTGCAATCCCAACACAGTATCAGGCCAGTGCCGTGACTCACATCTGCAATCCCAACACAGTATCATCAGGCCAGTGCCGTGACTCACATCTGCAATCCCAACACAGTATCAGGCCAGTGCCGTGACTCACATCTGCAATCCCAACACAGTATCAGGCCAGTGCCGTGACTCACATCTGCAATCCCAACACAGTATCATCAGGCCAGTGCCGTGACTCACATCTGCAATCCCAACACAGTATTAGGCCAGTGCCGTGACTCACATCTGCAATCCCAACACAGTATCAGGCCAGTGCCATGACTCACATCTGCAATCCCAACACTTTGGGAGGCCGAGGCGGGAAGATCACTTGAGGCTAGGAGTTCAAGACCAGCCTGACCAACATGGCAAAACCCCATCTCTACTAAAAATACAAAAAAAAATTAGCTGGGCGTGGTGGTGCCCACCTGTCATCCCAGCTACTCGGGAGGCTGAGGCACGAGAATCAGTTGAACCCAGGAGGTGGAGGTTGCAGAGTCGAGATCACACCACTGCACTCCAGTCTAGGTGACAGAGTGAGAATCCATCTCAAAAAAAAAAAAAAAAGAGAGAGAGAGAAAAAAAGAAAAGCATCAGTCCTGGATAGAGTTTAGGTTGTATCAACTTGCCTGCAAACTGTAGGAAGGTGAGAATAAGAAGGGAAAGATCTTGGCTGGTGCTCAGACTGGGTGGGTGCAGGAGAGACTCTTGTTCCAGAGCAGGATCCCCTAGGGTCAAAGCACAAAGAGAAATAAACTTCAGCACCTGAAAATTCTGTAATAAGAGTCTTTGAAAATGGAAAAAAAATCTATGCTTGACCATTGTTGTCTAAGAGAAGTTTGCTATCAATCCCTCCTCTAACGCCCTGAACAGAATGTTCTTCACCAGAACCCTGTGTATTCATCACCACACAGGCTGAGAGGCATTCCAGCATTTGTGCAACATCAAGATTTATGTGCAATTATCTTTATGGCAAATGTTCCACAAGTTATAGCTGTTAAAAGAAAATAAGATGCAAATGAACAAGAAGAAGCAGAGGCGCTGCCTGCAGCCTGGGAAAATTTGGGAAGCTAGCCTAATGAGTGAATTTGTTTTAAAAGGAAAGTTGGCAAACCTTATTCCAGTTCATTAAATTTCAACAAACAGCAAGGATTAAAGTAAGAATCAACACACAACTCTAAACAGGAATCAAGCGCTTAGAATTAGGAGCAAAGCTCTGGCCCTGGGGGCTTATGGTTTTGGAGAAGAAAGATTTTGGCTTTCATATATATATTTAACATAAACAGCCTTTGGAACAAGGCAACTTCCTTCTTCTTTCTGAAATGTGGTATGTTCTTGCCTAATGTGTCCCTGAATTCCACCTCTTTTATGAACAATATGAATATGCATAAAGGAGAATTTGGGGGAACCGTGCCATGCGCCCCTCAGAGCAGGAGCAATCTTGAGAAGGCGCAGGCAGAGAGCAGCGGGCGGCTTCTCCAGAGCAAGTAATTAAGTCCCGTGACTCCCTAGAACTCAGTGTTCAGTTCTGAAAAAAAACTTCGGGTTCAAACTCCCTAAGTCTATGGTCCTTGCATCAGACGCCTCTTCCCTGGGATTGCTGGGAACTGAGGAAGGAAGGGCGCTGCAGAGCTAACGATAGCAAGGGGCTCAGAGCTGGCCACCCCAGCTCCCTGGTGGCAGGAGAGCTAATGTGAGCTGATGGAAACTGAGAAGCAGCAGATAAAGGAAAAGCCATCTGCCCTGCCTCTATTGCCTAAAAGTAGAACATAAATCCGCAAAAGTGACCATTTCCCTCTCCAACAGAAAGGACAGAAATTCATCACCAGGGACCCCAGGCCCTCAACAGCCTGGAACCAGCCCCAGAGGCATTTGTGTGGCAAACCTCTGCAGCCCCGGCCTCCCTTCCTGTAGTTGCCCCAGAGAGGCCTCCTCAAAACGTGTTTCCTGGGAACTCAAAGTCCTTTGCTTTGGTCTTGCAGCTTCTTGGAAAATGATTGTTCTTTTGCTGAGGGGCTGTGCAGCAGAGTTCTAACGATCCATTCGAGTTTCCATCTTGGGGCGCTCAGGGGGCTCCCTCGTGGAAGCAGGAGTCCAGGCTAATAACCCCTGTGAGTTTTCCTCCTGTGACTCTGCCTTTTGTCAGTCTAATTTCAATGCCCCAGAAAATTAATCTAAGATGCAGGGAGAGAAAAGGTTTCTTCTTCCCCTACAGATGGATGTCAGTCATCTCTATTCAGCCAAGAAGTAGTTAACCTAAACAATGAAAACACCACCGGTTCCAGTAGAGACTTGAGACTATCTGATGAGAGTTATGTGTCTCTGGGAGGAAGTTTTCAATACAGAAATGGATTTATTTTATGAAACTTAAAAGACTAATAATCTGCAAGCCTATAAGAATGTTTTAATTCTGTAAAATATTTTACAATAAGAAAAGAAACTAGAGACTAAGCAACATATGATCAGTTAAACTTGAATAACAATATATTAATATTGGTCAATAACAAGGAATGATCTCTCTAGTAACTGCCGTTTCCAAGCATAGTAGAGAAGGATAAGCATGTTTCTTTATATTTAATCAGTTGGTTCTTAAATAATTGTCAAGTGCCTGCTGAAAACCAGCCTTTGGTCTTGGTCGTGAATAGCGCAGAACTTTGCAGAGCCCTGAAGAGACTCTCAGTGATAGGATGCATATACACAGGTGGTGTGAGTGACAGAGCTAATTTTTTTTCTGGTACCTAAAGATCAGCAGGATCAAAATTTCATAAAGGAAGAGCTGGGAGCTTGAGATTGACAATTTCATGAGATGAAGGATAAATTGTGCGTTACCTCCACAGCTCTGCAACATGGAGATTGGTCTTGGGCAGGTGGTGGACGTCCTGGATTCTGAGGAAGACCTGCACGCAATTCAGTGGGCATCAGGAGCCTTCAGATGCTTTCATCAAAGGCACAGGCACAAGCAGGCCTTGGTTTAGAAAGGTCACTTGGGTGACAGCAGGAGGGACAGAAGGATGGTGGGGAGATCAGTGCAGGAGCCAGTCAAGAGCTCCTTCTACTAAGGCAGTAGAAAGTGAGACTGACAACGGCCAGGCAGGAGCAGAACGTTCTCCCAGAGACATTATGGGGAAATTCACACCACATGGTGAGTGAAAGGCAAGGAAAGCCACGGCTGGGCTTCTTGCTTGGGGACTTGAGCTGGTAGGGTGGTTATTTCAGGCTGTTAACACCCCTCAACAGGGAACAGAGGAGGATGGCGTGACTCAGGAGAGAAGTTCAAGTGGAAAACGGGCGTTTGGGAGAGGACCAAAGGAGGGTGAGAGGAGAGGGCAAAGATCAGAGGAGCCAGAAATGCACCCGAGGTGACACTCACAGGAGGGAGACCATGGAGAGAAGAGAGCCACAGTGACCGAGGCTGAGAGAGAGAGTGGCCAGAGACTGAAAGCAAAAGGCACGACGGCCGGGAGCACTGAACGCTTGCCAGGCCCTGGACCAAAAGCCGTGCAAACCTCTCTGTAAAACCATCCTAAGACGTAACTCTGTGCACTTGCCAGGCCCTCAGCCCAGAGCCGTGCAAACTTCTCTCTTCAGAGCACACTTGCGAGGCCCTCGGCCAAGAGCTGTGCAAACTTCTCTCTAAAACCATCCTAAGATGTAACTCTGCAGCTAGGAGAGAAAACCGCGCCAGGTGAAGTGAGCTGCCGCGTCACTCGGAGATTGATTTGTCTCACTCCAGAGCCCATGGCCGTCACCCCTCTGCCACTTAAGAATGCCGGCAACATCCCAAAAGCACCAGAGTCCTGGGGAGGTGGGGGGCGGGGCTGGTTACTGCATTTGGCAAATAAGCGGTCGTGACTGACCACAGAATACAAAATGTGAGTTGAGTTGCCTGGGCAGTTGCAGTGGGTTTAGAAGGAAATAAGAGGAAAATAAAGGAAAATTCCAGGTGTCTTATATCTCAAGCTTTTGTGGGAACAGGAGGTTCCCTGATTCTTGAGAGCTGAAAGAAATCTCCATAAAGCCCGGAATGCTGGTCCTTGAGGTCCACACCTGCCACCGATCCTGCGACGCCCAGGCCGCCCCTCCCCTCTCGGCTCCTACTCACTCTTGGTGGCATCGTCCCACATTGCACTGTCCCCAGCACGCACACATTGGCGTAAAGCCAGGTCCCCTCTTCAGATTCCACACCCAGAGCCTGCAGCTCTGACGGCTGTGCTGGGGGTCCCCGGCGAGCTGTGAGCCCGTGCTAGGTGTTCCTCCCTCCCTCCTGCCCTTGCCCCAGGGAGCCCCACACCGGGGGGCTCTGTTCATTGCTCTCTGCCCAACCCTGAGGGGTCACCCTCTGCCCCAAGTGCTTAACCACTGGTTACTCATCCCAGAACCCAAGAGAGATCCAGCACGGAGGTTTTCTTAACTTTGCTGTATCACACTGTAAGAAACTGGGTGGCCAATGGAACAGACGGAGCAGGGCAGAGTGAGCAGGAAGAAATGATGCTGGGGAATTTGTGTGCTCCTTGGGTGGGGACGAGCATGGAAGGCGCGTGGGACTGAAGCCTTGAAGACCCCGCAGGCGCCTCTCCTGGACAGACCTCGTGCAGGCGCCTCTCCTGGACCGACCTCGTGCAGGCGCCGCGCTGGACCGACCTCGTGCAGGCGCCGCGCTGGGCCATGGGGAGAGCGAGAGCCTGGTGTGCCCCTCAGGGACTTCTATTTGCTTTTAGGAGCCAATTCATTCCTTTGGTGAAGTATTGATGCTACGCAGGTGAATTTAGTAACAGGACTGACGTGTGAACATGGCCGGAAACACTTGCCGTCTTCCTGTTACCGCGTCCGGAACTTCACGGTGATACCCAGAAATGGGATCTTAACCTCTTACACATTCCAGGTGCTAAAACAAATAACACAGGAGTGCTTTCATTGGAAACTACTGGTATAGTGGAATTATTTTATCTTTTATTAAATACACAAGATAGGCAAATCTTATCAACTTTACCACTGGCTCAGGTAACCAGTGATGAATGTTCAGAACAAAAGTTATTCGGAATCATTTGAAGTGGTTTGGGCAAGTGCGAAATTAAGGTGAGTAGCTCTGATCCCATCCTCCAGGCAGCTCCGTGCAGTGGGGGTGGACGCCCCTCTGTAGCGGGGAAGTGAAGGCCTGTGGAGGGAAGCGACCCCGGGACCTGGCTGCCTGCCTGTCCCGGAAGCCACGTGGGCATCACCGCAGCAAGATGGGCTTGAGGAACAAAGCAACACTGTCAGTGAATCGCTGAACTGTCATTGCGCTTTGACTGTGTGACATTCTGTTCCGTAGGAAAGCCTGAGGAGTCTCGTGTCTCTAGCGTCTTGGAGGAAAGCAAGCGCCTGGTGGACACCGCCATGTACGCCACGATGCAGAGGTGAGCCTTGCGGAGGGGCCGCCGCCCCAAATGCCACCGACAGGCGCATCCTCCCTGACATCCACACACGTGTGGCCTGATTTTCGCAATTGCAGATGAAAACCTGAAGCTTGCCATTGTTAATTTACTTCCCCAGTGTCATGTGCAAGCAGCAGACAGAACTGGTATTTAATCTCCAATCCTTTCTTAAGCAAGACACAAAGGAGGAGCACCCTGATGCAATTAGCAATTACGTATACCCTGGTTAAAAGACAGTAGAGGCTGACGTCCTGATAGCAAAACCAGCCTCTCTTCTCCAGGATTAGGACAGATTAAGGAGGAAAAGAGAGACCTAGATCCCAGATCTTTGGTGTTGTGATATAACTGTAACATTACCTGTGGCATAGAATAAAGAATTAAATGGGGCTCTCCCCCATTTTTGAAATAATTAGCATTTGTAATTATATAACAGACACCACTATTAAGAATATTGTGGTCTCATATTACCTGTCTAGAAAAAGAAAAGAAAAACAAAAAACAAAAAACCTGTAAAGCAGTTTGCCCTCCCAAGCTTATTATTTTGTAGGAAGTTGACTAATAATTATATAAGTTCTTGAGATACAAAATATCAAAAGACAGCAGTTAATTTATTCCAAATTTCTATTATTCCAGCCAGAAAAATACCTTACTGTTCATATTGGCTGCAAACAAATTATTATTTATTTTCTAAAAATTGAATCAAAGGGAAAAGAAAGAGAAACACTATTTCTCATAAACTCACGCACACTTTAATATGTCTAAAATGGGCAGGAATTCCTGGGGAAGACATGGCAGTGGGGGTGGATACCAAGTGCGTAGTAAGAAGTGTGTGCTGCTCTCTTAGTAACAATTTGTGAACCCAAGTATCTAAGACAGATCTCAGTCAATTTAGAACGTTTATTTTAACAAGGATAAGGATGCACCTGTGACGCAGTGTCAGGAGGTCCTGAGGACATGTGCCCAAGATGGCTGGGGCACAGCTTGCTTTTACACATCTTAGAGAGACATAAGACATCAATCAATACGTGTCAGATTTACATGGTGGGGAGCTTCCAGGTCATAAGTAGATGTAACAGTTTTCTGACTGACAATCAGCTGAAGGAATTATTATCAGTAGGACGGAATGTCTGGGTTATGTTAAGGGGTTGTGGACACCAAGGTTTTATGAGCTTCACAGAGAAGAGATGGTGAATGTTTCTTATCAGACTTAAGGTCTGTGTTGATGTTGATGCTGGAGGGGTAGAAGGAGGTGTGTCTGACCCACCACCTTCCATCGTGACCTGACCCAGCTTTTCAGGCTAACTTTGGAATGCTCTTGGCCGAGAGGTGGGATCCACTCAGGTGGTTAGGCGAGGACATTAGAATTTTATTTTTGGTTTACAAATTGCATGTTAACAGAACCCTTTTGAAATCAATGCCTTGATCCTAAGGATGCATTAGAGTGAGGGAAGACCAGGAGAGGCATCAACTGGGGAGACTATTGGAAAGATTTGCCTTTTGATAGCTCTCAAAAAAATACACTATACTATACACCTATTCCAACTATGTTTCTTTCCTTAAGAAATACTGTTTCTACTGTGGAACAGTCATTGTTCTAGATGCCGGGATACAGAGATGAGTTCGATCATTTCATATCCTCAGAAGTCCGTGCTCCTTCTGTAAAGTCATTGTTCTAGATGCCGGGATACAGAGATGCGTTAGATCATTTCATATCCTCAGAAGTCTATGCTCCTTCTGTAAAGTCATTTTTCTAGATGTTGGGATACAGAGATGAGTTTGATCATTTCATATCCTCAGAAGTCCATGCTCCCTCTATAAAGTCATTGTTCTAGATGCCGGGATACAGAGATGAGTTTGATCATTTCATATCCTCAGAAGTCCGTGCCCCTTCTGTAAAGTCATTGTTCTGGATGCTGGGATACAGAGATGAGTTTGATTATTTCATATCCTCAAAAGTCTGAGCTCCTTCTATGCAGTCATTGTTCTAGATGCCGGGATACAGAGATGAGTTAGATTATTTCATATTCTCAGAAGTCCATGCTCCTTCTGTAAAGTCATGTTCTAGATGCCAGGATACAGAGATGAGTTCGATCATTTCATATTCTCAGAAGTCTATGCTCCTCCTGTAAACTCATTGTTCTAGATGCCGGGATACAGAGATGAGTTAGATCATTTCATATTCTCAGAAGTCCATGCCCGTTCTGTGCAGTCATTTTTCTAGATGTCGGGATACAGAGATGCGTTAGATCATTTCATATTCTCAGAAGTCCGTGCCCCTTCTGTAAAGTCATTGTTCTAGATACCGGGATACAGAGATGCGTTAGATCATTTCATATCCTCAGAAGTCCGTACTCCTTCTGTAAAGTCATCGTTCTAGATGCCGGGATACAGAGATGAGTTTGATCATTTCATATCCTCAAAAGTCTGAGCTCCTTCTATGCAGTCATTGTTCTAGATGCCAGGATACAGAGATGCATTAGATCATTTCATATCCTCAGAAGTCTATGCTCCTTCTGTAAAGTCATTGTTCTAGATGCTGGGATACAGAGATGAGTTATATCATTTTCTATCCTCAGAAGTCTGTACTCCTTCTGTAAAGTCATTGTTCTAGATGCCGGGATACAGAGATGCGTTAGATCATTTCATATCCTCAGAAGTCTATGCTCCTTCTGTAAAGTCATTGTTCTAGATGCCAGGATACAGAGATGAGTTCGATCATTTCATATCCTCAGAAGTCTGTGCTCCTTCCGTAAAGTCATTGTTCTAGATGCCGGGATACAGAGGTGAGTTTGATCATTTCATATACTCAGAAGTCCATGCTCCTTCTGTAAAGTCATTGTTCTAGATGCCAGGATACAGAGATGAGTTCGATCATTTCATATTCTCAGAAGTCCGTGCTCCTTCCATAAAGTCATTTTTCTAGATGCTGGGATACAGAGATGAGTTTGATCATTTCATATCCTCAGAAGTCTATGCTCCTTCTGTAAAGTCATTGTTCTAGATGCCAGGATACAGAGATGAGTTCGATCATTTCATATCCTCAGAAGTCTGTGCTCCTTCCGTAAAGTCATTGTTCTAGATGCCGGGATACAGAGGTGAGTTTGATCATTTCATATACTCAGAAGTCCATGCTCCTTCTATAAAGTCATTGTTCTAGATGCCAGGATACAGAGATGAGTTCGATCATTTCATATTCTCAGAAGTCCGTGCTCCTTCCATAAAGTCATTTTTCTAGATGCCGGGATACAGAGATGAGTTTGATCATTTCATATCCTCAGAAGTCCATGCTTCTTCTGTAAAGTCGTTGTTCTAGATGCCGGGATACAGAGATGAGTTCGATCATTTCATATCCTCAAAAGTCCATGCTCCTTCTGTAAAGTCATTGTTCTAGATGCCGGGATACAGAGATAAGTTAGATCATTTCATATTCTCAGAAGTCCATGCTCCTTCTGTAAAGTCATTGTTTTAGATGCCAGGATACAGAAATGCATTAGATTATTTCATATTCTGAAAAGTCCATGCTCCTTCTGTAAAGACAGACACCTGAAGAAGGCACTTCATTTAGGGATGAATTTATTAGATCATCAGGAAACATGATGGTTTGTTGGTTGGAGAACTGACTTACTTTGAGTAAAAGTTTTAATAATAATAAAATACTTTTATCCTTCAAAACACATCTAGTTACTTTAGAGCCGAAAAGGAAAAAAAATAACTTTTCTAAATAATAATATCCAAAACTAGAGTGTGCCTAAATCATTTCTTCCACTCACTCATGGACAGTGGTATGGCCCTAGGCTTTTGGAAAGTGATAGGAAAGCACAGAGCCTGCCTACGGAAGTGTTTACGAAAAGGGAGAGTCTGAGACCACCCTACCCCCTCATTCATCACTTCACTTACCTGGATAGCATGGGGCCAGGGACAAAGGGACTTTGCTCCCAAGGTAGATGGGGCCAGAGTTTTAGTGTTTACGCTCATTCCCTGAGACCAGCTCCCATAGAGCAATGGAAAGGAGACCAGGGCAGGCTGCACACAGAAGGGGCCACATCTGGGGAGGGGGGCCCTGTGCCTGGGGACCCAGATCTTTATGATGTGCAGTGAGCTTGCCGGCCCAGGCTCTGGGGAAGAGCATCCCTGTTTGACTGGAGAGTGCAGTGTGTTCTGAAGGAAGATATGATGTCCAGGGAGGCAGGGGAGGGTTCTGGGGCCTGCGGCCCAGGCTGCATCAGCAACCAGGTTCACCTGCAGCAGCCAGACCCTGTGAGGGAGGCAGGCATTGTGTCTGGGCCACCTGGCCAGGTGTGGCTGGTAGTGAGTGGCCCCATGAGTGTGTGGGGGTGAGGGTGAGTGTGCCCTTGACCTGGCAGGCACCCCTCGGACAGGGCAGTGTGCTTTTCTCCCACCATGGCAAAGAGCGGGCACTGCAGATCTGCTCCCTCCACCTGCCGTGAGAGTGGGAGCAACTGTCTCCCTTTCTCCGCTTCATAATTTTATAATTTCGGCATGGACAGAAGAAGCGTCTGCATGAGGAGGCTGTGGGTCCGGGAGACCAGAGGCCGAGGAACCAAATGCTCCCATCAGTCTCAGTTGCTCACCCCATGATCTGTCTGGGCTCACACTCCTTGAGCAGTAAATTCATTCCCTTTTAGCATTCAGGGACCATTTCCAATATTCACAATTTGCTGTGAGTTCCAGGGTGTATTCAGCCTGGAATATCTGCATCTAGATTGGTGATACCATTTGAGTCTGTTTACTGTTCACGGTGAAACACTCTGGGCATTACTGGGATGACAGACAGAAGAGCTAAAGGAGTGTTATTATTTAATCAAATGAAGCTATTGGATGATGTCCCCAAACCGAGAGCGATCCAGAGAATTCGTGGGAACATACATTTGATGCATGGCTCTGTGTGGGCTCTTCACATTAAGAATGCGAAACCAGCTAGAGTCAAAGTTTCCCTAATTTGAGTTTGATTTTCAGATATTTTGCTGCAATTAAGAGCCTGAAAGTGTCACCTATTAATACCTTGCTTATGTTCTGAAGCTGAGGTCTTAAAGTAACATGCAGCCCTGGGCTGGGCTGCAAACTGTCTGCATTCGGAATGACCCATGGCTGGGGCCCCTGGGAAATAGCAGCAGATGAACAGAGCAGACTGTGGCTTGTGGGGTGGTTGAAGCACCTTTCCAGGCTCTCCTGAACTGAGCTCCCCACAGGCTGGGCTCTGCAGAACATGGACATGACGGGAAAGTGACCAGCCAGCAAGGGAGAGTCCTCTGAGCTACACGGCAGTTGCAGGGACAGGAAGGGCTGGCATGGGCAGCATGGCCTGGGGACCTATCCGGGGGATCCACTGGGTGATACCCTCCACGTCACTGTCAAGAGCTGAGCTCAGTTTCCCAGACCCCTGCTTTCCTGACGTACCCCTTTTGGGCCCAGATTGTGTTGTCCCATGGGTGCCAGGCAAAAGAAGGGATGAGACAGGTGAGCCCTCGAGTGGGTGCAGGTGATGTTCTAGGAAGCAGAGAAAGTGGATTTCATCAAAAGGAGCACCCTTGGCCTTCAGATCTCCAGAGAATTCTTGTTCTTCCTATTAGCCAAATGTCTTGCTCAGATAGATTTTAGATAAATGTCTCCAAGGAAAGCACGCGTTTTGGGGAGGGTTGCTATCCTGTCTACCATGGCGAGTCCTGGGGAACCTGCACAGGTGCTTACACTCTGGCTCTGCTGCTGCTGTGACTGACAATGTCACTTGTGTCTGGGCCGAGAGTCTCCTGTCTTTGGCTGGCATCCATGAACTATGGCTGGCTAATGTGTTAGTTGTAAGTAGCTATAATCTCAGTGTCCTCAAAGTTCATGACTATATAGTACCTTTTACAAACATGTCAGCCGATATAAAACACGTGTTTTATATTTTAAGTTAAATGTCATACGCATTTGTATGTACATGAAGTTATTTCTAATATATATGGTGAGTGATTTGCCCCATCCCGTTGGTGATAAGGGAGTTTTTGCTCAGTTACTTCACGTGAGATCTGGTTGTTTAAAAGTCTGTGGCATCTCCCCCACTCTACTCTCCTGCTCCTGCTCTTACTCCGGGACCTGACCACTCCCCATTCAACTTCTGCCATGGTTGTCGGCTTCATGAGGCCCTCACCAGAAGCCAGGCAGGTGCAGGAGCCATGCTTATATAGCCAGAAGAACCGTGAGCCAATTAAACTTCTTTTCTGGGTAAATTACCAAGTCTCAGGTATTTCTTTATAGCAATGTGAAAATGGCCTAACACAGAAAACTGGTACTGAGGAGTAGGGTGTTTCTATAAAGATACCTGAAATTGTGGCAGTGGCTTTGGAACTGTGTAATGGCAGGGGTTGGAAGAGTTTGGAGGGCTGAGAAGAAGAGAGAAAGACAAGGGAAAGTTTAGAACTTCCTAGAGACTTGCCAAATGACTGTGACCAAAACGCTGGTAGAAATAAGGACAGTGAAGGCCAGGCTGACATGGTCTCAGATGGAAATGAGGAACTTACTGGGAACTGGAGGTAGAGGCCGCCTGTGCTATGCCTCAGCAAAGAGCTTGGCTGCATTGTGTCCAAGTCGTGGGCATCTATGGAAATTTGAACTTACGAGTGATGACTTGGAGTATCTGGCAGAAGAAATTTCTATGCAGCAAAGAATTCAAGGGGTGGTCTGGCTTCTTCTAACAACCAACCATCAGATATGAGAGCAAAGAAATGATTTGTATTTGGAAATTATATTTAAAAGGGAAGCAGAGCATAAACATTTGGAAAATTTGCAGGCTAGCCACTTGATAGAAAACAATATCCTGTTTTCAGGGAAAGAATTAAAGGGGGTTGTTGGAGTAACCATTTACTAGAGAGATTAGCATGACTAAAAGGGAGCCAAGTGCTACTATCCAAGACAACAGGAAAAGGGCCTCGAAGAAAGCATGGTATAAGTCCTCAGGACAGCCCTTACTGTAACAAGGCCAGAGATCTAGGAGGAAAGAATGACTTCAGAGTCTAGACCTTGGGCCTCTTTGTCCTGTGCAGCCCAGGGACACTGATCCCTGTATCCCAGCTACTCTGGCTCTGGGCTTGGCTCAGAGGGGCCCAGGTACTACTCAAGCCACAGCTTGAACAGTCCAAGCCGTAAGTGTCTATAGCTTTCACACGGTGTTCAGCCTTCAGGCTCACAGAATGCAGGAGTTAAGGAGGCTTAGTAGCTTCCCCTAGATTTCAGAGAATCCATGAAAAAGCCTAGTGCCCAGGTAGAAGCCTACTTCAGGGGCAAAGCCCTCTCAGAATGACTCTACTAGGGCCATGCTGAGGGGGAATGTGAGGTTGAAGCCCCCACACAGAGTGCCCACTGAGACACTGCTTAATGGAGCTGTGGGAAGGGGGCCATCGCCCTGCAGACCCCAGAATTGTAGATCCACCAGCAGCTTGCACTCTGCAACTGAAAAAGCCTCAAGTGCTCAACTCCAACCCATGAGAGCAGCCAGGTGGGCTGTGTTCAGGGAAGCCACAGGGGCAGAGCTGCCCAAGGCTATGGGAGCCCATTCCTCACACCAGGGTACAGGACACGGAGTCAAAGGAGATTGTTTCAGAGCTTTAAGATTTAATGAATTGCCTGCTGAGTGTAGACTGGTGTGGGGCCTATCAAGCCTTCCTGTTGGCTGATTTCTCCCTTTTAGAATGGAAAAATATACCCAATGCTGGTGCCCCCATTGTATCTTGGAAACATATAACTGCTTTTTTATCTCAGAGGCTCATAGGTAGAAGGACCTCATCTCCAGATGAGACTTTGGACTTGGGATTTTGAGTTAATGCCAGAATAAATTAAGACTTTGGGGGACTGTTGCGAATGCGCAATTGTATTTTGGAATGTGAGAAAGGTGTGGGATTTGGGGGAACGGGTAGAATAATAAGGTGTAGATGCTTTTCCCCCTTAAATCTCATGTTAAAATGTGATTCTGGATGTTGGAGGTGAGGCCTGGTGAGAGGCGATTGGATCACAAGGGCAAATCCCTGATGAATGGTTTAGCCCCATCCTCTTGGTGATGAGTCAGTTCTTGCCCAGGAAGTCCATGTGAGACCTGGTTGTTTTACGTTGTGTGGCACCTGCCCGCTTGACCTCTTGCTCCTTCTCTCACCATGTGAGACACCTGCTCCTGCTGCACCTTCCACCATGACTGTGGCTTCCTGAGGTCTCCCCAGAAGCCAAGCAGATCCTGGGTCCATGTTTGCACAGCCCGCAGAACCTTGAGCCAATTAAATCCCTTTTCCTTATGAATTACCCATTCTCAGGTATTTCTTTACAGCAATGCAAAAAATAGGTTAACAAGTAAGCTTTTTAAAAATTTATTTTTATTGTATGTATTTCCGATGTGCAAAATGATGTTTTGATATACAAATACATAATGAAATGATCACTACCGTCAAACAAAGTTAACATACCCATCACCTTCCGTAGTGATTGGTGTGTACATGTGGTGAGAGCACTTAAAATCTCTCTTAGCACATTAGTTTTTAGTATTCAATATTATTAACTACGGAAGGAATACAAGTGCTTAGCACAGCACCTAAAACTTTATTTTCACTCAGTAAGCACTATGTATTTTGGGGTTATTATTAATAAACAAAAATATAAACAATGCATTTAATTATGGCAGAACAACTGAAGAGAACAACTAGGTCACTTTTCCCAAAGCCACAGTAGGTGATTCTGAGCCCTGAGCCTCATGTCTAACTTGCAGAGGGAAGGAGGTTCTCCTGCCAGCTCTGTAGTTCTGTCTGGCGTCTGACACTCGCACACCTGCCAACACCTCCCCAACTCTACTCTCTTGCTCCTGCTCTTGCTCTAGGACCTGTCCACTCACACACCTGCCGTGGTCACTTGGGCAGTGCTGGCCTCCTGTCAGCTGGAGAGGCCCCGCCCTGCAGGCGACTCAGCCAGGGCAGCTGTCTGGAGCCCCCAGAGCACAGTCCGCTGTGGTCACTCTGCTTCTTCTTTGAGGCCTGGCCCTGCCAGCTTTGCTGCCAAAGGTGATTGACTCAACATTCAGACAAGAAGGATGGTGAACTTGATGTAGTCCTCCCTTGGGTCCTGGGGACTCAGTAATTCCATTCTGCAGGTGCCTGGACAATGCTCTGATCCACCCAGGTGTTGGCAGCATTGTTGCAAAGGTCACCTCTGTGCTTTCTCTCCAGGTTCCCCAGGTCCTCAAATGCTAGTAGGCAAGCCAGTTGTGAAACCTTGGATTGGTTCCGTGTAGCTGCTGCTGCTGAGAATCTAAAAAGGCCAGGTGCTTGTGTGGGAGACCAGGAGTAAGGGGAGGCCTGCAGGTGAGGGGAGGCCCCAGGTGTGGAGAGGCCTGCAGGTGAGGGGAGGCCTGCAGGTGAGGAGAGGCCTGCAGGTGGGGTGAGGCCTGCAGGTGAGGAGAGGCCTGCAGGTGGGGTGAGGCCTGCAGGTGAGGGGAGGCCTGCAGGTGAGGGGAGGCCTGCAGGTGAGGAGAGGCCTGCAGGTGGGGTGAGGCCTGCAGGTGGGGTGAGGCCTGCAGGTGAGGTGAGGCCCCAGGTAAGGAGAGGCCTGCAGGTGAGGGGAGGCCTGCAGGTGAGGAGAGGCCTGCAGGTGAGGGGAGGCATGCAGGTGGGGTGAGGCCTGCAGGTGAGGAGAGGCCTGCAGGTGAGGAGAGGCCTGCAGGTGAGGGGAGGCCCCAGATGAGGAGAGGCATTCAGATGAGGCAGGCTTCACATATTTCTTATTCTATGAGGGTGTGTTTAGCTCTCACTGTGAACAGCTTTGCTGCCCCGTTCTAGGGCTGCATTGAGCCAATGCTCTGCACTGGAGTGGGAAGGGAAGAAGTTGGAGCTGGGACACATGCAGCTTCTGCAGGCTTTGGCTCTGAGATCAGGGCAGGGCTGTGCGCTTCCCAGTCTCCTGTTTCATTAGCTGGGATGTAAACAAATCATATCTTGGTTTGGATGTGATGGCCTGTCCGCAATTGTTATGAGAATCCAATTCATTCTGATTTGGCAGTTTTGTAAAGGGCAAGTCTGTGCCATTTTCCTCATCATTCAATACTGATGCATCACTTACACCCTATTCCTGTTCCTAAACCCAGTGACCCCGTGGACAGCAACTGCACATGTTTTACCTGTGCACACCCCGCAGTGCCTGTCACATTGTCTGGGACACAGTAGTTACTCAATAAATGTCTGCTTAATTAATTAGTAATTAAGTACCAAAGATACCATAGACAAATAATCTATTTTATATCTTCTTTATGTGCCATAGAAACCTCAAGAAAAGAGGAATCCTTTCTCCAGCTCAGCTTCTGTCTTTTTCCAAACTTCCTGAGCCAACAAGCGGAGTGATTGCCCGAGCAGCAGAGATAATGGAAACATCAATACAAGCGATGAAAAGAAAAGTCAACCTGAAAACTCAACAATCACAGCATCCAACGGGTAATGTGTGCCCCTCTCCCCACTGAGGAGCGGCAACTCCCGAAGGAGGACACCTTGACTTTGTGCAGGGGCTGCTTGCTCAGGGCATGTTTTTTACTTGAGACCAAGCAGGATGGGACTCCAGCTCTTTCAAAGCATACAAGCTGCAATTTTTAAAAATGCTTACCAAACAGTCTCAATATCTTATTTTTGTTACTCTGGAAAATAGCCATTTCTCTCCTATCCAAATCAAATTTGAGAAGTAGCTCAATAAGCTAAACATCCATTTTTTATGGTATAAAATAATTTAGGAATTTTCCCATAGCCCCCCTCTTAGTTAAAACTTGGCAAGCTCATTCATAAAACCTCTACAGTGAAAGGACTTCATGTGTGAGGCAGCGCATTGCAGGGAGCCCCATCTTCCCACTGAGTTGCTGGTGCCTCAGCAGAACTACCCAGGACATTTGAGAGCCAATTTACTCATCTCTAAAATGAGGACAGTGGCACTGCTCACTCCAATGGCTATCAGAAGACCAGTGCATAAACCAGGAGCAAATGTCGTCATTTCTTCAGCTCTAAAGCACTCTATGGGCATAAGATACTGAGATGGTAATGCAGGCATTCAAAAGTCATATTGGTGCTTCCTATGATGCAGAGCAAGTAAGCGAAATGTCTTTTTAATTAATTTATCAAGAATTTTTTCTCTGCAGCGCCATGAGCTACTTGGCCTCTGAGTTCTTCCTTCTAACTAGCTATAGATCAATTTGGTGCTGGTTACTTAGCTTTTAGAATAAGACAAACTTGGCTAAATCAGTATTGACCAGAATTCTCAAATCCTAAACTTAACAGTGAAGTTTAATTAATTTCATAGCAAGCTAAGATTCACCACTTTGAAATGTCCTTTCTTTCAAACCATATGGCTGAACGATGTTTCTAAGAACTCTCGGTCCACTGTCCTGTTACGGGACACTGTCCTGTCCACTGTCCTGTCAGGCCTCCTATGGAAATGGCAGTTCCTGACGTCAGAAGATGTGGGTCTTTCTGGTCCATGCCTTAGAGCCACATGCTCACTGCCGGGTCTGTAGACATCGATGTTTAGGAGAATAGGCTGAGGTATTTGGTCCAGGCTATAATGTAGAACTTAAGAACTCCATAATTTAGAATTTTTTAAAATGATTTCCGTTGTAAGTATAGCCCATCTTGAAAATTTAGAACACGAGGAACCTAAAAAGGTTTCCCATTACTTCATCACCAAGACAGAATTCCATTAAAGGTCAGTGCCTGTCCTTCTAGGCTGCTCCTTCATGTTGGTCTTGTGTGTTACATGACTATGACCTCATAGTTCTTTTCTTCTTTTTTTTTGTTGAGATGAAGTCTCCCTCTGTCGCCCAGGCTGGAGTGCAGTGGGGCGATCTCGGCTCACTGCAAGCTCCGCCTCCCAGGTTCACGCCATTCTCCTGCCTCAGCCTCCTGAGTAACTGGGACTACAGGCACTCACCACCACACCCGGCTAATTTTTTGTATTTTTAGTAGAGACGGGGTTTCACCATGTTAGCCAGGATGGTCTCGATCTCCTGACCTCGTAATCCACCCTCTTTGGCCTCCCAAAGTGCTGGGATTACAGGCGTGAGCCACCGTACCCGGCCAATGGTTCTTTTCTATCGCACATGATTTGTTGTCTGCAAGCACCTGCTTGAGGGCATTCCTGTCAAGAAGAATCTGTGCTCAGCTTTTTGAAGAATGCGTAATCCTCCACTAACTGAATGCACACTGCAGTCCAAGGTTTACTTAACTGTTCCCATAGAGCCATTCCCGTTGGACTGTTAGTGAGCATTCATGATTGAAAGACTAGTTTGTTTCTCTCATATCTGAAAATGGAATGCATTCCTTCCTGGCTTTTTTTTCTTTTGAATATCTCAATTTCACTGGTATCTTGTTAATCAAAGTTTTGTGGCATTATCCTCAAAGATTTATATAAACCATATTGGAGAAGTAATCGATGATTACCTCTACTAATGGACAATAAAGCCACTCTCACCTTGATTTGTTGAATAACATATAAATTATAGTGACAGAATTAATCCAAAAAAAAGAAAAACAGGAAATTGTTTCCTGGGTTCTCGTCTCATCTGGAAAGATTTACAAGGGAACCAAAAATCAATACAAAGGAAAAACGAAAGGTTTTATAGATAAGCGTACCATCTTCATCAAGGCAAGATTTTTTCTACATTAGGGTTCGGGATAAATTCTACTCCTCACTGTCTTCTAAAGCACTGGGGCCATTACTAGGCACACATGCCTCACTGTTCGAATATGATGAATGAGCCCTGGAGATGTGCTTAGTGAGAGTTGATGGTAACTGCAAAGTTACTTGCTGGCTTATCCCCCTGAGGGCTGAGAGCTCCTAGATTGCTTTTCTGAAAGATCACAGAGCAAAAATAAATTTTAAAACCCCCACATTTCTAGCAATAAGGAAGCTCAAGGGAATTAAATGAGTGAGCACTTGATGTAAAGGGAGAAGGCAGATTTTCTCAAAAACAGTGACCCCAGTTACATATGAATCCCAAATTCAGATGCTGGAGTCACTTTTGAGACTGCAATAGAATATTTGTTAGGTGGATTTGTGGTTACAAGCACAGAATTCATGGTTTCCTATTTTTCACAGATGCTTTATCAGAAGATCTGCTGAGCATCATTGCAAACATGTCTGGATGTCTCCCTTACATGCTGCCCCCAAAATGCCCAAACACTTGCCTGGCGAACAAATACAGGCCCATCACAGGAGCTTGCAACAACAGGTATTGTTTGTGGATTTTCTTAATCTTCTCGTGAAAGTTGGATCTGAACATGACTAGATGCCATCATGAAGGAACTTCTACCACCACTGGTGGATCTGTATCCACCCCTGAGCCCCTGGTTCCTGTCCTTGGCCTCCCCGACATGGCCTCCTGCATGCCTGGTGGTGCCTCAAGCAGCGTGCCAAGCAGTACTGTCATTCCCAGCCACAACGTCCCATCCACATAGGTGCTTACAGGTGACTCTTAACTTCCTAACCCCACAAATTCCACCGCCCTTCACCTAAGAGCTCAAGCCACGTGCTTAGGCGCCATCCTTGATTTCGCTAGCTCCGCTACCCATTGTTTCCAATGCACCCCCAAGACTGTCACTTTTACCTCCAAAATGAGTCCTCTCCACTCCCTGTCACCTTAGCTGAAGCCAAAATAACCATCCAGCTGCCATCACGTGGTGGTCCCCTCACTGGTTCTCCTAATTTAACTCTTGCTTTCCCCATTCACGCTCCCTGTTATGGCCAACACCATCTCAGCACCCTCCTTCTCAACTCCTCCCTCAGTCCCCACTGCACTCAGAGTGAGTTCAGATCCGCCCAACAGTGGTGACTGCCCACCTCCTCTGGTCCACAATGGCAGGAGATGGACAGGAGCTTTGGCCACACACAGAGGCATGTGATTCAGTCTGGGGTTCAGAATGGTTTTCTGAAGAAGGTGATATGCGAGTGAGCCAAATCTTAAAGGATGAGTGGGCATTTCTCAAATGGTCCACAGGGTAGAGAAGAGGGCTTTGCAAAGGCCGGAAAGAGCAAGATGCGTTTGGGCTGAAACGTGCAGCCTTTGGCACACAGAGGGGCAGAGGGAGAGCAGCCGGGATTGTGGCGCCTGTGGGGTCTGGGGGAAACAGTGTGCCCGGTGGTCACCTAGAAGCTTTGTCACAATAGTGTGGCGCCAGGATGGCTGCAGGCTTGATGTTCACCGATGCAGGCAGCAAAGGTGCTTAGCATGGAAGAACTCCTCAAAGGGACTCGAGCTCCTCACTGCTGGGTGTGCTGAGGTCAGAAGGAAGATGCCCCCCCCGAGAGAGGGATCAGCGGGACCCAGGCAGAGCCCTGGCTTGGACAGGCCCTGTCCTGAGACAGAGAGCAGGGGCTTTGCGACAATGAACAGGAATCGGGGTCCTGGGTATATGATGATGGTTAAGAACAACAGCTTTGCAACTGGACAGCCCTGGATTTGAAACCTGGAATCACCACCTATCAGAGGGCAGTTTGTTTCAATTCTTTGAGCTGTAAGAGCTTGTTTGTTAAGCCCACAGCAGGAATGCATAACCTGGCCATGTGTGAGGATCTGATCTTAGGACTGCGGAGCCCCGGCTGGAAGAGGCAGCCTGTGCTGAACACAGAGATGGGTCAGGGCCACACAGGAGGCTGCTGTCCACCCCTCCTGCCCTGAAGCCTGGGGGGGGGTCTGTGCCTTCCCGTGGAAGTGGGCTCAGAGGTGGAGATGGCATGTGTCCTGTCCTCAGAGCTCAGTGGGAGACATAGATGTAGACAAAGGATGCACAGGAGATGATGCCTGGGAGTATGGGGACACTGAGATGGCTGGTGGGATGCACGGCTGGAGGGACCAGGCCTGGATGGAGGAGGGGATGGGGCTGGAGGGCCTGGGTGGAGGAGGGCAGGGGGTAGGTGCACTGTTGAGTCAGAAGCCGGAGCGGAGATGGCTTGGACTACACGGGGAGGAGCAGGGTCTTCAGAAGGACAGGGTGGGGTCTAACGTGCAGGTACATGTTGAGGGTGGGGATCCCGGGGGACAGTGGCGTTGGAGATGTGGGGGCGGGGCTGCTCTCTGAATGGGTTTCATACTTCTGATTTTATTAAAGAAATATAAGACATTGAATTCTGCATTCCTAAGCACAATTATCTTAAGAATCAGCGAGTCATACTTTCCATATGTTTTCAACACCTCTAGCGTGTCTTAAACAGCGTTAACAAGTCTGGGACTCTCCGTGGCCCGAAGCACTTTCACCAGAGGGGTCCGTGATGGAGCTCCTTGGGTTCTAGGTTTTCCTTGAGACCTCCTAACTTTTTTCCATTTCCTTTTCTGCCTGCTGCCTTCTGTCTGTCAGCCATGACCCAGACCTCAGGTGCATTCTGATGGCTCTCCCTACGGAGGTCGACCCAGGGGCCACCCCCCACCCACCCCCACCCTGCCCCACGTCCCTCCTCCACGTCAGGGGGATGATGAATTCAGCCATGTGCAACATCGTGGGCATCCTTAAAGCAAATTGCAGTGGAGGGTGAATTACAGTGCTTGGGGAATCCCTGAGCAAAGCCAGTAGGCCTCACACATGATCTAAATCTTGCTTGATTTGCAAACAGAAGAGAAACTTAACTGGAGATTTTTTTTTTTTTTTTTGCAAATGCCTGGATTAAAGAAAAATGAAATATAAGCCCGACCATTCCGAAACTGCCAACTAACCTGTTTAACTAGGAACCTTCCAGCAGGACAGACCAAATAATGCGAAACTGAAGCCAGTCAAAGCTTTTCTCCAATGACGTCTACATCCACCTGCAAAGCCTGCCCCTGGGTCCTGCAGTAGAGCCTGAACCTTTCTTTGGTTTGATGCTTCCTGATTCATAAATCATGATCACTCAAAAAAAACTCTTTAAAAAATGTATTGTGCCTAAGTTTACATTTTAACAACCTCAAGACCAGGGCCTCAGCCGGCAGCAGTGAGTTCCTGCTCGGCCCTTCTGAAAGGCCCTGCTGCTGTCTTGGGCGCCTCTGCCCCAGCTGCTGGGCGGGCTCCACTGACGCTCCTGGGAGAATCTCTGCTGACCACACAATGACATTGGCACTGGGAGCTGTGATCTGGGGACACTTAGATCTGAGCTGGTTTCTCTCCTTCTGTGGTAACAGCTACAGTTTTCATTAAGAATTCACAGCATCTGGATCTAAAATCTCCTACGTTCAAGGCTTCACACATTGTATTCCACCAAAAATAAAACATCTGCTCAGAAATCGGTCACTTGTTGTTATAAAAGTGAGCCACAGAGGGCCCCTGACCCTTGGCCCCTGGGTGGTTTATTTTTTCTCTGCAGGCCTGTTAGTGCCAAAGCCCACCAAGACCAAGCTCAAATTTACTCATGCCCAATTGTGATAAAAATAGCCCAAACAAGCAGACTTTTAGCCACTTGGAGCCTACCTCTTTGCATCTTCCACAAAACCTCTCCCAGCATCTCAGGCCGTTGGTAAGATACAGCCTCGTGGTCATCAGACCCCAGGTCGCTGCTGTCTCTGGAGTTGCCTGCCCAGAGACTCCCCCTCTCCCCCTCACCATGTTGCTGAGTAATGTCACCAGACATGGAGACCCTCTGATGCCCCACTGTGAGTTCCTCGCCATCCTCCCCATCTGGGTGGCGGTCCCTCACCTTAGCCTCTGGATGGTCCCCTGCCTTGAGGGATGTCCCCTCTTCTGCACCTGTGCCCAAGAACCACCCCAAAGGCATGTGTGTGTCTCTGCCTCCCCGATCCTAACTTTTGCCTTGCTCAGCCCTGAGTTCCCAGAGCTTCCCCACACCCACTAAATTGCTAAGTTCCCCCCCAGCGGTCTCCTAAGCCGCTTCGGCGTCCCTCTCAGTCACCAGCACCTGGTTCCCCACCCACACCTTCCCATCCTTGTCTGGGCTGGTGCTGCATTTCCAATGTGCTGCGTTTCCACTGTGCTGCGTTTCCAATGTGCTACATTTCCACTGTGCTGCGTTTCCAATGTGCTGCGTTTCCACCGTGCTGCGTTTCCACCGTGCTGCATTTCCTGCATTCCAAAGCGACCTTTGGGTGTTGGCTGCAATGACATCTTTAAGACAAATGTTAGTTGGAATTAACTTTTGAAATTCTAAATGTCGAAATGGTGGATTTTAAAACTCATCCATTTCTACTAGTTTTCTTGCTTTATGGTGTGATGTCTGCATGTCACAAGTGGATGGCAGGGTTTCTAAGGCTTGTTTTTCCTTTGTTGGTATTTTCCTAATTGCCTAGGACGTATCACATAAAATTACTTAACAAGTAGTGGAAAAGAATGATTTTTCTTTCACCATTTCACCTGGACATTTTGTTTGTATGGTGTAGTCGGTGCCGCAGGAGCTACCTTGTTGAAAGAGAAGGGGGCAGGCTGCTTCTCCTTTGTGTGGTGTAGCTAATGCCACACCTGTACTTCTTGTTTGTATGAAGTGGTCAGTGCCACAGGAGCTACCACTTTAGAAGGGAATGGAGCAGGCTGCTTCTTGTTTATATGGTGTAGTCAGTGCCGCAGGAGGCACTATGTTGGAAGAGAATGGGCAGGCTTCTTCCTGTTTGTATGATCTAGTCAGTGCCGCAGGACGTACTATGTTGTAAGTGAATGGAGCAGGCTCATTCCTGTTTTTATGGTGTAGTCATTGCCGCAGGAGGTACTACGTTGGAAGCAAGTAGGGCAGGGTCCTTCTTGTTTCCATGGTGTAGTCAGTGCCGCAGGAGGCACTACGTTGGAAGGGAACAGGGCAGGGTCCTTCTTGTTTGTATGATCTAGTCATTGCCACAGGAGGCACTATGTTGGAAGGGAATAGGGCAGGGTCCTTCTTGTTTCCATGGTGTAGTCAGTGCCACAGGAGGCACTATGTTGGAAGGGAACAGGGCAGGGTCCTTCTTGTTTGTATGATCTAGTCATTGCTGCAGGAGCTACCAGTTGTAAATGAATGGAGCAGGCTCCTTCCTGTTTGCATGGTGTAGTGAGTGCCGCAGGAGGCAGTACGTTGGAAGGGAATAGGGCAGGGTCCTTCTTGTTTGTGTGGTGTAGTCAGTGCCGCAGGAGCTACCGTGTTGGAAGGGAATGGGGCAGACTCCTTCTTGTTGGTACGGTGTGGCCAATGCTGCAGGACGTACCATGTTGGAAGAGAATGGGGCTTGAGTTTGTTTTGCTTTACACTTTGTCATAAAGGAAATTATCAGTTCTCTGCATAAGCCCCTATTTTTTAACAAGGGGGTGTGTGTGCATGCACGGCAAGCTGGTCCCTTTAAACATTTTAGAATCTCTAAATATAAAGCTTAAGATATTAGGAATGCTGTTGATAACTGTGCATTTGGGGTGAAGGTGTTTTGGTAGTATCATTTAAAGGATTTCCAGCTTCTTTCTGTTTCTGTTACCAACCTGTGGAGACCTCTTCATCATCCTGGACTCAGATCAGGGTCCTCGACTCTGCTGCGCTCCCAGCCAGCTGAGGCTGTTGTTCCTCACCTGTGTGTTTTTATAGAAGTCTAGGAGCTGGGGGGTAGGAGGTGGGTGTGGGCAGGGGTCACGTCACTTGCAGGTTGCCTTTGCTAGAAGCAGTCACATTGGCTGAGAACAGAATCCCCAGGGCCTGAGGATGTCCTGCAGAAATTTGGGTTTTAGTGTGTAGCTTGGCATCAGCCTAGAGATAAGACAAATTCTATTTTAAAAATCAAGTGCTCCATGGCGGGATGGTGATATAGTTGGCTGTGTCCCCACCCAAATCTCATTTGAATTCCCACATGTTGTGGGAGGGACCAGGTGGGAGGTAATTGAATCATGGGGGCAGGTCTTTCTTGTGATGTTCTCGTGATAGTGAATAAGTCTCACGAGATTTGACAGCTTTATAAGGGGAAGTTCCCCTGCACAAGCTCTCTTTCTGCCTGCCGCCATCCATGTAAGACATGACCTGCTCCTCCTTGCCTTCCACCATGATTGTGAGGCCTCCACGTGGAATCGTAAGTCCATTAAACCTCCTTTTCTTCTCAGACTCAGGTATGTCTTTATCAGCAGCATGAAAACAGACTAATACAGATGGAGTAGGGGAGGGCTACTGAAGAAATGAAGCCTCTCAGCTACTGGAAATAGATGCAATCAGGGTGGAATTACTCACGGACAGTCCTCCAGAGGCAGTGGGGTCATTGTGGAGATCTGTGTGCCACAACAGCCAGAAAACAAAGGGGCCACGAGCCACTGTTTGCTCTGTGGTCTAAATCAATGGACTATCTTACCACATGCAATGTTAGACAGTGTATTACATATGATTATTCATAAGCAGAAATACAAATATATATTATATACTGTAAGACAGTATTCATTATATGATAAATATGATGAATTCACCTAGATACTTCATATAGAATTTGCCTTCAGTTTTAGATTGATACATGTGATAAGAACTTCTCTGTGTGTTCTTGAGAAAGTGCTCACATTCCCATGCATAATGGAAAGGACATTGTATTTTGAAATAGAAGACGAAATTCCAGCCACCACTTTGTCAGTTACAAGCTGCTTAGACTTCATGTCTTGCTTAGTTTCTCAAATTCTCTGCACCTGGAAACTGGCAAAGATAGTGATGCTCATTTCTAGGGTTGTCATGAGGCTGAAGTGAGACAATGCAGCAGAAATAATTTGTGAGCAATAATGATACAAAGGTCAGTGATTGATTATGTAAATAATGGCCACCTTTGAAGCCCCTTTCTTCAAAGAGTCTGAGTCTTGATTCTTGAAGAGGTGTGATTTTTCTTTGAAAAATTGCATTATTTCTTGCTGGGCACTTTGGCTCACGCCTGTAAAGACAGCACTTTCGGAGGCTGAGGTCGGGGGATCGCTTGAGCCCAGGAGCTCAAGACCAGCCTGGGCAACAAAGCAATACCTCATCTCTAAAACAAACAAACAAAAAATTGTGTTATTTCTTGAGTTTTGATCTGATGAACTACTGCAGTAAACCACTGTGTCTCACAGTGTTGGAAGGGAATGGAGCCAGCTCCTTCTTGTTGTATGGTGTAGGCAATGCCGCAGGAGGTACCGTGTTTGAAGGGAATGGGGCAGGCTCCTTCTTGTTTGTATGATCCAGTCATTGCTGCAGGAGGCACCGTGTTGGAAGGGAGTGGGGCAGGCTCCTTCTTGTTTGTATGACCCAGTCATTGCTGCAGAAGGTACCATGTTGGAAGGGAATGGGGCAGGCTCCTTCTTGTTTGTATGATCCAGTCATTGTTGCAGGAGGCACCGTGTTGGAAGGGAATGGGCAGGCTCCTTCTTGTTTGTATGATCCAGTCATTGTTGCAGGAGGCAACATGTTGGAAGGGAATGGGGCCGGGGCCTTCTTGTTTGTATGATCCAGTCATTGCTGCAGGAGGCACCATGTTGGAAGGGAAAGGGCAGGCTCCTTCTTGTTTGTATGATCCAGTCATTGCTGCAGGAGGTACCATGTTGGAAGGGAACGGGGCAGGCTCGTTCTTGTTTGTATGATCCAGTCACTGCTGCAGGAGGCACCTTGTTGGAAGGGAATGGAGCTGGCTCCTTCTTGTTTGTATGATCCAGTCATTGCTGCGGGAGGCACCATGTTGGAAGGGAATGGGGCAGGCTCCTTCTTGTTTGTATGATCCAGTCACTGCTGCGGGAGGCACCATGTTGGAAGGGAATGGGGCAGGCTCCTTCTTGTTTATATGATCCAGTTATTGCTGCAGGAGGCACCATGTTGGAAGGGAATGGGGCAGGCGCCTTCTTGTTTGTATGATCCAGTCATTGCTGCAGGAGGTACCATGTTGGAAGGGAACGGGGCAGGCTCGTTCTTGTTTGTATGATCCAATCACTGCTGCAGGAGGCACCATGTTGGAAGGGAATGGAGCTGGCTCCTTCTTGTTTGTATGATCCAGTCATTGCTGCGGGAGGCACCATGTTAGAAGGGAATGGGGCAGGCTCCTTCTTGTTTGTATGATCCAGTCACTGCTGCGGGAGGCACCATGTTGGAAGGGAATGGGGCAGGCTCCTTCTTGTTTATATGATCCAGTTATTGCTGCAGGAGGCACCATGTTGGAAGGGAATGGGGCAGGCGCCTTCTTGTTTGTATGATCCAGTCATTGCTGCAGGAGGTACCATGTTGGAAGGGAACGGGGCAGGCTCGTTCTTGTTTGTATGATCCAATCACTGCTGCAGGAGGCACCGTGTTGGAAGGGAATGGAGCTGGCTCCTTCTTGTTTGTATGATCCAGTCATTGCTGCAGGAGGTACCATGTTGGAAGGGAATGGAGCTGGCTCCTTCTTGTTTGTATGATGCAGTCATTGCTGCAGGAGGTACTGTGTTGGAAGGGAATGGGGCAGGCTCCTTCTTGTTTGTATGATCCAGTCATTGCTGCAGGAGGCACCATGTTGGAAGGAAATGGGGCAGGCTCCTTCCTGTTTGTATGATCCAGTCACTGCTGCAGGAGTCACCATGTTGGAAGGGAATGGGGCAGGCTCCTTCTTGTTTGTATGATCCAATCACTGCTGCAGGAGGCACCATGTTGGAAGGGAATGGGCAGGCTCCTTCCTGTTTGTATGATCCAGTCATTGCTGCAGGAGGCACTGTGTTGGAAGGGAATGAGCAGGCTCCTTCTTGTTTGTATGATCCAGTCATTGCTGCAGGAGGTACCCTGTTGGAAGGTAATGGGCAGGCTCCTTCTTGTTTGTATGATCCAGTCATTGCTGCAGGAGGCACCATGCTGGAAGGGAATGGGCAGGCTCCTTCTTGTTTGTATGATCCAGTCATTGCTGCAGGAGGTACCATGTTGGAAGGGAATGGGGCAGGCTCCTTCTTGTTTGTATGATCCAGTCATTGCTGCAGGAGGTACCATGTTGGAAGGGAATGGAGCTGGCTCCTTCTTGTTTGTATGATGCAGTCATTGCTGCAGGAGGTACTGTGTTGGAAGGGAATGGGGCAGGCTCCTTCTTGTTTGTATGATCCAGTCATTGCTGCAGGAGGCACCATGTTGGAAGGAAATGGGGCAGGCTCCTTCCTGTTTGTATGATCCAGTCACTGCTGCAGGAGTCACCATGTTGGAAGGGAATGGGCAGGCTCCTTCTTGTTTGTATGATCCAATCACTGCTGCAGGAGGCACCATGTTGGAAGGGAATGGGCAGGCTCCTTCCTGTTTGTATGATCCAGTCATTGCTGCAGGAGGCACTGTGTTGGAAGGGAATGAGCAGGCTCCTTCTTGTTTGTATGATCCAGTCATTGCTGCAGGAGGTACCCTGTTGGAAGGTAATGGGCAGGCTCCTTCTTGTTTGTATGATCCAGTCATTGCTGCAGGAGGCACCATGCTGGAAGGGAATGGGCAGGCTCCTTCTTGTTTGTATGATCCAGTCATTGCTGCAGGAGGTACCATGTTGGAAGGGAATGGGGCAGGCTCCTTCTTGTTTGTATGATCCAGTCATTGCTGCAGGAGGTACCATGTTGGAAGGGAATGGGGCAGGCTCCTTGTTTGTATGATCCAGTCATTGCTGCAGGAGGTACCGTGTTGGAAGGGAATGGGCAGGCTCCTTCTTGTTTGTATGATCCAGTCATTGCTGCAGGAGGTACCATGTTGGAAGGGAATGGGGTAGGCTCCTTCTTGTTTGTATGAACCACTCATTGCTGCAGGAGGTACCATGTTGGAAGGGAATGGGGCAGGCTCCTTCCTGTTTGTATGATCCAGTCACTGCTGCAGGAGGCACCGTGTTGGAAGGGAATGGGGCAGGCTCCTTCCTGTTTGTATGATCCCGTCATTGCTGCAGGAGGTACCATGTTGGATATGGTACCATGTTGGATAAGTGGCACAGTGGATAGAATCCATCGCCATAGTGACCATGAGTGGATTCCTGCTATTAAATTGGGGTACGACTTATGCAGGGCTTGGGGGTGAATCTGGAGGGACAGGTGGCCGAGTCTTCCATGGGCCTGCACCCCCAGATGAGAAGCCCCCAGGTGCAGATCGAGAACTGTACACCCCAGAGGGCTGCCTTCTGGCCCCTCCTAGGTTTTGACATCTACCCAGAGGTGACCATTGCTTTGATCTTCATCACCATAGTTAGTTTTCCCTGACCTGGCTTTTATAGGAAGGAAGTTAGATGGTAACCCCTGGGCCTGGCTTCTCCACCTCCAGGATTTATTTGCTCCTGCCTTGCTGAGGGAGACACTCATCGTTACAGGGCAGGCATGGGCGCCTCTCTGCTGAGCACTGGTCAATGCTTCCAAGTGGCTGCTCCAATCTGCATTCCCAGGAGCAAAGTGTAAGAGCCCCACAGCCCTCACCAATCCCCGTCACTGTGATCCCTTTCATTTTGGCCCTTCTTGAGGGGAGGGTGGCATTTCCTGTGGTTTAACTTCACATTTTCCTGGTGACTAATTGTCTTGAGCACTTTTAAAATACATTCATTGGCCATTTGGAGACTCTTTTTCGGGATGTGCCAGTTCAAACATTTTTCCCATTTTTTAATGAATCTTTTTTGATTTATAGATGCTCATATTTTCTAAATATGTCTTCAGTGAGAAATATGTTTTACAAATGTCTTCTCCCAGCTGAGATTGGCCTTTTCACTCTCCATGCTGTCTTTTGAAGAAACGTTGTTCATATTTTTAATGAAGTCCCCTTTATCAATTACTTATTTCATGGAAAGAAAACTTTTTTGTTATGTTTAAGAATCTTGCTTTCTCTGAAGAATGTGAAGGTATTTTTCTTGTGTTTTCTGCTGAAAATGTTATTGTTTTACATGTCACATTTAGATCTGTGACCCATCTCATTTTATGTTTTCTGCAACATACGAGGTGGCAACCATGAGGGGTGTGTGTGTGTGTATGTGTGTGTGTGTATTGTAAACCAAAAATAAAATTCTAAGTCTTGCGATCATCTGAATTGACCCCTCCTGTTGGCAAGGGTGTTCCAAAGCTAACCTGAAAAACTAATCTGACCGTGATGGGGAGAGTGAGGTCAGACGTGCCTCATGACACCCTCCTCCCTTTTGGAATTTCTGCTAGAACAGACTTCTTAACTCTGAGAAGAAACATTTACAGTCTCTTCTCTCAGAAGCCTGCTGCCTGGAGACTTCACCTGCACGATGAAACCTTGGTCTCCACAACCTGTGTCTTAACCCAGACAGTCTTAAGTCCTTAGACGATAACTTTACTCTTTCAAAAAATTGCCACTCAGAAAATTTTTGAATCTACCTTTGGCCTAGAAGCCCCCGCTTCCAGATGTCCTGCCTTTTTGTACTGAACCAGTGTACATCTTACATGTATTTGATTGATGTCTTGTGTCTCCCTAAAATATATGAAACTAAGCTGTGCCTCAACCACCTTGGACACAAGTTCTCAGGATCTCCTGAGGGCTGAATCATTGGCCATTGGTCACTCATATCTGGCTCAGAATAAATCTCTTCAACTATTTTACAGAGCTTGACTCTTCACTGACAATATCTATAAGTGTTTGTGTATATATAGAGGCATGTATATATAGGTAGATTTGTATGTGTGTGTGTATATATCTATAATAAACACAGGTCTATATAGAGGGGTGTGTGTGTATGTATGTATAGATATGTGTGTGTGAAAGCATGTGTATATGATATTTATTCAGAACCATCCTTTACCCAGTGAACTGCACCCATGCCTATATCATGAATCGAGTAGCCACATGTGTGTGGGCGAGGACTGCTAGACTCTTACCATTATGTATACAATTATGAGAGAGAGGGAGAGAACCTGAGTTAAACAATTAGCCACATTTCTCTTTAAGCCTACTGAGAAAAAGACACAGGGACCCAGCAGACATCAGAACACCTTGTTGGGGCAGCTCGCACTGGGGCGCAGGTGGCAGAAGCCTCACGGGATTCTGTACAGCAGGAAGAGAGGCCGGCTTCAGCCCCTCCTGCCTGACAGCACAGGGGTCTTGCCTGGCCTGGGAGGAGCCGGGATTGGAGGCAGGGGCTGCTCCTGCCTCCAGAGGTTTCCAGGAGACTGCATGTTGTGCCCTGCCGGCATCCACACATTTGTGTAGTACCCACTCCCAGACAAGGACACTCATAGACTTCCTCCGGCCTCGCGTGGGAGCCGAGCCTGTGGTCTGCATCTCGCTGTGCTCCACGCAGCTCCTGCATGCAGCTCCTGCACGCATCGGCTGGGCTCGCAGATGTCAGGTCCGCCTCCTTTCCTCTTCCCTGAGCCTCTGCCGAGCCCTCCCGACCCGAGGGTCGGCTGCTCCCTTCCCCGCCTGAGTCACTTCCGTGACTCTCTTCATCCTCAGAGCCATCCCCTTCCTCATCTGTAATGTGGGAAGAACACCCACCTCGCAGGGTTGTTTCTGGTTGAAAGGCAGCACTTGTCAGGCTCCTTGCACGCTGTCCACAGCCGGCCATCGTAAGAGTTACGGCGACTGTCACCTCTCAGCCACTCCTCGGCATCGGACCTCTTGGCTCCTGGCCATGGCATTGACCACAGAATGTCATAAACAGCCCAGTGTGTTTTTCCACGAGAGCAGTGGTCGGAGGCTCCTGCAGGTAAATGGCTGGAGATTGATTGACGTGGGAATATCACGGCATCACAGAATCAGAGCACATTTGTTCACGGTGCAGGAATAACATCAAGTGAGTGGTGAGCTCTAAAGGACCTGGCCCTCGAGGTAGCTCACACCCTCGATGATGAATGGAGCCAGGCCACAGGTGAAATTTCCATCCAGGCGGGACAGACTCAAGCCGGGACTGGGTTCCCCTGACGCCCGGCTTCCCAAATGTGCTTCCCTCCCGGATGCACAGAGAACGAACGTGGCATGGACATTGTGAGCTGCAGGAAGCGATCCCACCAGGGATCAAAAAGCCAACTTCCTCCAGCGGCCATTCTGCACTAAGCCTCTTTCGTGGAGTTCACGTTCTGTCCAATACAGCCTTAAAGCCCATGAACAATTCTGGGGGAGACGATCAGGTCTGAAAGGAAAATTCCATATGGGTATTTAAGTTATTGGAAGAACCCTTAAGATCTACCTGGGTTTAACATAGAATTTGCTATATGTAACTTGGTATATCATTCTCTATAGTCATTTGCCTAAAAATCATCAAAAGTATAAATTCAATGTTGCATCTCCCATCCAGATATTTTGTGTTAAAAACACCTCATATCTGATGTCTGACAGCTATTTTCTTTTTTTCTATGTATTTGCCTTGAATTCACATTCGTAGTCACCTTTTTTCCCTCTCACTTTGTTTTTCATTTGCATTTTGACCTAATTCATGAAATTATCCAGCAGGGAGAGACCTGATGGAGTTTTGCTGGAATGAAGCTCCTTGACACAATCGTCTCCTTTTTAGAAGTGCCTGTAGATTGAAAGTTCAATTGCTCAAAACAGTTTGCTAAAGAACAAATGTGTGTCTATTAAGAGTTTAAGTTGCACTTGTAAATCCACCAATGGCACTAAGATATCATTTAGCAATATTGACACTTGAAGTGATAAAAAAACAGAAAATACCTTTGACGTCAAATAAATGTATTAGTCTTTAAGAAAAAAAGAGGTGGAATTGACCTTGGTGTCTTATGAAATCGCAGAACATATGATGGGTATAAACAATGCCAGAATAAACAAGATTTTCAAAGTTTTTGGAAAAAGCTGAGCTCATGCCGATTATAGAAAGCATTTGCATCTTTTGAAGGGTTTTCCTCTGAGGGTTCAAATGTCCCTCAGGGATCATGCTGGTGATAATCCCAGCTCACAAACTGACTGGTCTTAATTGCCTTCAATCAAGTAGCTCCAGCAGGAGACGGGAAAAATCACCGCTGAGTTTCCTCATACTTCTGGCCACCTGACAGGGTGTCAGGCGTTTTTGGGGACAAAATGAATCCTCGCACACCTGGCCCAGCAGGATGAGGGCATCCCGTGTCCCGCTGCTGCCCCGCTGAGAAAGAGGTGCCGTTACAGGAGTGGAAAGCTGACTTCGTCCACAGTTTCTCTCCCAGCATTTCACACTGCATTGCTGTTTGCTTCTTTTCATGGGCGGCACACATCTCTGGCACTCAGCGTGTCCATGTGCTGTTACTGGATGGCCATACCTGGCAAACATATTGACCTGTGTCTTGCGGCCTCAGTCCACAGCTTTATGCTCAAGCGCTCTTCAAGATGGAAGTTTAGAATTTCTTCTTTTTGGAATTCAGAAATCACAAAGTCTCCAGTGCCAGGTGCCTGGGAGAGGGGAACTAGGGTCCCAGGGAAATCAGAGTGACTCGGAGCCTCAGCAGGAGCACAGACCTCAGTCTCCCTCATAAAACTCTCCTCCAGAAATGTTTCTCTTTGTTCATTTTGTCAGCTTTATGAGCCTTTTTCCAATGCTGCCATTAATTCAGATCTAAGAAAGGAACAGTGTGGTACAATAGATTTCCACTGGGAAAGGATCTTTCCAACAGGAGCTGATCAAAGTCTCAGAGGGACCCTTCTCAGTCCTGCTGACCTGCTGACCGTGAAGGTCAGGTGACACATTTGCGGAGGGTCCACAACAAATGTCTGTGAGTGCCCTTGAGCCATTGTAATGTCCTAGTGAACTGCTGACATATAAAAGTCAATCAGCAAAAAAAATCACTGCTTAAGCAGTTAAATTAACATTATTTTTAATTGAGTAATCTAACACCTCCCTATGAGCCATACTTTATGGAATTTCAATAAAGACAAACCAACCATAACGAATCTGAACACTTTATTAAAGCAATCTTTCCAATCTTCAGTTGCTGACGTATTGCAGCTGATTATATGCATTACTCTCCCATACATTTTTGCAAATTGAGCCACTTTGGTGTGCTGGAGATTAATGAAGTATTAATAACAGAATTATTCTCCCCTTATGGTCCCTGCAGACATAGAGAAGTAACCATGTCCCCAAGCCTCCTGCCGCTGCTGACCACTCATCATCCAATGTGTCCTGGATGAGGTAGCAGCTGGTGCACAACAGTAAGAATAAAAGCTCCTCTCCTCTAATGTACGGAGCTGCGTGGTGGCCTTAGAGACTTTTAAACTGGAAGAGTCTCAGCTCTTCAGTCTACCTCAAGGACAAAACGGATCTTTCCTTCACAAATGTTGCCCAGGTTACAAACAGTTCTTAGTAGAACCTTAGTCCTTTCATTCCTGTGCAGAACATCTAAATCGGTCACATTTAATACGAATGACTAATGTATGTTATAACCATAAAGGCGATGGTAATTTATGACAAAACCACTAATTTTTAAATATTTATATTCCCAAACACTCCAAATGTTTTAAAAAGTTATTTATCTTGTCACGATTCTTGTAGACTTCACTCCTTGTATTTTTTAAGTGTGTACATATCAGATACATGGGAGGATTTTCAAAGCCTGCATCCTAGTCACGCCTGACTCTTTTGTCATGTGCCTTGCAAAGCCTCCCAATACCAGTTGTCCATGATGCAGCTTCAGACTCTGCAGACTCAGCCCTGGTTGTGTTGCATGACTCTGCAGCTGCCACACACAGAACCTCAGTGCTGGTTGTTCCCACACGGGCGTGACTGACAGATACCAATGGAACCCGGATATCATGACAATGTTAGACCCAAAACAATCTGTATTTATTTTTAACAAAAGGAACCTACTTTTTTCCACAAAAAATTTCTATTTTTTTCTCTTTGAATTGACTTTTATATTCTAATTCTCTCATATTTCCTTCCAAATGCAGAATAATTTATGCCTTATAAATTGAGCCATTTTCTTCCAAATGTAGAATATTTTATACTTGAGAAATCCTTTATTTTTAATAAGTTTTACATATTTCTTTACCTATCCTCTACAGATATGTATGCTCATGTTATATATTTGATACATTCATTTATATATTCTTCACATTCATATAGTCTTACCATGCATTTATATATTTGAATATGTATTTTATTTTGCATGTTACTTTTTATGTATTTTATAAATTTAAATTTCATATTTAGAAAATGTTCAGTGAGCACAAGGGCCTCAGTGTTCATTGTTTTCTTCAAGATTTAGTTATTTTTTACACATTATTAGAACACAATTGATTTAATAAGCACGGATCTATGACAGATGTTGGTAATTATTATGCATAGAGATAAATATTTATTGGAATTAGTTTATTGATGAGATGGGTGGAGTTCCAGTTAGTTCCTTCATCAGTTGGCTGAACATCACCTGTGGGCCAAGGGGCCATGCACCCTGGTTACCCGAGATCCTTCCTATTTATGCCTTCTGTCCCAGGAAATTATTAATAACTAATAGTGCTCCTGTCTCCTCAAAAGTATTCCACTTTGGTTAGGAATTATACGGTTGCCCTACATACTATAGATGAGACAGTTCAGCAGCAACCCTGTGATTATTTTTACCTTTGCAGATGGAAGGTGCCTAGAAACCTGCTCCTGTGACTATGTCGCTGGGAACAGTTTTGCCATAGGAATGCCATCTGGCCCTCAAAACTCCTTCTGAGATATAGAAGAAAATGAACATGTAATGAGCTATCATTAAAATGATTTTTATTCATGTATCAGCAATCAATTCAATAACATTGTCCTCCAAATTTCTAAACAAAATATTGGAAAATACCTCATTTGCACAAAGGATTAGTTACCAATCTTTAGTCTTTTATTTCCTCAGTTTCTAGAAGATGCTCTGAGACATATCAAGTGACTGTTAATTGTGCCTACACCCCTTCAACTTAGGGGCACCTTGCTTAACACAGTACACTCGGAACTAAGTGTGAAATCAAAATATTCAACACACCTTTACCTTATCATGCACTTCAAATACATTTTTGTCAGAATATATTTTGACCAATAGAACAAAACTGCAGACCAGCCTACTTATGGGAAACTTCACCATCTAGCCTATTGGCTGAAGCCATTGTCATCGCCAAATCAAACAGCCAAATACAACTGACTCTCTCTCTCTCTCAGGAGAGACTTAACTTTATTTTTAACTTACTTTATTTTAATTCAAATTCATTTATTAATGGTTCCTTTGACAACCCGCTCACTTCTGAAATCAGAAAACCAGCAACTTCCTCAGTTCCCACAAGTTCGCCTGGACAATCACACGGGCAGGAACAGGCGCGACACCCTGGTGGCTTCATGGTGCTTTGATTAAAGGATGTTTTATGCCACAGGATTTCAAATGATCTCTTTGTTTGGAGTACCAGAAGTTTCTGTCCTCCAGAGAACTGCCCCTGGTACATTCTAGAAGGGTGGGAGACCCTCCTTCGGAAAACAGGGGAGTGGGAAGGAACCCTGCAGGCAGCCACCTCCAGACAGCATGTGCTGAGCTCGGGAGAGGGTGCCTGTGGGAACCAAGCCTCTGGAATGAGCTCCCTTGAAGCCAGTCATGACCTGGGCCTCCAGGAGGCCTTTCGGGTCTTCTGGGGAGCTGTGCCCCTTGGGCCTCCGGAGAGACCCCACTTATTCTCCCTGAGAATGGTGTCTTATATCTGGAACTCACTGCTTCTGTGTTCTTCTCCCCCATCTCAAACACATCCTTGCATTTGTCTCCACAGAGACCACCCCAGATGGGGCGCCTCCAACACGGCCCTGGCACGATGGCTCCCTCCAGTCTATGAGGACGGCTTCAGTCAGCCCCGAGGCTGGAACCCCGGCTTCTTGTACAACGGGTTCCCACTGCCCCCGGTGGGTACTCAGAACGCTACTATCCTGGACTAAGATTGGGTCCTGTGATGCTGAGGGAGGGAAATAGCCTTTTACTGGGTTCTTGCTCGTGCTGGGTGCTGCGTGCAATCCCTTCAGATCCTCCCAGCCTCCCTTTGATGTAGCAATCACTGTTTCTGCCCTATGGCTTAGGAGCCAAGGCTCAGGGAGATTGAAATCTCTTAGTGAGTGGAACCCTGCAGATTTAAATTAAGTTTTCTCAACCCTAACGTTTCTGTTCCTGAAAATCACTTCAGTGTTTTCAGATAAATTCCTTTATCCATCATGTGGGCTAGGTACATCCCAAGATGATTATGAGTTCAGCAATCCACTTGTTGATGTAAAGATGACTGCTTTACTCCCAGAGGTGAATTTATTTGCTGGACACTCATAGCCTAGTAGAATCTACTGGTCTATTTGGTCAAAAAATGGGTCATTTTGCCTGTAATTTAACTACTCATTTCAATGAATAAGCCAGCCTGTTTGCTCTTGTGCCATGTTCAGTGATGAAATTATCTAGAAATACATCAGTGGATGTTCTGTTTAGCCCAAAGAGCGCAGGTGGTGGGACTCAGGTCTGACTCAGACCAGCTGTGGACAGATACACCAGCACAGAGTTCCCCTACAAAAGCCAACAACTTTACCTAGGCAATTTTCCTAGGCGGGCTTTTAGTAAGAGGACCTGGTATTCCCAGAAGCCGTGAGAAGCCCTGGGTAGAGCTGGAGGCTGTGTCACTGAAGACGGCTCGGTGCTCCCAGCAGCAGGGACAAGGCAATTGGGCTCACGCTCTGCTCCCACTGGCTTCCTGCAAGTCGCTTTCCTTCTTGGCCTCAGTTGGACAATCCCTAAAATGGGATAAGACTGTCTTACCCACCTTATGCTCAACAGTGGACCAGTTCAACCCCCGAGGCTTTTTAAACTCTCAGTATTATGAGATTGTGATTCTGTAAACCCATATTTGCTCAGAATTATTTCACTATTGAGAAAAATCAGAGTTCAAGTGTCTTTAAATGAAATTGTGTTGGTTTTCTACCCAGCTGTGACAAATTGCTCCAAATTTAGTGGCTGAAAACAACATAAATGTGATCTTCCAATTTCACAATCAGTGTCTGATGTCTCACTTGGCTGAAATCAAGGTGTTGCAGAGCTGGTTCTTTCTGGAAGCTCCAGGGGAGATCCCTTTCCTGGCAATTCCAGCTTCTGGAGGTGCCTGCATCCCCTGGCTCATGGCACCTCCTTCCAAGCCGGCAATGTTGTCTGTCTCTGTGCCTTTGTTTGGAGTCACATCTCCACCTCCCGTCAGGAGAGGGCCTCCAACTTTAAGGACCCATGTGACTGGATTGGACACTCGTGGAGACCCAGGACAACCTTCCCATCTCAAGGCCCTTAATGTAATCGCATCAGCAGGCTCCAAGGATTAGCGAATGGATGTTGTGCGAGAGGCATTTTTCTGCCTCCACAGATGACCCACTGACCCTCAAAGATTCATATCCAGTCCACATGCCTAACATGCTCACCCCATTCCAAGGTTCCCCCAAACCCCATCCCATGACGGCACCAACTCTAGGCCCAAAATCCAATCCAAATCTCACCACATAAATCATCCACATCAGGTAGGGCAGGCTCAGGGTAAGATCCATCCAGGACAAAATTCCTCTCCATCTGGACCTAGCCTGTGAGACAGGGAAGCTTGTCGTCTGCTCTCCAGATGCCCTGGCGGAACGGTGTTAAACATAACAGCAACAGATGTCTGCGTGGAGAATGGAAAGGAAGGGGAGTCACTCCTCCCAACCCACGTTGAAATCCAGCCAAGCAACTCCCTTAGGCTTCAAGGCCAAGGAGTACTCGCTTGTGGCTGGAGGCTCTGCCCTCTGAGTCATGAACTCAACTGTCCTAAAGCCTGGCTGTTTTGTCAATGACTCTTCACTTAATCCCCACAACAACACTGAAAGCTCAACCTTTCCATATTAACTTACAGATGAGGAAGTGAGGGCTGAGGGAAGTTAATGCCAGGCCCTCCAGCCACCACAAATCAAGGCAGGGATTCAAGTCCAGGGGCATCTGTCTTCAAAGCTTATGCTCCTCCTGCCCTAACTCCAGGGCACAGATCTCCTAGGGGCACCTGGAGCTCTGTGAACAAGAACCACACCAGGAAGTGCATGATCCCAAAGGGTCATCTTTCTGCTACCACAGGGTCCTCCTATGTCCTGACCAATGGTCTCTTCCTACCCAGGTCCGGGAGGTGACAAGACATGTCATTCAAGTTTCAAATGAGGTTGTCACAGATGATGACCGCTATTCTGACCTCCTGATGGCATGGGGACAATACATCGACCACGACATCGCGTTCACACCACAGAGCACCAGCAAAGCTGCCTTCGGGGGAGGGGCTGACTGCCAGATGACTTGTGAGAACCAAAACCCATGTTTTCCCATACAAGTAAGTTTTAGAAAACGTTTCTATGTTTGTTATGAAACTAAGTGCTATTTAAAACGTCAAACAGAATGGTATAAAACAAAATGTGAAAGTCTGTTTCTTTGTCCTATTCCCAGGGGTAGCAGTTGTGAATATCTGGTGCATCTCACTGGAAATTCCCTGGGTACACGTATATATAGCATGTATGATAGTGTGGGTACACATATATATAGCATGTATGATACTGTGGGTACACATATATATAGCATGTATGATAGTGTGTGGGCAGATGTGTACATAGCATGTATGATACTGTGGGTACATATATATATAGCATGCATGATAGTGTGTGGGCAGATGTGTACATAGCATGTATGATACTGTGGGTACACATATATATAGCATGTATGATAGTGTGTGGGCAGATGTGTACATAGCATGTATGATACTCTGGGTACACATATATGTAGCATGTATGATAGTGTGTGGGCAGATGTGTACATAGCATGTATGATACTGTGGGTACACATATATATATAGCATGTATGATAGTGTGTGGGCACATGTGTACATAGCATGTATGATACTGTGGGTACACATATATGTAGCATGTATGATAGTGTGTGGGCAGATGTGTACATAGCATGTATGATACTGTGGGTACACATATATGTAGCATGCATGATAGTGTGTGGGCAGATGTGTACACAGCATGTATGATACTGTGGGTACACATATATGTAGCATGTATGATAGTGTGTGGGCAGATGTGTACATAGCATGTATGATACTGTGGGTACACATATATAGCATGTATGATAGTGTGGGCAGATGTGTACATAGCATGTATGATACTGTGGGTACACATATATATAGCATGTATGATAGTGTGTGGGCAGATGTGTACATAGCATGTATGATACTGTGGGTACACATATATGTAGCATGTATGATAGTGTGTGGGCAGATGTGTACATAGCATGTATGATACTGTGGGTACACATATATAGCATGTATGATAGTGTGGGCAGATGTGTACATAGCATGTATGATACTGTGGGTACACATATATATAGCATGCATGATAGTGTGTGGGCAGATGTGTACATAGCATGTATGATACTGTGGGTACACATATATATAGCATGTATGATCGCGTGTGGGCAGATGTGTACATAGCATGTATGATACTGTGGGTACACATATATAGCATGTATGATCGTGTGTGGGCAGATGTGTACATAGCATGTATGATACTGTGGGTACACATATATAGCATGTATGATCGTGTGTGGGCAGATGTGTACATAGCATGTATGATACTGTGGGTACACATATATGTAGCATGTATGATAGTGTGTGGGCAGATGTGTACATAGCATGTATGATACTGTGGGCACATGCATATATAGCATATATGATAGTGTGTGGGCAGATGTGTACATAGCATGTATGATACTGTGTGGTCACAAGTATATAGCATATAGGATTATGTGTGGGCACATGTATTGGCACATCACAGGTGGGCTCGTGTGTATATAGCATGTATGATATTGTGTGGTCGTGTATATAGCATATAGGATTATGTGTGGGCATGTGTATTAGCATATATGATCTCGGGTGGGCACGTGTGTATATGGCATATAAGATAGTGTGTGGGCACGTGTGTATATGGCACATAAGATAGTGTGTGGGCACGTGTGTATATGGCATATAAGATAGTGTGTGGGCACGTGTGTATATGGCATATAAGATAGTGTGTGGGCACGTGTGTATATGGCATATAAGACAGTGTGTGGGAACGTGTTTATATGGCATATGAGATTGTGGGCACGTGCGTTTATGGCACATAAGATAGTGTGCAGGCACGTGTGTATATGGTATATAAGATAGCGTGTGGACACGTGTGTATATAGGATATAATATAGTGTGTGGGCACATATGTATATGGCATATAAGATACTGTGTGGGCACATGTGTATATAGGATATAAGATAGTGTGTGGGCACGTGTGTATATAGCATATAAGACAGTGTGTGGACACATGTGTATATAGTATATAAGATAATATGCGGACATGTGTGTATATAGTATATAAGACAGTTTGTGGGCACATGTGTATATGGCATATAAGACAGTTTGTGGACATGTGTGTATATGGCATATAAGATAGTGTGTGGACATGTGTGTATATGGCATATAACATGCTGTGTGGGCACATGTGTTTATAGCATATAAGACAGTTTGTGGGCACATGTGTATATGGCATATAAGACAGTTTGTGGACATGTGTGTATATGGCATATAAGATAGTGTGTGGACATGTGTGTATATGGCATATAAGATACTGTGTGGGCACGTGTGTTTATAGCATATTAGTTTGTGGGCACGTGTGTAAATAGAGCCTATTATCCCATGTGTACCTGCACTTTTTCTCATCCTCTGTGTCACATCATGTGCATGCTCAGTGCCTGGTAAGGACCACTTAGCAATAGTTCTTATACATGTCTGCTTAACATTAAGTGAACAGAAATGTAATTGTTTACAACTTAGTATTCCATTTGTGTGTGCATTATAATCTATCTAACCACTTTCCCTATTAATGAGCATGAGTTGCCTTCTGCTTCATTGCTGTTTTTATGCTGTCACAAATAATGAAGCAAAGAGCACACTTGGCCCTCAATCTTTGTGCCCATGTGCACACCTGATAGATCCAGGGGTAAGATTGCTAAGTCACGGTGGAGGTGCCTGTGGAATTTTGATAAATATTGCAGAATTACTCTCCATTAATATTGCACAAATGTTCACTCTTACCAGAAAAGAAAGAGACAATATAGGTAGATTTTTAATTTTATTTCTCTCTGGAAACCAGCCTTGAAGTTAACAAGGGACATTTTCTTTTTTTTTTTTTAAGACAGGGTCTCACCCAGTCGCCCAGGCTGGAGTGCAGTGGTGCAATCTCGGCTCACTGCAACCTCCGCCTCCCGGGTTCAAGCAATACTTCTGCCTCAGCCTCCCTAGTAGCTGGGACTACAGGCAGGTGCCACCACACCCGGCTAATTTTTGTATTTTTAGTAGAGACGGGGTGTCACCATGTTGGCCAGGCTGGTCTCGAACTCCTGACCTTGGGATCCGCCTGCCTTGGCCTCTCAAAGTGCTGGGATTACAGGTGTGAGCCACCGTGCTCAGCCAACAAGGGACATTTTCTACTTAAGAGCACAGATGGTTTCGATCTCATGTCCTCTCTAACATTCATTCAATAAAACTTCACTGGCAGTTATTCTGTGCCATGCTGTGCTGTGTGCTAGGCAGGCTGAAAAGGAAGACAGGCTGGTCCCTGGAAGGTGGGCAGGACAGTTACATAAACCAGCAGTTACAAAATTCTGGGCATCTGCAGAGGAGGTCCCAGTGGGCAAAATCAAGACATCTAAACAAAATATCCCAAAAGGAATAATATTGGGGGAAAGGTGGAAAAGGAGCACCATAAAGACTGTGTCAATCATAGAAACTGAATTTCAGCCAGGTCCAGCCTCTGTCCCTGGGAGGAGGTCTCTCTCTCTCACACGCTGGGGCTCAGACCCTGGGAGACAGGGGGCCCCTTGCTCTTCTCTGCAGAGCCCCCTCACCAGGGCGGCCCCCTGCATGTGTTCCCTGCTGCATGTACCTCTAACCTGGGATTCTTTCTTTCTTTTTTTTTTTTTTTGAGCTGGAGTCTTGCCCAGGCTGGAGTGTAGTGGCGCAATCTCAGCTCACTGCAACCTCCGCCTCCCGGATATAAGCGATTCTCCTGCCTCAGCATCCTGAGTAGCTGGGACTACAGGCATGCGCCACCATGCCTGGCTAATTTTTCTATTTTTAATAGAGATGGGGTTTCATCGTGTTGGCCAGGCTGGTCTCAAACTCCTGAACTCAAGTGATCTGCCCACCTTGGCATCCCAAAGTGCTGGGATTACAGGTATGAGCCACTGTGCCTGGCCCTAGTGTTATTCTTCACCACTCAGGACCCCAAAGTTCTCATCTGTTAACATTAGAGCTGTTAGATCTTGCAGAAGTACCTGTATCTTCAGCAATGAACAGTCTGCCAAGCAGAGGCCCTCGTTCCCAGCTAAGTGGCTCCCCAGCAGAATCTGTGCAAAAAAATGACTGAGTTATGCAGCCTGGAGAAGCAGTGGAGATGGGCACCTATTATCTATCAGGTCTTGGGTTCCAGGCTTGCCTTGTAACTTATTATCTGCGTGTATATAGGTTTGTTGTCCATAAAAAGAGTATATTTCCCAGGCTGGCCTTGTAACTTATTAGCTGCATGTATATAGGTTTGTTGTCCATAAAAAGAGTATATTTCCCACCTAATAATGTAGCAATTAGAATGAAATGAGATCGAATTTGCAAAACCAGGCTCAGAGAAGGAATTCAATGAACGTGTATTGTTATTGCTGTGTTGCTGGAAGCGTAGACCTCTGAGAGGGATGTGGGGTGATTAGGGAAGCTCAGCAGGGAGGGAGCACGTTGGGTAGGGAGCTGCACTGAGAGAACTACTCTGTGTGGAGGTTGGGCTCCCCTGGAGCTGCACTGAGAGAACCACTGTGTAGTGGGGTGGGGGCTCCACCTTTGGGCTCCCCTGGAGCTGCACTGAGAGAATCACTGTGCGTGGGGGCTCCACCTTTGGGGATCTCCTGGAGTTTCGCTGGTTTGGGCAAGAGCTGGTGAAAAGCAGCCTTGGAAGAAGGAGGGATTGTTCTTGCAAGTCTGCGGCTGCTATTGGGGTAATTTATGTTTGTCCAGACAGGTGGGACAGTTGGGGGCCACCATCTGGGTGGGAAGGACACGGGTAGCCCTGAGGCCAGACAAGGACCCCAGGAAAAGCCCAGCCCTTCAGGGCCACACACACCGTGGGGGAGGTTGGGGGGCCTCTGGCCAGGGCATCATCCTGGGCACGTTCTGCTGGTATCCAGGGTCACGTGATGGTTGTGGTGAGCCCCACACACCCGCCCCCAGAGGCTCCTTCCTCCACCCACAATACTCAGTTATGTGGATGGCTGCGTTCGTATAAAGATAAATATATTAATGTGGGTTCAAACGTTCTTTGGCCTAAATGTTTATTATTTTCTTCTGATTTTAAAGCAAGTTAAAGATTTTGTGACCACACTTGCTCCTGTGGCCCTAGGCACTGTGGCTATGGTGCCGCCTGGGTAGGCTGGCCCTGGGGAAACTGGACTTCCACCTGCCTCAGGGGAGGAATTGGCCTTTCGTCCTAAGAAAAGTCTCCTCAGAAGAACCCGAGTGGGAGTGAAAAGCAAAAGTGAGTTGGGCCCCAGGGCCCCCTGCCCCACCGGGCATAAATATACCCACAGGCATGCACACACTCACAGGCACAGGTGACCGTGACCGCCCGTACACCTGTGTGCACGCCCTTGTGCACACACACGCACACCCACCCACACCCATACACACACGTGCACACAGGCACACGCACCTATACATGCTCATGACACACAGACCCACACACACACCTGCACACACCTCACATGCACACAGCTGCTCCAGGATCCTTCTGCTGACATGCGGACCCTGTGTAACTCAGGAGTGTATTGGACGAGGGCAGGGGGGGCCGTGGCGAGGAGCAGGATACTGTGATGCCCGTGGAGACCCCCGCAGAGGTTCCGGGGGGTCCGGGCACTGGCTCCTTCGGGGCTCCCTACTGGATCTCAAGGGAAAGGCGGGTGCTCTCATCAGCCATGTCACTCTCCAGTGTCCTCCTTTCTTTTTAGGGCTCAGTTAGAGTGAGCCCGGTCACCCCAGGTACCGTCTCTCTGCCCTATTTCAACTTTCTCTTCTGGCTCTTCTGGGCCAGCCTGTCTTTCGTGGGGCAGGACTGGGGTTGACAGCACTTCCCTTCCACACGGAGCACATGCTTGTGGGACCCTGAAGGCAGAGAGGCTGGGGCAGGTGCTGCGGGCAGCAGGCGGGGAGGGGCTGGACCATCTCAGGCGGGGAGCCTGCAGGGCTTGTTCCCAGGAGCTGAGGAGCTGACTCCAGACCTCAGGGCTCTGCGCTAAGGTCCCTGGACACAAACTCAGGGCACAGACAAGAGGCAAACCCTCAGGGGACGACTTGAAAATATGGAATCACAAGGAATTGTTATCTTCATTCTATAAAGAGCTCTTATAAAGCAATGAGAAAAAAATAAACACCCAATGGAATAAACACCCGATGTGAACAAGAAAATTACAAGAAAACCCAAATACGTGTGTGTAGGTAAACACACACACACACACACACACACAGATATCAATGAAAGATAAATGAACAGCAAGATGCTGTTTTTAAACATACAGACTGGAAAGAAATTATGAAATTTTAATTTAGTGTTGTTGAGGGTATTGAGAAATCATTTGCATCCATGCATTGCTGTGCAAAAGTAAACTGGTGAATACATTCGGGACACGATGTGACATAAGGTATGAAATGAAATCAGGCCCATTCACAGCACCACAAGAATCTTCCCTAGGGACAATGTCCAAACTGCCCTTAAAAGTGGGTGAATATATTAGTTTGTCACGATTGTTTATATCACCAAAATACTGAAAAACTTTAAACGTTGATCACAGGCTATGAGCATGAGAAACACAAGCAACTTTAGACAATCATGTTATACAGTGATATTATGGAAATGGTAAAATGTTGCCCAGCTTAGTAAAATTTTAGATGATATTGTACTTGTCACTTTTCTTATTTCAAAATGTTCATTATTGAGCATATATTATCTTTGTACTTAGAGAAAAATAACAATAAAATTATTTGTAAACAATTTTAAAAATAAAAGGCAAGACCACATCTGGCAGGGAGGACACCTGCGTGCCCGTGGGTGAGAACGTGGGAGAGGCCCCAGGGTGGGTCTCCAGGGCACTTTCCAGGGCTCTTGGTGTCAGGCATGAACCTCCTGGCTTGCAGTTAAGAGTGTCCATCAATTATTCAGATCCTGTCCATCCCCAGGGCAGCCTTCAGTAGTTGAGTGATTGAGCTAACAGTCACTCCAGTGAGATGAAAAATATACCGTATACTCTAGGAGTAGCTCCATAAACCCAATAGATGACACATCATAAATCAGTGCTTTTAAATGTTTGATGTCCTTTACACTCAAAGCATCCAGTTTGGTCTCTGAGTATTTACGGTGGAGTGAGAGGGTGGAAGTTCTTAGTGAGCTTGGAGCAAGTTGGGACTTTTGAATCCCAAAGCAAAACAGAAAATGATCCACACAATTTATCATATCTATGTTTATTCAGTTTTCCTAAGAGAAACATGTTTCCAGCAACTACACGAGACTATAAATTAAAGTGTTTTGAGTCTCTGACTACTGATCACTCAGCCCAGGGAGCTGTGAGAGCTTTGCAGCATCCTCTATTTTAGGACTGGGCTTTTCTTCATGACCTTGCTCCTTCTGGTCTCGGCTAAGTGGGGGTGCAGGCAGCCCGATGATGTTCCACTGGGTGCTGCAAACCCCCCATCCACTGCAGAAAATATGTAGCTATGAATGTATCGACAACCTCAAAGCTATGCAAGCCTCCTCATGCACACCAATGTGTATCTCTAGGTACATATTACAAAGTGGAGTTAGTGGGTTATGAATTATGTTCATGTTGGAATTTTTTATTTCCATAAGTTATTGAGAACAGGTGGTGTTTGGTTACATGAGTAAGTTCTTTAGTGGTGATTTGTGAGATTTCGGTGCACCCATCACCCAAGCAGTATACACTGAACACAATTTGTAGCTTTTTATCTCTCACTCCCTTCCCACCCTTTCCCCCTGAGTCCCCAAAGTCCACTGTGTCATTCTTACGCCTTTACATCCCCATAGCTGAGGTGTCACTTATGAGTGAGAACATAAAATGTTTGGTTTTCAATTCTTGAGTTACTTCACTTAGAATAATAGTCTCCAATCTCAACCAGGTCTCTGCAAATGCCATTAATTCACTCCTTTTTATGGCTGAGTAGTATTCCATCGTATATAAAAAATCACAGTTTCTTTATCCACTCATTGATTGATGGGCATTTGGGTTGCTTCCACAGTTTGGCAATTGTGAATTGTGCGGCTATAAACACGGATGTGCCAATGCATTTTTCGTATAATGACTTCTTTTCCTCTGGGTAGATACCCAGGAATGGGATCGCTGGATCAAATAGTAGTTCTACTTTTAGTTCTTTAAGGAATCTCCACGGTGTTTTTCCACAGTGGTTGTACTAATTTACATTCCTACCAGCAGGGTAGAAGTGTTGTTCCCTTTTCACCATATCCACACCAACATCTATTATTCGTTGATTTTTTTTATTATGGCCATTCTTGCCAGAGTAAGGTGCTAATGTGTTGTGTTTTGATTTGCATTTCCCTGATCATTAGTGATGAGCATTTTTTCATATGTTTGTTGGCCATGTGTGTATCTTCTTTTGAGAATTCTCTATTCATGTCCTTAGCCCACTTTTTGATGGGATTGTTTGGTTTTTCTTACTGATTTGTTTGAGTTTGTTGTAGATTCTGGATATTAATCCTTTGTCAGATGTGTGGATTGTGAAGATTTTCTCCCACTCTGTGAGTTGTCTGTTTACTCTACTGACTGTTCCTTTTGCTGTGCAAAAGCTCTTTAGTTTAATTAAGTCCCAACTATTTATCTTTCTTTTTATTGAATTTGCTTTTGTGTTCTTGGTCATTAAATCCTTGCCTGAGCCAATAGCAAGAAGAATTTTTCCAATGTTATCTTCTAGAGTTTTTATGGTTTCAGGTCTTAGACTTAAGTCCTTGATCCATCTTGAGTTGTTTTTGTATAAGGTGAGAGATGAGGATCTAGTTTCATTCTCCTACACATGGCTTGCCAATTATCGCAGCATCATTTGTTGAATAGGGTGTCCTTTGCCCACTTTATGTTTTTGTTTGCATTGTCGAAGATCAATTGGCTGTAAGTATTTGGGTTTATTTCTGGGTTCTCTATTCTATTCCATTGGTCTATGTGCTTATTTTTGTACCAGTACTATGCTGTTTTGGTGACTATGGCCTTATAGTATAGTTTGAAATCAGGTAATGTGATGCCTCCAGATTTGTTCTTTCTGCTTAGTCTTGCTTTGGCTATGCAGGCTCTTTTTTGGTTCCATACGAATTTTAGGATTTTGTTTTCTAATTTGATGAAGAATGATGGTGGTATTTTGATGGGAATTGTGTTGAATTTGTAGATTGCTTTCAGCAGTATGGTTGTTTTCACAATATTGACTCTACCCATCCATGTGCATGGGTTGTGTCCCATTTGTTTGTGTTGTCTGTGGTTTTTTTCAGCAGTGTTTTGTAGTTTTCCTTGTAGAGGTCTTTCATCTCCTTGGTTAGGTATATTTCTAAGTATTTTATTTTTTTCAGCTATTGTAGAAGGGGTTGAGTTCTTGATTTGATTCTCAGCTTGGTTGCTGTTGGCGTATAGAAGAGCTACTGATTTCTGTACATTAATTTTGTATCCAGAAATTTTTCTGAATTATTTGATCAGTTCTAGGAGCTTTCTGGAGGAGTCTTTAGGGTTTTCTAGGTAAACAATCATATCATTAGCAAACAGCAACAGTTTGACTTCCTCTTCGCCGATTTGGATGCCCTTTATTTCTTTTGTCTGATTCCTCTGGCTAGGATTTCGAGTACTATGTTGAAGAGGAGTGGTGAGAGTAGGCATCCTTGTCTTGTTCCCATTCTCAGAGGGAATGCTTTCAACTTTTCCCCATTCAGAATTATGTTGGCTGTGGGTTTGTCATAGATGGCTTTTAATACATTGAGCTATTTCCCTTGTATGCCAATTTTGCTGAGTTTTGATCATAAAAGGATGCTGGATCTTTTTGAATGCTTTTTATGCATCTATCGAGACGATCATGTGATTTCTGCTTTTGATTCTGCTTACATGGTGTATCACATTTATTGACTTGTGTATGTTAAGCCATCCCTGCATCCCTGGTATGAAACCCACCTGATCATGGTGGATTATCTTTTTGATATGCATTGGATTTGGTTAGCTAGTATTTTGTTAAGGATTTTAGCATCTATGTTCATCAGGGTTATTGGTCCGTAGTTTTCTTTTTTGGTTATGTCCTCTTCTGGTTTTACTATTAGGGTGATACTGGCCTTACAGAATGATTTAGGAAGGGTTGCCTGTTTCTCTATCTTGTGGAGTAGTGTCAATAGGATTGGTAACAATTCTTCTTTGAATGTCTGGCAGAATTCTTCTGTGAATCTGTCTGGTTCTTGACTTTTTTTGTTGGTAATTTTTATATTACCATTTCAATCTTACTGCTTGTTATTGTTCAGGGTGTCTAATTCTTCCTGACTTAAGCTAGGAGGGTTATATCTTTCCAGGAATTTATCCATCTCTAGGTTTCCCAGTTGATGTGCATAAAGCTGTTCATAGTAGCCATGAATGATCTTTTGTATTTCAGTGGTGTCAGTTGTAATATCTCCCATTTTGCTTCTAATTGAGCTTATTTGGATTTTCTCTTCTTTTCTTGGTTAACCTTGCTAATGGTCTATCAATTTTATTTATCTTTTCAAAGAACCAGGTTTTTGTTTCATTTATCTTTTGTATTTTTTTTGTTGTTGTTTCAATTTCATTTAGTTCTGCTCTGATCTTGGTTATTTCCTTTCTTCTGCTGGGTTTGGGTTTGGTTTGTTCTTGTTTCTCTAATTCCTTAAGGTGTAACCTTAGATTGTCAGTTTGTGCTCTTTCAGATTTTTTATGTAGGCATTTAGGGCTATGAACTTTCCTCTTAGCACCGCCTTTGCTGTATCCTAGAGGTTTCGATAGGTTGTGTCATTATTGTCATTCAGTTCAAAGAATTTTTTTTTTTTTGAGATGGAGTTTCGCTCTTGTTGCCCAGGCTGGAGTGTAGTGGCACAATCTCGGCTGATTGCAACCTCTGCCTCCTGGGTTCAAGTGATTCTCCTCCCTCAGGATCCCGAGTAGCTGGGATTATAGGCATCCACCACCATGCCCAGCTAATCTTTTGTATTTTTAGTAGAGATTGGGTTTCACCATGTTGGCCAGACTGGTCTTGAATTCCTGGTCTCAGGTGATCCACCAGCTCAGCCTCCCAAAGCGCTGGGATTACAGGCATGAGCCACTGTGCCTGGCCCCGAAGAATTTTTTAATTTCCATCTTGATTTCATTTTTAACCCAGTGTCATTCAGGAGCAGATTATTTAATTTCCATGTATTTGCATGATTTTGAAGGTTCCTTTTGGAGTTGATTTCCAGTTTTATTTCACTGTGGTCTGAGAGAGTGCTTGATATAATTTCAATTTTCTTAAATTTATTGAGGCTTATTTTGAGACCTATCATATGGTCTATCTCAGAGAAAGCTCCATGTGCTGTTGAATAGAATGTGTATTCTGCAGTTGTTGGGTAGAATGTTCTGTAAATACCTGTTAAGTCCATTTGTTCCAGGGTATAGTTTAAATCCACAGTTTCTTTGTTGACTTTCTGTCTTGATGACCTGTCTAGTGCTGTCAGTGGAGTGTTGCAGTCCCCCACTATTACTGTGTTGCTGTCTATCTCATTTCTCAGTTCTGTTAGTAATTGTTTTATAAATTTGGGAACTCCAGTGTTAGGTGCACATTTATTTAGGATTGTGATATTTTCCTGTTGGACAAGGCCTTTTATCATTATATAATGACCCTCTTTGTCTTTTTTAACCACTGTTGCTTTAAAGTTTATTTTGTCTGATATAAGAATAGCTACACTGCTCGCTTTTGGTGTCCATTTGCATGGAATGCCTTCTTCTACCCCTTTACCTTAAGTTTATGTGAGTCCTTATGTGTTAGGCATGTCTCTTGAAGGCAGCAGATGGTTGGTGAATTCTTATGCATTCTGCAATTCTGTATCTTTTAGGTGGAGCATTTAGACCATTTACATTCAATGTTAGTACTGAGATGTGAGGTATCATTCCATTCATTGTGCTATTTGTTGCCTGTACCCCTTGGGTTTTTGTGATTTTGCTGGTTTTTTTAATTGTATTTTTGTTGTATAGGTCCTGTGAGATTTATGCTTTAAAGAGGTTGTGTTTTGATGTGTTTCCAGGATTTGTTTCAAGATTTAGAGCTCCTTTTAGCAGTTCTTGTAGTGCTGCCTTGGTAGGGGTGAATTTTCTCATCATTTGTTTGTCTGGGAAAGATTGTTATCTTTCCTTCATTTATGAAGCTTAGCTTTGCTGGATACCACATTTTTGGTGGATAATTGTTTTGTCTGAGGAGGCTGAAGATGGGTCCCAATCCCTTCTAGCTTGTAGGGTTTCTGCTGAGAAATCTGCTGTTAATCTGATAGGTTTTTACTTTATAGGTTACCTGGTGTTTTTGTTTCACAGCTCTTAAGATTCTTTTCATCATCTTAACTTTAGGTAACCTGATGACAATGTGCCTGGGCAATGATCTTTTAGCAATGAATTCTCCAGGTGTTCTTTGAGCCTCTTGTATTTGGTGTCTAGGTCTCCAGCAAGGCCAGGGAGGTTTTCCTCGATTATTCCCCAAAATAAACTTTCCAAACTTTTAGATTTCTCTTCTTCCTCAGGAATGCTAATTATTCCTAGGTTTGGTCATTAGACATAATCCCAGACATCTTGGAGGCTATCTTCATATTTTCTTATTCTTTTTTCTTTGTCTTTGTTGGATTGGGTTAATCTGAAGACCTTGTCTTTGAGCTCTGAAGTTTTCTTTTGCTTGTTTGATTCTATTGCTGAGACTTTCCAGTACATTTTGAATTTCTCTGAGTGTGTCCAATGTTTCCTGAAGTTTTGATTGTTTTTTATTTGTGATATCTATTTCCTTGAATATTTCTCCCTTCACTTCTTGTATCATTTTTCTGATTTCCTTACATTGGGCTTTGCCTTTCTCTGGTGCCTTCCTGATTAGCTTAATAATTAACCTTCTGAATTCTTTTTCAGGTAAATCAGGGATTTCTCCTTGGTTTGGATCCATTGCCAGTGAGCTAGTGTGATTTTAGGGGGTGTTAAAGAGCCTTATTTTGTTATATTACCAGAGTTGGTTTTCTGGTTCCTTCTCATTTGGGTAGTCTCTGTCAGAGGGAAGGTCTAGGGCTCTAGCCTGTTGTTCAGATTCTTTCGCCCCAGGGGGTGTTCCCTGGACGTGATTAGTACTCTCCCTGTTTCCTAGGGATGTGGCTTCCTGAGAGCTAAGGTGTAGTTATTGTTATCTCTCTTCTGGATCTAGCCACCAAGTTCAAATTGTTACAAAGTTCAGCTGGCAGTTTCCTTCTCCCTGTGGCCTTTTACAGGTGCCTCTGGCAGCCCTCCTGAAGGACCCCTGTGAGGCAAGGTGGAAATGGCTTCCTAGGGGACCCAGAGATCCCACAGGGCTTTTCTGGCTGCTTCCTCTACTCTTGTATTCCACTCGGCTCTCTAAATGGACTCAGCTCCGGGTAAAGTCAGAATCTTCTCCCGTAATCTAGACCTTCAGGTTCCGCAGTGGGGGTGCATGTTCAGGGTGGACGATCTCTCCCACTTCCTCAGTTTGGGCACTCACAGTATTTGGGGTGTCTCCCGAGTCCTGCAGGAGCCATCCGCTTTCTTCAGAGGGTCTGCGGTTTCTCTTGGCTTTCCTAATGTATTCCTGCCGTCGTTCTGGAGCAAAAGTTCACGACGTGAACCTCCACACACTGCTCTGTTTGTCCAAGTGAGAGCTGAAACCTAGTCCTGCCTCTTGTCCGCCATGATCCGTCACAAAAAATCCTCCTCATGTTGGAATTTTAATAGGTACTCCCAAATTTCTCTGCAGCAATGAGATGGCGAATTGTATTTTCTAATTGATTATTTTTCAGCAACAATTAATCTTACATAATTCCTATTATTTTCCAATGCGGTAAAGAAGAAAATCTTGAATTTTACATTATTGGCTTTAAAACCTGTATCTGTGTCTCTTTTGTTGACCTAAAGCAAGAAGCTGAGGCACAAAATACATTTTAAAGAGTTTACTTGAGCCAAAATGAGAATAGCTGCCCGGAATACTTAGATCCAAATAACTTTGGACGTGAGCTTTGTTAGATCTTTGCTGCAAACAGGTTTCAAAGGCGAAAAAGGTGGACAAGGAGTGAGCCTTGGTCCTTCACTCTATATGATTGCTTGGCTTTTCATTTTGTTTACGGTGCCATTATTCATAAATTTAGGTCGATTTTCGTCAATTTTTTTTCTTCTCTATGACATCTACATTGTTATCTTACTGAGCAGGTCTTCCTTATCTGGTATATATAATAATATATATATAAATATATTTTTCTATATTTTATTTTAAACATATTAAAAACTGGGCTTGATATACAACTTTGTTTTATTCTGACTCTATTTTGTGTAGATAAAATACTGCTTTAGTGAGTAACATTTAAAAAAGCCATGGTGAGAGCAGCATCTGCCTCTGTTCCTAGATAAAGGGCATGATTCTGATGTTTTTCCTCACATACTGTGTCTACTAGGAATTTCTGCTAGACAACTTCAGTTAGAAATTTGAAAATCTTATTTGTAATTTCCCAAGAATTTTAATGAGGCTTGTGGGTTCCAGCTTTACTCAATACCTTCCCAGCATCGGCAGAGGAGGCCACAGGGCTTCCACTTCACTTCATTATTGTGTGAGCTACACTGGTAGATTTCCAACGCAGTGCCATATTTACATGGCCTGCATGATGGTGATGCAGGTTTTCATTTATTCTTGGATTGAATTTGCTAATATTTTATTTGAAATGTTGCCTCTCTCTTCATAAGCAGAGTTGTGCTACAGTGCTCTTTTCCGATGCTGCACCTATTTGGGTGTTACAAACACACCAGCATCTGACAGTGGTCAGGGGTTGCCCATTCTTTTACTATGCTCAGGATTACCTTGTCTAAAATCAAATTTGGGCTTTTTGTTTTGAATAACTGGTAGAGCTTATTTGTGACTCTGGTCCTGATAACCTCTGGGGTGGCAGATCTTTGGTTATGGGCTCAGTTCTGGGTGCAGTTAGTCTATTCGAGCCCATAAGTCTTTCCTGTTCTTTATTTTCTATTACCTTCCTATTACACTTTTTCATCTACTTCACATTTCTCACCCTCTTATGCTGAAAGCGAGTTGAGTTACGTTCACTGTGTCGTGCTTTTTGACAAGTGTAGTTAAGACTATGTATTTTCCTGTGACCCCCCCCCACAAATTTTGATACATGGTCCTTACATTGATGTTAATTCAAAATAGGTTTTAATTCAAATAAGAATTTCTTACATTAAACTTGAGCACCCACATGTAAGTGTAATTTCACATAAATGTAAAACTTAAACTGTGCCTGACTCTCCCGACACGAGTCTCTTCCTCTCCCTCCCTCATTTGCTAGACTCTCCTCCTGCTCACTCCCATGTTCTCCACTCATGCCCCTGCCCCCAAACCAATCATTTGACTCCCAAATGTTGATATTTGAAGTGTGTGTAGGGGAAAGGGGGCATGATAAATGAAACTAGAATAGTAAGAAGCTGGTGTAGACAGCATAGTGGGCTCAAAGGGATTCACTGGGCACCCCGTTTTAATCAGCATGCCCTTGCTATGATCTCAGCACTCATGGCATGCCCTTCCCATGATCCTGATGTTCATGGTGTGCCCTTCCCATGATCCTGATGCTCATGGTGTGCCCTTCCCATGATCTGAAAGTTCATAGCACATGCCCTTCCCATGATCTGAATGTTCATAGCACATGCCCTTCCCATGATCTGAATGTTCATAGCATACCCATCCCATTCTTTGAGTGCTCATAGTATGTTCTTCCTGTGATCTGAGTGCTGATATCATGCCCTTCCCATGATGCAAATGCTCACAGCATGCACTTCCTGTGATCTGAACGCTCATAGAGTGCTCTTCCTGTGATCCAAATGCTCATGGCATGCCCTTTCCATGACGTGAATGCTCATGGCGTGCCCCTCCTGTGTTCTGAATGCTTATAGAGTGCCCTTCACATGATCTGAGTGCTCATGGTGTGTCCTTTCTGTGATCCAAATACTCATGCTATGTCCTTCCCTTGATCCAAATGCTCATGGTGTGTCCTTCTGATGATCTGAGTGCTCATAGTGTGCTCTTCCCACGATATGAGTGGTCACGGTGTGCCCTTTCCATGATATGAATGCTCACTTGGCTACACCTAAAGAAGTCATGCACAAGCATATTCTCTTGAATGTTGTTAACAAAAACAAGACTATGCTGAGTACACGTTCTGTATCTTGGATTCTCACTCAGTAGTGATGTGTCCTGGGAATCCCCCCAGTGGAGCGCCAAGCCATCCCTGCTTACGGCTGGACTGTTCCACACTCCGGGTCACAGCCATGGGTGTGCCCTTCCGTGTTACAGCCTCTGCCACAGCGTGGATCACCAGAAGTGACACTGCCAGGTTGGAAGGCAGCTTTAGCACTGCTATGCTGGTACTACTGTCTAAAAATTCTGTGACCCTCACAGCAACGACTGAGTGTACCCCTTACTCACATTCGCCATCCACACTGGCAACAGCCTTGTTTTTTTCTCATTTTTTTCTGCTTGTTTGGCGGCAAAAAAAAAAAAAAAAAAAAAAAAGGAGAGAGAGAGATATTTCGTTGTTACATTAGTTGCTTTCCCTGAATATTAGTGAATTTTAAAGTTGTCCTTTATTTATCTTTTTTTGGCAATTTGTATTTGTTCAACGAATGATCTGTTCATAGCCTTTGTCCATTTTTCTACTATTTGACTGTTAATTGATTTTAATTGCTCCTTTCCACTCTAGATGTTAACTCTCTATCTCTCACTTTTCTTACAAATGTTTTTCTACAGCCCCATCAATACAGAACTGTCAGCATGAAGCACTTTCATATTTTATAAGGCCAGGTCTACTTATGTGTTGATGGCTTCTAGGCTCAGTTTTGGTTCAGGAATCTCCTTTGCTCGAAGTCGACAGTGACCTCCTGGGTGGTATTACAGCACGGGTTTCCATTCATTTTGCACAGTGGACAGTCTGGGTGCGTTTTATTCCCATTCAGATGGAAAACCAGCTGGTTCTGCCCTCCTTCTCCCCACAGGCCTAGATAGCACTTTGTCACAGAAGAACTGGGGTCTGGTTCTGGGCTCTCTGTCTTCTTTTATTAACAGATTCATCTGTTCTTGTTGACAATACCGTGTGGACTTGGTCATAGCGGCCTTATAGTATATCCTATTATCTGTCAAGTCAATACCGCATCACCATTCTTTTCCCTAGTTTATTAAGGAATAAATAAATAATGGAATTTGTATCTTCATATAAACTTTAAAATTAATTTATCTATTTCAAAATGAAAAAGTACTATCATTATTATTGTAAATGAAATTGCATTTAATTTATACATTCATTTAGAGAGAAATGATCTTTTCCCAAATTTTTTGTATATTTAATGATGTTTTATGATTTTCTTTTTGTAGATCATGTGATTATTTTGTTAAATTTACACACCTGATTTTGATCAACTTTTTTGTCATTATGAAAGGGATTTTTTTTTCTCCATTACCATTCATGGTACTTTGCTAAAGAACAAAACAAAAAAGAAAGAAGGAAAAGAACAGTTTTATACTTATCCTCAGATCGAAGACATTTTTTAAAGAAATGTTATCAATTTTTTAGAATTTTTAGATGTTGTAGACATCTAACATAGCATTAAGAAAAAATAATTTTATTATGTTTTAAATCTTATTTTCTCTTACAGTAGCTTTACCAGCTCTTATTTTATTTTCTAGACTTTGGTCTAACTGAGATAGTACTAAGTACCAACAATGATAGCGGGAGTTTCTGCTAGTCCTTAATTTTAAATTAAATTGTTCCATTGTTTCACTGCTCGAGATAATATTTGTTATTGTTTCTACATTATATTTTAGCAATTCCAATCTATTCTATTTCTATTTAACCAGGAATGGTAAGTAATAGTAAATTGTGTTATTGCATTTTAAGTACCTATGATATTAATTTTTCTTCTTTAATTTGCTGACACCCTGGAAAATACAACTCTATTCTCCAACACGGAACCATTCTGTGAATAGATTCTATTTGACTATGGTAATTGCTGTTTTGATTTGCTGCCCTATCTTTTATTATTTTATTTAGAAGGGATATTGATCTGTATGCCCTGTCCTTGTCCTGTTTTCATCAGAGGCCAATACAAAAGTTTCGCTGACTCTGTAGAGTGCACTGGGGCCCTTTTCATCTTTTCCATGGCTGAAATAGTTTAAGCAACCTTGGAGTTACCTATCCTTTCGAGATTTGATAGAAGTCCACCGTCAATGCCATCTGACCTCTGGATTTCTGATCACCTTGTCTATCTCTTCCATCCTCATTGTCCATTGGAGTTTTACATTTCTTCTTGGAAAAGCTGTGGTTATTTCTATTTTGTTAGGGAGTCATCGATCTGTTCTTCATTTTCCAATGTGCTGCCATGAAACCGCATATACAGTCGCTCCTGGTTCTTCTCATCTCTCCTGCATGCCTGAGCCCTGCTCCTTTCTCATGGCAAATCCTGCCTCACTCGGTGCTCTTTCTTTGTTTTCCACACTGGGTTGTGAAGCAGGGCTTCATGTTTTCTTCCCACCAGGTCTTTTATTCATAGTTAATTATTTTAACTTCTGCATGCATTAATTTAACTTTCTCATTTATTTGTGCTTTAGCTCTTTGTTACTTAACTAAATTCTTAAAATAGCTACTTAATTTCTTGGTTTTTGTTGTTTTGATGAAAGCAATTTAAAGAGCACAGATTTTCTTCTGAGGAAGGCTTTGCTGGTGTGCTTGAATTTTCTTAACAAGTGAGTTAACTTTTCATTGATTTCTGGAGACACTTTCAGCTCTTCTTAAGAGTCTCTTTGAATCAGTGAGTAGGAGAATTTGCAGCTCCTTGTTATTTATTTGTAATTTTATTATTATTTGTGCTCTTCAATTTAATTCCTCTATTTCCTCCCATTCTTGGGGCCTCTGGGCCTGTATATTCTGAAGGGCGTGCACTGAAGTTCCGGCTGTCACGGTTTTCTTGGCTTTCCTACTCTTTTGCTGAATTTCAGCTCCTCCCTGGGTTCCCTGCTGGCCCCAAGTACTCACCTCGTCTACTCTAAGCCTCGCAGGCCTCCCTGAGGCTCTCAGTGGAAGCGCTTTTTTTTTTTCTTTTTTCTTTTTTTTGAGACGGAATCTCGCTCTGTCACCCAGGCAGGAGTACAGTGGCCCAATCTCGGCTCACTGCAAGCTCCGCCTCCCAGGTTCACGCCATTCTCCTGCCTCAGCCTCCCGAGTAGCTGGGACTACAGGTGCCCGCCACCGCGCCCGGCTAATTTTTTGTATTTTAAGTAGAGACGGGGTTTCACTGTGTTAGCCAGGATGGTCTCGATCTCCTGACCTCGTGATCCGCCCACCTCGGCCTCCCAAATTGCTGGGCGCCCACCTCAGCCTCCCAAAGTGCTGGGATTACAGGCGTGAGCCCCCGCGCCCGGCCGGAAGCGCTTGTTTAATGCACGATCTTTTTTAACGTGGACCCTGTGCTGGCTCTGAGCCAAGGCTGGGGCCTCGTTGCTGCCCCGACCCCCAGCTGGCCTTGGGCTGCACAGCTGCCAGGCCTGGGCGCTGCCCAGAGGGGTTCTGACAGCATCTGCTTTGCTGCTTCACCACAAGGCCGACTCCCTCTCACCTACATTCTTTCTGCTGCACCTCCTGTGCCTGGGTCCATCAGGAGCTCGGCCTGTCTCCCTGCACCGCACGGCACCGAGCGGCCAACCCCTGAGCGGCTGCTGGCTCGCTGGCCGCATTTCCCTAATGCAGCCCAGGTCTTCCGTTCCTTCCTACTCCTCAGTGCCCAGGCTGCACTTTGCCCCGAGAGGAGCTTTCCCCTTATTTTCACTGGTAATAATAATGTCCTATTACGAGAAGACCGTGATCTTCAGGAAGAGTCTCTTTCGGAATCTGTCCAACCCCGGTGATCTTGTGATTCTGGATGAGCGATTTAACCTCCTAAATCTGATAACGCCCAGGGTAGGCCCTGACCCCGTGACACCTCACCAGGGAGGAAGAGCTGACAGGGAAAGGGCACATGCTCTCTGCAGCCCACAGAGCTCGACTCTTCCCAGGAAACCTGTAAATCTGGAAAAAATATTTTAGATCTCCATGTTACAGATGAGAAGATGGAAGCTGGCCACAGCCAGAGTTGGAATCCCACCCAAGGTCTCCTCACTCCCCTCAAGCTGCCTTTACACTAAACAGTGATGCCCACAAAACTCGGAGACTGTTTACTCATTGTGCTCCTAAACCAAGTCCATGGCACTGGAAAGGAAGAAGTCAGCTCTTCCGAAAGTCAGAAAATAAACCAGACCGGGGATTCCATGAGCAGCTAGAGCAGGTCTGAGCAGGAGCGAGACTGGCTCAGGCCAAGAGCGTCTGAGCTTTGGGGAGATGTGGACTCCTAGGATGTGGGGTCCATCCTCTGGGTTCAACCTCTTCCAGGCAAGAGACCACCAGTGAGCAGGCTGAGGGGAGGTGCGGGGCTGGCTGGACCGACCCCTGCAGCCTCTTCCAGGCAAGAGACCACCGGTGAGCAGGCCAGGGGGGAGGTGGGGGGCTGGCTGGACCAACCCCTGCAGCCTCTTCCAGGCAAGAGACCACCGGTAAGCAGGCCGGGGGGGGAGGTGAGGGGACTGGCTGGACTGACCCCTACAGAGGACTGGAGGGGCAGAGAAACGTGCGGCGCTGCGGGGTCGTCGCCGGCCTCGAACTTCCAGAGTCTTACAAAGGGTGCACGGGGGCCCTGGGTGACCTTGAACTCCCCTTTGCCTGCAGCTCCCGGAGGAGGCCCGGCCGGCCGCGGGCACCGCCTGTCTGCCCTTCTACCGCTCTTCGGCCGCCTGCGGCACCGGGGACCAAGGCGCGCTCTTTGGGAACCTGTCCACGGCCAACCCGCGGCAGCAGATGAACGGGTTGACCTCGTTCCTGGACGCGTCCACCGTGTATGGCAGCTCCCCGGCCCTAGAGAGGCAGCTGCGGAACTGGACCAGTGCCGAAGGGCTGCTCCGCGTCCACGCGCGCCTCCGGGACTCCGGCCGCGCCTACCTGCCCTTCGTGCCGCCACGCGCGCCTGCGGCCTGTGCGCCCGAGCCCGGCATCCCCGGAGAGACCCGCGGGCCCTGCTTCCTGGCCGGAGACGGCCGCGCCAGCGAGGTCCCCTCCCTGACGGCACTGCACACGCTGTGGCTGCGCGAGCACAACCGCCTGGCCGCGGCGCTCAAGGCCCTCAATGCGCACTGGAGCGCGGACGCCGTGTACCAGGAGGCGCGCAAGGTCGTGGGCGCTCTGCACCAGGTGCGCGGGGTGGTCCTGGGCGCCCTGGGTGGCTGCGGGCAAAGCGGGGGGCGCCTCGTGTGGGTGCGCAGCATCGTGGCTTCTCTCTCCCAGGTACTTGCACAGCCATCATGGGCGCCCACATGGGTGAGCTCCAGGTCGTGGGGCCCTGTGTGGGTGCGCAGTCCTGCTGGGCGCCCTGCATGGGCGTGTGGAGGGTCATCGTGAGCTCCTGTGCAGGGGCCGAAGGGTAACTCCGGAGCTGGCGGCCCTCCGGGGCCCCTCTGTCCCACCTGCTTACCCTCCAGCCGGCTGGTGATTATCCCACCAAGACCCAACAACCACAGCCCCACAACAGTGGCAGCCAGACCACCCAGGTTTCCCGGTGCGCACAGCCAAGCTACGTGCTTTACAGATTTCAACTCATTTAATAATTCCCAGAACAACCCTTGGAGGTGGGTGGACCAGGGGTGCTGGTGTTTTTGTATTTCAGAGACAGTGCAGTGAATGAAGAACCGACTCTGTGTGAGGATTCTGAACTAACAAGTTAGAGTCTATTTGAAACCTTTCTTCATTTTATGACTTTCTTAAGTATCACATGAGAGGGTCTTGAATGGAGAGTCAAGTTGGCCTTTTATTAATTGTGTGATGGAGAAAAGCACTTATGCACCTGGAAATGCGGTCCCTGACTCTAGGGGTCTCACAGGTTGTTAGGAAGAAGGATGGGCTGTTTGATATGCGAGTCACCGTGTGTGTCTGTTGCACCAGGCCCTGTGGCGGCCTGGGCATCGTGTCTGCAGTCCTAGCCGGGAGCCTGCAGGGAGGTGCGCGTCAGTCCTGTTCTAAAGGAGGCACTGGAGCCTTGTCCGAGGAGGCACAGGGGCTGTGTGTGGCACCGGCTGCCCCCGGGCACCATGCGCCCCTGCCGCTTTCTGGCCTTCACTGCACTGGGGTCCAGGCCCCAAAGGTCAGAGCAGAGGGTCTGGGAAGCCTCCATGCGCTGGGTGTTAACCCTTAGTTCCTGGGTGGCGAGGGGACCTGGAGCTTCCTGGAACAGGGGCTGGCAGCAGCAGGCCCTCACACTTCTCCGGCAAGCACGGCAGACGGGCTCACTGTCCTAACACGCATCCACACAGCAAACACAGCAGACGAGCTCACTGTCCTAACGCACATCCACACAGCAAACACGGCAGACGAGTTCACTGTCCTAACGCACACATCCACACAGGAAACACGGCAGACGGGCTCACTGTCCTAACACGCATCCACACAGCAAACACAGAAGACGAGCTCACTGTCCTAACGCACATCCACACAGCAAACACGGCAGACGAGTTCACTGTCCTAACACACACATCCACACAGTAGCGCTTGGTGGGGAGCATCAGCCGGACGGAGGAGGCTTATGTGGGTGAGAAGATCGAGTTAGAAATGAAAACAGGAACCTTGTCACTATGTGAAGTAAAAATCATCAGGCACCCACGTCGCTTTCAAGCAGCGACTCAGACACTTTCCTGCTTCCCCGTGCAAACGGGAATATAAACCCAGGAGCTGCTGAGCGGTGGAATCCAGGTCCTCGTCTCCATGAGTCTGGACTTCCGGCCACACGCGTGGGGAGGCAGGTCCCAGACGGCTGCCTTCTCCCCTCTGCTCAACCCCTGAGGCCTTCGGCGCTCCTGTCTGCTTCCTTGCTTCTGTGCCCCTTCCCTGACTGCGACCTCCACGGGCAGATGTTCATCCATTTAATTCTTGTTTCTCAGGACCCACAATTTGCCAGGTTGCTTCATAAATATATGTAGAGTTTGTGAATGAAGTAGAATCTCAAAAATAATTCTGGAAGTCCTGCCCCTTCTGTCTCCTCAGGAGCAGGATTTGGTTTGAACCTTCTTTGAGTGAGAACCTCATCCAGCCCAGGGAGCTGTGAGAAGAGCAGCTGCCTCTGATCCCTGGAGCCCGTTCACAGAGCGGGAAACGCCCAATTGTCACGCACCCTGTTGTCTTTCTTCTCCATGGAGTTCTGGGATTATTTAGAGGCGTGAATTATTACCAGGCCCAGTCATTGTAGATTAGAGACAGTTTAATTCCAAGTTACTGAGAATCCTACTGACCTAGAAATAATGACATTTGGTTGCTGCGGCTGTGGCTGCTGCTGCTCCTCCTTGTCCTCCTCCTCGTCCTCCTCCTCCTCTTCTTCTTCTCCTTCTTCTTCTTTTTTTTTGAGACAGTCTCACTCTGTCACCCAGGCTGGAGTATAGTGGTGAGACCTTGGCTCACTGCAACCACCACCTCCCAGGTTCAAGCGATTCTCCTGCCTCAGCCTCTCAAGTAGCTGAGACCACAGACATGTGCCACCACTCCCAGCTGATTTTTATATTTTTAATAGACATGGGGTTTTGCCATGTTGGCTAGGATGGTCTTGAACTCCTTTCCTCAAGTGATCCGCCTGCCTCAGGCTCCCAAAGTGCTGGGATTACAGGCCTGAGCCACTGCGCCCAGCTGCCTTTTCTTATTATTAATGAAATAATAACAACAGCAACCAATAGGAAAAGTGTTCTTCTCTGTTTCATATTTACCTTCCTCAATTCATTTTCTGTGTGTTCTGCTTTTTAAAAAACTGTGAACATTCTTTTCTTCTTGGTTTTACATTTCACTTTTGAATTTCCTTTTGTATTTTTTTCAGTTAATAGGTCCTCTTTGGTGCTTTTTGCAAAAACCTTTGATACATTAAAATAATAAGTTGTGTTTAACGTGTCGATAGAGCCACTGCTGCGACTTCTAGCCGTATTTGAAAGATCCACGGTGGCCTGGGCCTGGAAGCCTCATTTTTCTCTCCCTGGTTCTACCGACTCGTAGTTTGGTAACTTTGTAATCTGAATCTCTCTTCTTCTGAAAAACATTAGATAATGAAAAGAGATGCCAGGGCAACCTTATGAAAGAGAAATAGCATCCCCCCCTCTATCACCCCTCAAACCCCCTACACACACACACACACACACACACACACACACACACACACACACACGAGCCAGCCAGGGCCAGGCTAATGCACACATCAGCAAGAGACAGGAAAGGTCATCTCAGAGCCGGGAGTCACAGCTTTCTCCTCCATCTGTCCACACCACCTCCCTCCTCCTTCATCCGTCCAAACCATGTTTCTCCTGCTGCATCCGTCCACACCACCTCCCTCCTCCTGCATCCGTCCACACCACCTTCCTCCTGCTGCATCCGTCCACACCACGTCCCTGCTGCTGCGTCTGTCCTCACCATACCCACTCTAATTTGTCAGGGCCCAACCACAGCCGCCCCCACTCTGAGGATCTTGGCTCCTCTAATTTCTTTTGTCGAAAGCTGAGAGCTATCCCCTCCCTCAGCCCTGGGCCACAGGACTTCTGCTGTGGGCATGTTTGGGAGGGATCTGCAGGGCCGCCCTCTGTGCTGGTTCCTGGGATCCGGCATCTCTCGGGGGACTCGCACGTAGGAAGGGCTGATAAAGTTGCTCTTGCTGGCTTGAGATCCCACAGGACCCTGGATCCATAAGCCCTGCTTCCCACCAGGAGGAACTGAAGCTCTTGCTCTTCAATCCCAGAAAACCCTAGCTGCTTTAGGTGTGTCATAAGACAAGAACTCACAATCAGTTGCTCACTTTGGTGATAACTTTTGTGTTCTACAGACAAGAAAAGAATGAGAAAGGAAACCCTTCCCAGCACAGGTGTGAGGGAGGCAGAGAGGAGGTAGCCATCCTCGGGGAGTCTGGGTGTGCCATCCAGGCAGCATGGAGTTTGGGTTCCACAGGGTGAAAAGATAAAGACATCCCAAATATCTGGCGTGGATGTTTTCTATGCCCCGGCCATCAGATAGCAGACCTATTTCTGGAGCACAGCCTTGATTTCCCCAGATATCCAGGGACCCACAGAAGCTTTGCTTTGGATGTGTGTGGAGGTAGAACCAGACCCCGGAGGGACTGCAGATCTCCCTGGACATCCCCATCCCGGGCAGGCAGATCCATGTCTCGGGGCAGGGGCTGCATCCCTGGGCCACTCGGCTGCTGACCTTTGCTGTAGCTGAGTACTTTTTCAGATTGGTTGCTCTTCCAGAGCAAAGGAGCAGATGGATAAAGTCATGCTTCCAAGGCTGGAAAGAAAGAGAAAGGGCCGTTCCTGCAGTGGGTGCTGTTGCTGCCCCACCCAGGCCCCTTTATCTGCAGGGCCCCATCCCCCAGTGGCCTCCAATGTTGGCTGACAAAGTCTCCTGGTCGTTCCTCTCCAGGGGTAGCTGTGGAGGCTGTTCCCTGCCCTGCAGGGACAGCCAGGCCCCTACCTCAAGGCTGGACCAAGCCCAGGTGCGCCATGCTGCAGGGCTTCCTGCGGAGGAGCACAAGCCAGGCCTGGCTGTGTCACGTCCTTGGGGAGCTGGGTGCCTGCTCAGCCTCCTCCCTGGAGCACCCTCAGCAAGCATATGGGAGCCTCTTATTGGACTAATAGGGCATGTTTGAGAAAATGCTGAGTGATGTTCTGCGTAGAGCAGGGTAGGTGACTTTGAAAGCAGTCGAGAGTCAGAAAGTTCAGAGGAGCCTGTGCCAGGGGCTACGCGGCTGTTTCCCACCGTCGGTGACAAGGATCGCATCTCCAGGTCTCTTCGTCCTGGTCTCCCCGTGTGCTGGGGTCCTGGCTTCCCGTCACCTTCACGCCCATCATTTTCCCAAGTGTGGACCTTTCAGTCATTCCCACTGGTGAGTTGTGAAGGCAAAGAAATGGAGAGTGGCCACAAGTCAGCACCTGGTGGCTTTGGCAGAGGCTGTGGGGAACCAGGAGGCTGGGGTGAGAGCAGACGTGGAGGAGCAGCTTGAAGCAGCCTGGGAAGATGAGGCCTCTACATGGCACCGCCAGCAGAGGAAGAAGACATGGCCCACCTGGGAGGTGAGCAGGAGGGGCACCTGACAGCGACGATGCCCCGGTCTCACAGTATGGCGTCTGCCCAGGTCCAATAGTTCAGAGTAACCATTTCCCCCATGCGACCAGGTAAAGAAATACCAGAAGCATTTCCAGAAGAATTGCCATGAAAATTCCAGAGAGCTGTTTACAAGGTTCAAGTGTTTTCTTTTTCTCTTTTTGAGAAAGCATCTCCTCTATCACCTAGGCGGAAGTGCGGTGGTACAATCATAGCTCACTGCAGCCTCAACCTCCTGGGCTCAAGCAATCCTCCACCTCAGCCACCCAAGTAGCTGGGACTACAGGTGTACACCACCACACCTGGCTAATTTTTAATTTTTTAAATTTTTTTGTAGAAACAGAGTCTGACTGTGTTGCCCAGGCTGGTCTTGATCTTGGGCTCAAGCAATCCTCCCACTTTGGCCTCCCAAAGTGCTGGGATTACAGGCGCAAGCCACTGCGCCTGACTCAAGATTCAAGTTTTAAGGCCCCATTGGTCAGAACAATGGGTGCTTCTGCCCAACCTCGACGGCTCCCAGGGGAGGCTGCAGTATCTGAGCCAATCACTTACCAGGGATGTTTCAGATCAGATGAGGAGGCAGTGGGGAAGAGGAGAGACACACTGTTCAGAGCTCTGGCAAGATCAGACACTGAGGAAGTACAGTGTCTGTGAGGCTCTGATGAAGGGCGCAGGTTTCCTCTCTGTTAACAGCTAGCCGGGCACAGGTGGAGCTGCTGAACCTGAGGCTCAGGCCTCAGTTCTCTGCCTGTGCTTGCTGCATCCCCTGGCTCACAAGTCAAACTTCAGGCAGGCAAGAAGGGGAAGAGGTGTCTTCCTTAAAATAGCTTGCACTTGAATTTGAAATTGTCTCAGTCCCTGGGCTAAAAAGAGAGAGGCCTTTTCCTTTCTATTGTAGTGAGAAGAAACCAAAGAATGTTCCAGGGAACAGAAGGTGCTGCCTGAGTTCTGAATGTGGGAAGCACACGGACCTTCTCACGCGGTTAGGAGGAGCCCCTTGGACACCTGTGTGGTTCAGAAACGTTGCCACATAAATTGCACCTGAGGTGGAGAGGCTGTTTGCACGATGAAGTCGTGCAACTGCTCTCTGGGATGCTGACCCATAGCACAGTGCTTGGCACCAATGGATGAACTAGCACAGGGACGGAAACCCCACTGGGAAACATTTGGATGCTGCCTTTTCCTCCTTGTCTGTCCAGGTCTCCGAGGTGGAGCGGGACAGCGAGGGCAGGTGCACCTTCAGTGAAGGCCCAGGCCACACAAGACTCACGGCTCTCCCTGGTCTCCCTGAAGGGCCAAATTACGTGCTTAGGAAATGCATTCTGGCACATGGAAGAAACATATTACAAGTGTGTAAATAATATTGGTTATTTTTAAACAATCCACTTGCCTTCCTAAACTGGTAAGCTAAAAGAGAAGATTCATATTCTAGAATTATTCCTATTATGCTTCATTTGGATGCAGTTTATTGACCAAAATATTCCCCTTAAATACCAAAACAACTTGACACTGATTTTTCTGTCTGAAAGAAACACTGTTAAACCTGAAAGTAGAATCTTGGTACATAATTCTCCTGGGACCATGTATCAAATCGTAATTTCCAGGCCCTGTGATTGCAACTGTAATTTTCCATCGACAGAGCTCTCTGCCATACAACATGCTTTGATTTAATCCTCACAAAGGCTCTGGGAATTAGGTATTATTGTTGCTTTGTAGAAAAAGGAACTGCTCCCCACTGTCAATCATCCAGCCAGGAGTCTAGCTGCCCAGCCTGGCCCGGTGGCCATTGTTGGCTCGACAGAGGTGCTGTCTCTTGCCACTGCCAGCCCCATCACCATCCTGGGAAGGAGGCTCTCTAGTCAGCCCTATAAACGCACCTCCTGAATATCCATGAAAAAATCAGCAAGAAGGCATTTCTGGGAAGTTCAGCTGAGGCCCTTATTACAAGACGAGAAGGGTCCAGTTCCCTGGGGCTGTCAAGGAAGATGCTCTTCCACACTGCCGCTCGAGGCGACCCTCCTCTGGTATCCTGGGCCTCACTGAGATGCTTTTCCTATCTGCACAGATCATCACCCTGAGGGATTACATCCCCAGGATCCTGGGACCCGAGGCCTTCCAGCAGTACGTGGGTCCCTATGAAGGCTATGACTCCACCGCCAACCCCACTGTGTCCAACGTGTTCTCCACAGCCGCCTTCCGCTTCGGCCATGCCACGATCCACCCGCTGGTGAGGAGGCTGGACGCCAGCTTCCAGGAGCACCCCGACCTGCCCGGGCTGTGGCTGCACCAGGCTTTCTTCAGCCCATGGACATTACTCCGTGGAGGTGAGTGAGTGCGGTCCCTGCAGCTGGTCCCCATGAACTCTTCCTTCTTTTTTTAATTTTTTTAAATTATATTTTAAGTTCTAGGGTACATGTGCACAACGTGCAGGTTTGTTACGTAGGGTATACATGTGCCATGTTGGTTTGCTGTACCCATTAACTCGTAATTTACATTAGGTATTTCTCCTAATGCTATCCCTCCCCCTGACCCCCACCCCACGACAGACGGGATATGATGATCCCCGCCCTGTGTCCATGTGTTCTCATTGTTCAATTCCCACCTATGAGTGAGAACATGCGGTGTTTGGTTTTCTGTCCTTGCGATAGTTTGCTCAGAATGATGGTTTCCAGCTGCATCCATGTCCCTGAAAAGGACATGAACTCATCGTTTTTTTATGGCTGCATAGTATTCCTTGGTGTATATGTGCCACATTTTCTTAATCCAGTCTAGCACTGATGGACATTTGGGTTGGTTCCAAGTCTTTGCTATTTTAAATAGTGCTGCAATAAACATACGTGTGCATGTGTCTTTATAGCAGCATGATTTATAGTCCCTTGGGTATATGCCAAGTAATTGGATCGCTGGGTCAAATGGTATTTCTAGTTCTAGATGCTTGAGGAATCGCCACACTGTCTTCCACAATGGTTGAACTACTTTACAGTCCCACCAACAGTGTAAAAGCATTCCTTTTCTCCACATCCTCTCCAGCATCTATTGTTTTCCTGACTTTTTAATGATCGCCATTCTAACTGGTGTGAGATGGTATCTCATTGTGGTTTTGATTTGCATTTCTCTGATGGCCAGTGATGATGAACATTTTTTCATGTGTCTGTTGGCTGCATAAATGTCTTCTTTGGGAAGTGTCTGTTCATATCCTTCGCCCACTTTTTGATGGGGTTGTTTGTTTTTTCCTTGTAAATTGGTTTGCATTTTTTGTAGATTCTGGATATTAGCCCTTTGTCAGATGGGTAGATTGCAAAAATTTTCTCCCATTTTGTAGGTTGCTTGTTCACTCTGATAGTGGTTTCTATTGCTGTGCAGAAACTCTTTAATTAGATCTCATTTGTCAATTTTGGCTTTTGTTGCCATTGCTTTTGGTGTTTTAGTCATGAAGTCCTTGCCCATGCCTATGTCCTGAATGGTATTGCCTAAGTTTTCTTCTAGGGTTTTTACGGTTTTAGGTCTAACATTTAAGTCTTTAATCCATCTTGAATTAATTTTTGCATAAGGATTTTCGCATCGATGTTTATCAGGTCTCACTTCTTTCTTATGACTCATCGCAGCCGTGCAGACCTTCCGTATGGGCACACTTGCTGATCCTACACAAGGTTTTTAATATCTGTGGGGAAAATAAATGTGTTTAAAGCATTTTAAAAGGCTAAACTGGGCTCAGGCACGGTGGCTTACACCTGTAATCCCAGCACTTTGGGAGGCTGAGGCAGGCGGATCACTTGAGGTCGGGAGTTTGAGACCAGCCTGGCCAACATGGTGAAACCCCATCTCTACTAAAAATACAAAATAAACAAACAAAAAACATTAGCCGTGTGTGGTGGCAGATGCCTGTAGTCAGCTACTCAGGAGGCTGTGGCAGGAGAATCGCTTGAACCTGGGAGGCAGAGGGTGCAGGTGAGCCGAGATCTCACCATTGCATTCCAGACTGGGCAACAGAGTGAAACTCCATTTGAAAATAAAATAAAATAAAATAAAAATAAAAGGCTAAACTGTTCTATAGTTATGATCAGCACCATCATCTTTAGAATGTTAATGATGGGTTACCTTTGGAAGTTAATTATTTGGAAGAAAATGATCCTATTCCCCCAATTAGTTTTTTGGAAGGGTTATTTTTAAGCTTCCCCATTTTTTCTTTATATTCCTTTCCCAGTAGTCTGTAAGTCCTTCTGGGAGCTTCTAACCTGTCTCAAAAGTTGACCGGCTCCAGGCGTAGTGGGGAGTGGGGAGGGCAGGGGTGCTGCAGTGCGTCCGGCGATACCTGCTTAGATGAGAGCTGAGTCATGCACAGTGCACCAGAGGGGCAAGGGCCAGCCTGGCCCTCAGCAGGTGCCCGGCATTTGAAGACACCCAGGTCATCCCACACAGGACGATGCATGTCGTGATTTCTAAGTCTTCCTTTTGGGCATCCTAAGGCCAAACCGATCCTTTAAAGACTCTGGTGGCATGCAGTGGTGGGTTCACACGCCACTGAGATAGACCGACCCTGACAGGCCGTGGGGCCTGCTTTCCATGCGGGGCCTTTGGAGATGACAGGAACAGTGGTCCCCAGGCACCCTGGCCACTCCCTCAGCTAAGCTGAGTCTTCCTTTCACTGTTCTGGATGTTAGAATTCAGCAAACGCTTCTTTTTTTTGTAATCTTTCTGTTGCTGAGAAATAAAACAAAAAGCTTTAAAAACTGGTGGGCTCCTTCTCCAGGCCCCTTTCTTTCTGAGGGTCCATCCCCCATGAGCCACATTGTCAGTGCCAGCCCAGTGGTTCACCTGCCAACAAGGGCAGTGTCCTGAGGACATTCAGGAAACTCTGGAATCACACAAGCTGAATTCATGAACTTACACGAAGGTTTGCTGAGGATAAGATTGAGCTATTGGGCTGGGCGCGGTGGCTCACGCCTGTAATCCCAGCACTTTGGGAGGCCGAGGCAGGCAGATCACCAGGTCAGGAGATTGAGACCATCCTGGCTAACACGGTGAAACCCCATCTCTACTAAAAATGCAAAAAGAAATTAGCCAAGCATGGTAGCGGGCGCCTGTAGTCCCAATTACTCGGGAGGCTGAGGCAGGAGCATGGCGTGAACCCGGGAGGCAGAGCTTGCAGTGAGCTGAGATCGCCACTGCACTCCAGCCTGGGCAACAGAAAGAATGAGACTCCGTCTCAAAAAAAAAAAAAATTGAGATATTGTTGTTTCTCTAGAACTGAGCCAAGAGCTGTCCTTGCCTTGTGCATGGTATTTTCCAGGTGGTTTGGACCCACTAATACGAGGCCTTCTTGCAAGACCAGCCAAACTGCAGGTGCAGGATCAGCTGATGAACGAGGAGCTGACGGAAAGGCTCTTTGTGCTGTCCAATTCCAGCACCTTGGATCTGGCGTCCATCAACCTGCAGAGGGGCCGGGACCACGGGCTGCCAGGTCTGCCAGTTCCTTCCCTTGCACACCTCATGCAGCTGCTGCGGGATTTGCCGAGCTAGCAACCTGCTGCTAGAGAGACTGATTTAGAGGAAAACAATCACAAATCTGAGGCCTTCTAAGCAACGGCTCTTAAAGGGCTCCAGTTCATTCAGCTAAAGTGGCCACTTCCAGCTTTTCTTAGAGATAGAAATGGCACGAAGAGGGTGGTTCTGAACCTCCCAGGAACGTATGAGCTGGGACCTTGAGAAACAGCCGCTTCTAGTAGAGGGAGGAGGGAGTGCGCGGGCAGACAATGGCAGGTCTGTATCTGGTATCCCGGGAAGCTCCTGGGATGGCTAGAGTGCCCCCCTCCCCTTCTCCTCCCCACCACAAGGTCCCAGAGCCTGCAAAGATCATTCCGTCACATCAGGACTGCTGTTAACTAACTGGTCCAAGCTGGCCCCTGGCAGGAGTGGCTGCTCCTCTCAGGCCAGCAGCCCCCTGTGCTCCCCACACCCCACCCGGCTCCTGCCTTTCCCAGGCCCCACCCGGCAGCCTCCTCCCTGACCTGCCCAGTTTCCAACTCCCTGACCTCAGGCCCACCTCAGCCTTCCCTCCTCTGGGCTCCTAGGTGGTTCGGTTGTCTGGTCAACCTGCAGCACCTGTCTAGGCCCGATCCCCTGACACCTCCTATTCTGTGTGCAGCTCTGTTCTCTCCACGTACCCTGGGAGCTTGGGAGGTGCCCTCCTGTTGTGTGTGGGTGACATGTGAGATGGACAGTGCTGGCAAGTCCTGCCCTGCCCCGTCCCTGGGCCTTCCTCTGTCCCCTGGCCCTTCCCCCATCCCTGTCTTCCTCACCAGTGGCATCTGGAAGGGCTGGGATCAGCAGCCACACAGGCTGTGAATATCTGGGGACTAAATGTGAGTTGGGAGGATGCAGAAGGGGCCCCTATGTGTGTCAGGATAACGCACACTGTCCCCCTCACTCCCTGCACCCAAACACAGCTGCTTTCTTGTTGCCAGAGCTCAGGGAGCACAGCCTACACATGCCTTCACATGCCCGGCACATACCCAGCACACACCCGCACATGCCCGGCACATGCCCAGCACATACCTGCACATGCCTGCACACACCTACACATGACCAGCACATGCCCACACATGACCAGCACATGCCCAGCACATACCCAGCACACACCTGCACACGCCTGCACATACCCATCACATGCCCAGCACATGCCCAGCACACGCCTGCACATGCCCAGCACATGCCTAGCACATACCCAGCACACACCCACACATGCCCAGCACACACCCACACATGCCCAGCACACACCCACACATGCCCAGCACACACCTTGCCTCTGGCTGGGACCCCCTTTGCTGCTGGCCCTGCTCAGGCCCCACAGCTTGATCTCCTCATGTTCCCACTGCTGACTTCCCCAAGCTAACTGTGCCACAGAGTGGGGGACCCCCTCCCGGCTCTCACAACCCCCACCTTCCTCTGCTTCACTTTTCACCAACTGAAATATGGCCAAAGGCAAAAACCCATGTTCCCACTGGCCTGTGGGTCCCCCCATAGATCGTAAGCCCAGGAGGAAGGGCTGTGTTTCAGGGCTGTGATCACTAGCACCCAGAACCGTCGACTGGCACAGAACAGGCACTTAGGGAACCCTCACTGAATGAATGAATGAATGAATGAATGAATGAATGTTTGGGCAAATAAACGCTGACAAGGACAGAAGGGCCTAGCGGGAAGGGAACAGGAGTAAGACCAGCGCACAGCCCGACTTGTGTTCAGAAGACCTGGGATTGGACCTGAGGAGTTCAATTTTGGATGAATCTCTTAATTAACCTGTGGGGTTCCCAGTTCCTCCCCTGAGCGCCCAGGACAGTAGAGTCAACCTCACGTTTGAGCGTTGGGGACGCAAACACGAGAGTGCTTGGTGTGAGCACACAGGAGGAGTCACGACAGAGCAGTGTAAGAGCCGCCACGTGGGTCCCACACAGGGGGAGTCACGACACAGCAGTGTAAGAGCCGCCACGAGGGTCCCACACAGGGGGAGTCGCGACACAGCAGTGTAAGAGCCGCCACGAGGGTCCCACACAGGGGGAGTCACGACACAGCAGTGTAAGAGCCGCCACGAGGGTCCCACACAGGGGGAGTCACGACACAGCAGTGTAAGAGCCGCCACGTGGGTCCCACACAGGGGGAGTCACGACACAGCAGTGTAAGAGCCGCCACGAGGGTCCCACACAGGGGGAGTCACGACACAGCAGTGTAAGAGCTGCCACGTGGGTCCCACACAGGGGGAGTCACGACACAGCAGTGTAAGAGCCGCCACGAGGGTCCCACACAGGGGGAGTCACGACACAGCAGTGTAAGAGCCGCCACGTGGGTCCCACACAGGGGGAGTCACGACACAGCAGTGTAAGAGCCGCCACGAGGGTCCCACACAGGGGGAGTCACGACACAGCAGTGTAAGAGCCGCCACGAGGGTCCCACACAGGGGGAGTCACGACACAGCAGTGTAAGAGCTGCCACACATGGGTCCCTGCGGCCTGCAGTTCGAAGCCCACTGCATGTGTTAGCACTCTATACCCCAGCCACCGTAGAAGGCCGGACTGCGATCACTTTCTAAAAGATGGATCGAGAGACTGAAGCACAGACAGTTTAGGCAACTTCCCCAGGTCTGAATTCCAGCAACTGGAGGCATCGATGCACCAGAAAGGCCACAAACCTGGCAGAGGCTTCATTAGATCTGATCAGTTCGATCTGAGGATAAATCAGATAAAAGAGAAACGCTCATGTCTCAGCAAGCTGAGCTGTGATGATGATTTCCACTACGCCCTGAAATCTTTTGTTGTACTTTACGGGGAATATAAAATGTACAACCTTCCCCAAAACACTTTTTTGCTGCTGGGCACAGTGGCTCACGCCTGTAATCCCTGCACTTTGGGAGGCCGAGGCGGGCAGATCACGAGTTCAGGAGTTCAAGACCAGCCTGGCCAGATGGTGAAACCCTGTCTCTACTAAAAATATAAAAAATCAGCTGGGCGTGGTGGCAGACACCTGTAATCCCAGCTACTTGAGAGGCTGAGGCAGGAGAATTGCTTGAACCCAGGAGGCAGAAGTTGCAGTGAGCTGAGATCATGCCTCTGCACTCCAGCCTGGGTGACAGAGCGAGACTCAGTCAAAAAAAAAACCAAAAAAACACTTTTTTTTGCATTCCCGTTTCTGCAGTGTCTCCCACAGGCAGGGACATCTAAAGTGATGTTCTTTCTTCCCAGCTCTGCGGCCTCTGAAGCTGTGATGAGCTTCAGCCTCCATGTCTTTACCTCCTGCACAGGCCTTGCATATTTTCCCTCTAGAGTTGGAAAAAGATGCAAATGTGTTTCCTCTTAGAGCAATAAGAAAGGAAATTACCCTTCTAACTTCGTTGTTTTTTCTTTTTGAAATTAAGATTTCCATCTCTCACAGGTATTAGAAATGTTTTAATTATTTTGGACTACTTAAAACAGTTTGACAATGGTCTAAATTGACTATACAGAAACTTTCTCTCCTCATTTGAGAACTTTAATTTGCTCATTATTTTGGTTTCTCACTAGTCTGAAAATAACTGCATTCTTTTAGTAAATATTTAATGAAATAACTGCTGTGTCCCCCAAGCCCTGTGGCAAGCAATGGGCGTCTGTTTTCTATATAAACCAAGTGTCTACAGGTTACCTATTCCTGGAGCTGAGAAATTTGTGGGGTATGTTTGGGATGGTCTAGGCTACAGTAGATTGGGTGATAAAGATGAAATTTTGTTGGAGGTGCTGAGATGGAGAGACACAGAGCCTCTTGACGGGGCAAAGCACTTCCCGGTGGCTTTGATGAGAGGGCTGGGATGGCCCATCTGGAGACAGAAAACGAGAGTGGTTTCTGCAGATCACAGGGCGGCAGAGCCCACTGTGGACAGCAGGAGTCAGGCTGAGGCAGCGCAGCTTCTCACGGGGGCTCGGGGGAACCCTTGCCAGATGTGGAAGCACCAGGGCTACGGGGCCAGCCAAGGCAGGTGACTCTAGGAGCACAAGAGTCAGACACACACTTGTTCCTCCTGAGGGTGAACCAGGGAGCCACCTGCTAAGAAATGGACTCAATGGCACCTGACAGCAGTTTTCTAAAAGCTCAGGATTTTTTTTGTTTTTTGTTTTTTTGAGACGAAGTCTCACTCTTGTCACCCAGGCTGGAGAGCAATGGGGTGATCTCGGCTCACGGCAACCTCCGTCTCCCAGGTTCAAGCAATTCTCCTGCCCCAGCCTCCCGAGTAGCTGGGATAACAGGCACCCGCCATCACGCCCAGCTAATTTTTGTATTTTTAGTAGAGATGGAGTTTCACCATGTTGGCCAGGCTGGTCTTAAACTCCTGACCTCAGGCAATCCGCCCGCCTCGGCCTCCAAAAGTGCTGGGATTACAGGCATGAGCCACCGCACCTGGCCTCTAGAAGCGCAGATTTTGAATCTCACTCATGCCTTCCTCTTTCACTTTGTCCATTCTTCCAATCCCTCTTCTTCCAAGTTGTTCCCACCCCTTTGCTCCATGAGTCTGTTTACCACATGGGCATCCCCTTCCCAGACCAACTGGAGGATGCCTGGCTATTTCTCCCAGTTCTGTTTGGTCTAAACATGAGACACCAAGAGGCCCAACCTTCTGTCCCATGAAAGCCTCACTGTCCCTGGGGGGAACCAGCCCAGTGCTCACATGTTGCTGTGCGTGTGCTTGTCCAGGACTTCTGCTGGGAGCCTGTGGTGGGCAGGGCGCTGAGAGTAGAACCAGACAGTCTTAGCTAAAGCACCACACAGGGCGGGTGGATGAGTAGAGACAGTAGCAGAGGCCCTGGGCGGCGCTCTGATCAGAACCCGTGGGAGTGAGGGTCGCCCATCCTTGAGGAGGGAGCACTTCTGGAGGAGGTGACAGCTGAACCAAGAGGAGTGGATGAGGGACGAAGGCAGATGTGAGGAGTGGGGCACAGGGAGGGGCACGAGTGTCAGGCAAAGGCGCAGCCACAGAGTCAGACCATGGACGGGGGCCTGGGCAGGGAGCAGCTGAGGCGTGGGTCAGTGAGCAGGAGGAGGAGTGAGAAGAGAGGCCAGGGATTCACCAGGGCTCCCAGGAAGAAAAGATCTCCAGTCTTCAATATGGAGATGAGTGGCCAGACAGATAAAGATATTTGTGTGTGTGTGTGTGAGTGGGTGGGGGGGGGGGTGCTGGCTTCTGTGTGTGCTCCTGATGTCATTGTGGGAGGCAAACTCTGAAGAGGATGCAGAGCTGTGTCAGTTGCCCTGTAGAGGCAAGAACTAAGTGCAGGCTGGGCAATAACAGGAATGCACTTAGATGTCACGGACTCAGCATTCTTGCTGTCTCCAGCTCCTTTATGAACAAACCTGCAAAAAGAGCTCTGGCGTCCGAGCTGGAACATTCTAGCCTGGCAAACTGCCGGGCAGTGTCACAGGGTGGGACAGGACTCTGCCCGGCATCTGAGCTGGAATATCCTAGCCTGGCAAACTGCTGGGCAGTGTCACAGGGTGGGACAGGACTCTGCCCGGCATCCGAGCTGGAATATCCTAGCCTGGCAAACTGCCGGGCAGTGTCACAGGGTGGGACAGGACTCTGCCGGGCGTCGGAGCTGGAATATCCTAGCCTGGCAAACTGCCAGGCAGTGTCACAGGGTGGGACAGGACTCTGCCCTGCTGCGCTTCCAGTCTCGGGGACCATGGCATGAGTGAGATGGGCTGAACAAAAGTTCAGTTCTGTGAGAGAAACCCTGCAGCCTCTCCCCTGTGCAGGTTACAATGAGTGGAGGGAGTTCTGCGGCCTGCCTCGCCTGGAGACCCCCGCTGACCTGAGCACAGCCATCGCCAGCAGGAGCGTGGCCGACAAGATCCTGGACTTGTACAAGCATCCTGACAACATCGATGTCTGGCTGGGAGGCTTAGCTGAAAACTTCCTCCCCAGGGCTCGGACAGGGCCCCTGTTTGCCTGTCTCATTGGGAAGCAGATGAAGGCTCTGCGGGACGGTGACTGGTACGTTCCTATCCAGAGCGTCTTCCTTCACGTTCTGCACAGAGGCAGGTGGTCTGCGTTGGTTCTGAAGCCAGCCAGACCTGCATTCACATTCCGGCTCCACCATTCAACTCTTACGTAAGCCTGGTCAGGTTGTTTCTCCCACCCACAGCTTCTTTAACCTAGAACAGTGTTTTTATAACAATGAAGCAACTACGAAGCACGTAGCACTTAGAATGGGAGCTAGCACTGATTTTTCCTAGATCCAACCACACGAGCAAGCAGGCACCTAACTAAACAAATTGTGACACAATCGTGACAGCCCGGAGACTGCATCCCATCCCTCACGTCCCATGACAATGCCCGGGAAAGCGCAGAGGTGGACAGTGACTCAGGCGCAGACACAGGCCATGCCCGGTGCTCATGGATGCCTCTAGGCTGGACAGGACTTCCCGGCCCCCCAGACCCCACCTACAGATAGCAGATGGTTGCCGGTAGCAGAAAGCTGAGGTCCCGCTTTGCCTGCCTCATGCATGTCTGCTCCCTCCTCAAGTTCAACCTAGAATTTGGAGGTTTGTACTGGAGGGAGTCAGAGGCAGATCCTGTTCCCATCTGACTCTGAGTGCATGCCCCCCGTAGAAGCAGGTGCGCAGGATACCAGTGTTAGGATTTTGGAACAACACAGACAAAAGCAATAGGAAAATGTTTTCTTTTGCTTTTAAATACATCCCTACCTATCCAATTCTCTCTCTATTTTTGGTAGTCACTGTGCCGAGGTCAGATTTTTGTTGTAAAGGATCTGTGTTCTTCCCAGAGAGTGCACCTGCCACACGCTGGGGCTCCTGTCCTTTCCCCAGTGTGACTTTTATCTCTAATTTCTGAGATGCAGCCTTTCAAAGAGCTACGAACACCTGGGTAGAAATCACCAGGAGAACTTGTCTCCCTTATAGCTGTGTCTTCAGCAAACGTGCGGTTTGGAATTCTCTGGGACATGGGAAGCCACTCGCTCAGAAGGGGGAAGATTTCACCAGCTTGCCCCATACGTGTGTCTCCCATGCGTGTTTTATGCCACCTGTGGCTGAAGCGCCATCTGAAATCAGTGCAGAGGCAGCTGGCAGGTTCCTAGGGTGGTGCCCCCAATTTCTCATCCTATGTATTTATGACCACATATCTCCCCAATGCAAAAATGGGATCAATTAACTTACGTATAGTGGGGCCTCTTTTTCATGTTCTAAGAGGAATTCATCCCTGTGATGGGAAGCAGAAGAGTTTTACGTGGCAGGGGAGATGCACATGGGAGATGCATGCTTTACGGCATTCAGGCCAGGAGCTATTGGGGCTTTGGCAACTATTTTCATATTTTGAGAGGAAAGTGGGACTTCATTTCTTCACATTGCAATTTTTCTGATTAATCATGGCCTGGAGGAAGAAGCTGAAGGTAGAGAGACTGTGCAGGGCACGTTGACTTCAGAATAGGAGCACCCTCTAAAATAGCTGGATTTGCTGTCATCATTCTTGTTTTTAACACAGCAATACACCCCAGATAACAGCAATGCAGCAAAATAGATGCTCATAGTCAACAAGCAAAGTGGCTCTGAGCCCCTCTTCTGAGGCCGCTCGTTCAGACAGCCAGGTGCACGCTGTGCTGCCCCTCCACATCTCCTTCGGGTCCTCAGTACCTGCACCTGAGTGGTCCCGGGTGCTCAGGGGTCTGGGCAGACGCCACAGGGTCTCCTTCAGGTCCTCAGTGCCTGCACCTGAGTGGTCCCGGGTGCTGGGGGTCTGGGCAGACGCCACAGGGTCTCCTTCAGGTCCTCAGCGCCTGCACCTGTGTGGCCCCGGGTGCTGGGGGTCTGGGCAGACGCCGCAGGAGAGGCTGGCAGCACACAGCTGTGGGCAGCTGGTCTTGAGTGCCTGCCCTGGGGGTTCTCCATGCACTGTGACCTTACTCACTGTCTCCTTCTCTGGAGGTTTTGGTGGGAGAACAGCCACGTCTTCACGGATGCACAGAGGCGTGAGCTGGAGAAGCACTCCCTGTCTCGGGTCATCTGTGACAACACTGGCCTCACCAGGGTGCCCATGGATGCCTTCCAAGTCGGCAAATTCCCCGAAGACTTTGAGTCTTGTGACAGCATCACTGGCATGAACCTGGAGGCCTGGAGGGAAACCTTTCCTCAAGGTGAAGTTCGGTCTCCTCTCACACCACGTTACAGCACGTGCATCTCATCAAACAAAGCTTATCTTCCCCAGGAGCTGATTTTAACTTTTCACTGTTTAGAAAATAGTGTCAACGCCCTGCCTTACACCCTCAGGGCAGCTCCTGGGGCGGGGCGGGGCGGGGCGGGGCCCTTCTCTAGTGAGAAAGGAACTGGAGGCCTAGAGAAAGGGAGCCCGCGGGGCCCGATCTGGGAAGAGGCCGTGTGTGCTGCGTGGGTGCTCAGTGAGTGACCACAGCAGGGCTCCCCGGCCCTGGCACCAGCCCCTCCAGGGCACAAGCGCACCCGTGACAGGGACGTTGGTGTGTGGTTTTCTTTTCTCGTAGTTTGACTACATGTCAACCTGTCCACATTTCATAGACGACAAGTGTGGCTTCCCAGAGAGCGTGGAGAATGGGGACTTTGTGCACTGTGAGGAGTCTGGGAGGCGCGTGCTGGTGTATTCCTGCCGGCACGGGTATGAGCTCCAAGGCCGGGAGCAGCTCACTTGCACCCAGGAAGGATGGGATTTCCAGCCTCCCCTCTGCAAAGGTCAGTCCTTTCTTCAATGACAATTACAAAACATCTGAATGTTTCCGATATAAGTTAACAATGCAATGTCATTGAAAATTTCTTCGCCAAAAGGTGCTTCTGAAACTGTTATCTTCCCAGGAGCAATCTGGGGATAGAAAGCAAGGGCTCTCCCCTTGGCTGGCCATGTTCCCAGCTGGCCTTTTTCTAGGTAGTGAGGCCTCAGGACAGGCACGTGGAATCGTGACCAATGGGGTCACCGGTGAGGGAAGAGAGAGGGGAGTCCGTGAGTTCCAGGCAAAGTTGTGGTGAACTCGCAGGGGCGCTTTCTCAAAGGGAACACAGCAGCAAACGTCTCCACTCCAGGAACCCATAGAGTAAGGCTCGCCTCCACCTCCACCTCCTACAGGTGGCTGATTCCCAAGCCCATGCCTGGTCCTCCTCCAGCCACTGGGTTCCACTCCCAGCCTCCCGCATGTTTAGGTGTGGACAAGTGTGGCTTCCTGGCGGTAATTTGAGAGCAGGATGGGGAGGCACCTTTCAGGCCGCAAGGCAAGACAGCCGTGGGCCACTTCCACCTGCTCCTCCCATGTGCTGGCTTGAGCGGGTGTCAGCCCAGGGCACCTGGGAGCAGGTGTGCTGGACAACAGAGCCTCCCGGGGGGAGAGCCGTGTACTGGGGTTCCTCTGCGGGGAACAGCAGAATGAGAGTCCCCATCTGACTGTTCTGAGGCAGAGCCCTCTGGGTGCGACTCCTGAGGCTGGGGCTTCCTGTCAGAGCAGCTTGCGTCCTCCAACTACTTCAGAACTGCCCTGCCACAAAACCTGGACCGCTGGTTCTGGTCTCATGGGACAGTGGCGTCAGGGCAGGCAGGAGCAGGAATGGCTGCTGTTCTGGGAGGAAGGCTGCTCAGATGACACTCACCAGCAATCTTTAGAAGGCCAACCAGCTGCCTTCAGGGACTGCATTTTAGGAGAGGAAAGTTGGCATCAGACTCACAGTCTCCTGTGAGCTACGTGCTATGAGCTGCACTTACCTAGACCGCAGAAGAAAGAGATGGTCTCGTGCAAGAATCTGGCTGGTTTGCAAGCAGAAATACAAGCAAAGTCCACAGTTTTCAGTTTTCTCAGAGTTTTCAGAAGATGAAAGAGTCCTGGAGCCAGTGCTTTGGGAGACCCAGGTGAGAGAATCCTCTGAGGCCAGGAGTTCAAGACCAGCCTGAGAAAAATAGTGAAACCCCATCTACCAAAAAAAAAAAAAAAAAAAAAGTGGCTGGGAGGGGGATGGTGTGATAAGTTGCACAAGGTCAGTGTGCTCAATGCCAGTGAACTGTACATTTAAAAATGGCAGAGGTGGTAAAGTTTACATTATGTATAATTCAGCACAATAACAAAATTTCCATTTCAATTTTGAAAGTCCAAAATGTTTCTCCTTGAAGGGTTGCAGTGGTCAACTGCTTCCAGACCCTCAGTCATAAAGGGAGAGGCTGAGACCCTGTGTGCACCAGAGACCCACCAGGACTCAGTGCTGTGGCAGGGGTCAGGTAGGGGTGCGGCTCCCGCCAAGTCTGTGGTCTCAGGTGCCCTCCCGGGAGCCACCTTCCCATTAGAAGAGGAGAGAAGGGATGAGGAGAGGAAGAAACAAAGCTGGCCTGGGGAACGGTGCCTCGGAAATAACTTTCAAACTCACTAACGGCACAAGGAGCTGCCTGGGCATGGATAGGGCAGAGGCCTGCTACATAGGTGAGGGGGTGTCATCACTGGAAACCAGCAGCCTGGGCTGGAAACCCTCTGTTTAAACTGTTAATTGCACAATGCCAGATTTGCAGACGTGCTCCCCTGCTGCATTTTGGGATTGGTCATGAATGACAGTGTACAAGGAGATCACCCAGAGATTACAGTGCCCCAGAGAACAGCAGACCAGGATGTTTCTCCCAGAGAACTTTCCAGAAGCCTCGGTGATAGAAACACAACTACTCTGTCGGGTGATGACATCTGTGTAAACTCGTGGTTGCTGTTAACACTATTGCATGACTCCTGACCATAGGCTCTGCCACTGACACTTCAGTGACAAAAGGGTCACGAATCGCAAGGTTTTCCTGTTCCCTTGGCTTAGAGACTGCACAAACTTGAAACGGCCACTTCACTCACGATTCCTGGTTTTCCGTGTTGGCATTACAGTTAAGGAATTGATGGCAGGTGCTTCAGGGTATAGCATGTTGCGTGTTCTACGTTAACAAGCCTTCCTATGGTGCACTTCACTGTACACCTGCGTCTCTCCTTGCCCAAATACCCAGACGTTTCACGTGTCCATTTTAGCTTCATTTTAAGTATGAATGACCCCAAAGTGCTACTCACAGGCATCTTCAAGGTGCAAATAAAAGATGGGTGAGACCTTAGAGTGGATCAGGAAGGGAGACTGCTGGAGTCCTACAACCTGCCTGTGTGGAGCTGCCCCCTGTGCGCGTGCCCTCTGACCTTCCGCCTGCCCTCTGACCTTCCACCTGCCCTCTGACCTTCCGCCTGGGACGTTGCTCATCTGTCTCCTAAGTGAGGAATGCTCCTTCAGCCTCCTGTAGACCATCCTATGCCATCAAAATCACTCTTCTGTTCTTGAAATTTTTTCATTTATCTTCCTTGATTTTTAGTCCAACAATTAACAGCTGTCTGAAGTTAAGATCCATTGTAAGAAGGACTATTTCTGAACCAGTCTGGGTGCTCCCCAGGGTGCAGGGGCCTGTCTCGGCATGGTGCGTGCACAGCAGCCAGTGCTCCTGGTGGGCTCCCTGGCTGCAGCAACATCACCAAGGAGCTTATCACACCTGCGGCGTCTGGGGCCACCACAATCCCTGAGTCAGGGCTGCAGCAACAACATCACCAAGGAGCTTATTACACCTGTGGTGTCTGGGGCACCACAATCCCTGCGTCAGAATCCACACTCTTCACAAGACCCCATGAGACTGTGTATATGAAGGTCTGAGACACCCATCGGCCAACCCTAACTCATCCTGTCTTCTCTCTCTAGTTCACTAACTTGGGCCCAACTTCATGTTCTCCTGCCACAGACATTTCCGTAGCCATTTAATCTGTCTCCCAAATTGCTGAGCCTCTGTGTGCCTCCACGGTTTCAAATGTGAAATGAGGACAGGAATAAGGCATTGATTTAAATTAGTTATAAATGCACAGTACAAAGAGCGGGGTGCAGGCCTGTTGATATTAACACTGTGAGTGCTCAGGAGCCGTGTTCTGAATGCTGGGACAGCCACACCCAGAACAATTACACTACACAGTTAGCAGGGCGTCTGTTGACTTGGAAGAGTGTTGGTGACATGTCACTCAATAAGCATGTAAGCTACACAGCAATGTGTACATTGGGAATCTGTTCGGGTTTTTTTTAAAGCAGTGGGCCACAGGCACACACATCACTTTGATGAGTGTCCTCCCGAATGTGAGGGGAGCGCTAGGCTCTGCTCCAGAACCTGTTAATACTGGAGACCTCGGCAGCCTGAGATGGGGACAGGTAGGAGAGATTGCTAACCTTCATCAATACAACTCTTTTTTTTGTTTGTTTTATCATATCTGTAATTAAAATATATCTTAGAGATAAATGACAAAACTCCAAAATCTGGTACAAATGCGTGTGCACAGATATTTTTACTACAGCTGTTCCCTGCACTAGAAGTTTCAAAATCGAGAATCACAAGGGAAAAAACTCAAGTATAACAGACAGGAAACTTTACGTTTATGGTAAATTGATAAGAATATAAGCACTCAAGGAGATCCTCAGTGAAACCTCATCAACACATCTGCGGCTACAGAAAGGAAGGCTACGGGCTTAACTGAATATTTGATACAGAAAAACAAATAGTATTCGCTGCTCTCTTCTCTATTCAAATTCTACTTATTCACTCAAACTCATTCACATAAAAACTTGATATTAAGGCCGGGCGTGGTGGTTTATGCCTGTAATCCCAGCACTTTGGGAGGCCGAGGCAGGTGGATCATGAAGTCAGGAGTTCAACACCAGCCTGGCCAAGATGGTGAAACCCCGTCTCTACTAAAAATACAAAGAAGAAAAATTAGCCGGGCATGGTGGTAGGCGCCTGTAATCCCAGCTACCCAGGAGGCTGAGGCAAGAGAATTGCTTGAACCCGGGAGATGGAGGTTTCAGTGAGCCGAGATTGCACCACTGCACTCCAGCCTGGGCAACAGAGTGAGACTCCCTCTCAAAAAAAAAAAAAAAAACTGGCAAATGCATTGCAGTGAGTCTCCTCTGAGTGCCTGGATGCTGCAAATTTCAAATAGATAAAAAGCTGTGAGTCAGTGGCTTTTTCCATGAGTTATTGTCAGGAGGTTATGCAGTAAACGAATATACATAAATGCTTTGTGCATATTATGGAAAATACAGTTCGCAACCAGTACTAATTTACTTAGAGAAATGGAAACATCTGTGCACTCACTGCATGTGGAGACTGGACACCACAGCCATCTGCGCACTCACTGCGCGTGGAGATGTGTGGACACCACGGCCACTCTTCTTGAAACTCAAGGCGAAGCAGTCGGAGAGCAGAGCCTCGGCCTCCATGCAGGTCACCCTGGTATCTGGGGACACTGCGGCTGAGGCTGGTTTCCTCCTCTGTCGGGAGCGCTGCTCTTCAGACAAGGCCGATTTGTCCCCCTCCTTCCTGTCCATCCTGGGAAGGAGACCTACACAGCGCTGGCCCCTGACTCGGCCTTCTGCTTAGAAGAAACTGACCGTGGGTGGAGCGTTGTGGGCCAAACTGTGCCCCCAAAAAGCTATGCTCAAGTTCTAGCCCCGTGTACCTCTGCATGTGGCCTGATGAAGAAGCAAGGCCTTTGCAGGTGCCGTCGAGTTAAAGTGAGGCTGTCGGGTGCATCCTGCTCCAATGTGCAGTGCCCTCATAGGAAGCAGAGACAAGACACAGACGGGACCCTGTGAAGACCCAGGATGGAAATAAAGCTTCTGCCAGGCATGGGCCCCCCAGGACCCACCAGGAGCCAGGGCATGCAGGAAGGACGCCCCCCGACTCCCGAGAGCCTGCTGAAGGAGCACCACCCGGCCGACACCCTGATTTCAGACCTGTGACCTCTAGAACTCTTGGAGGATGCATTTCTGTTGCTTGGAGCCATCCACTTTGTGATGATTTTTCCCAGCAGCCACAGGGAACTCATAAGGATGAGTCTGAACTGCAGGGATGGGGTGAGGAGAGGGGGCAGAAGCTGCTCCAAGGGAACTCCCCGAGAGGGATGCAGGGATGTGTTGGCAGCTGCCATTCCCATTCTGAGGACCCCATTGCACATCCCAGGGGATGGAGAGAAAATGGGCTTGTAGCGTTCATGGGTGATGACTTTGATTTTTCACACGATCATGATGGAAACACTCCCTACCCCAGAGGCGGCTGCAGATGCCTTCACACAGCTCTGGTGCTCCACAGCTCTGCATAACGGGATGCAGGAGGGGCTGGTTCCAGGGGCAGCTTTAGCCAAGAAAGACCTTCTAGGTTTAACAGCCTTGACATGGTTACCTGTACATGAAACACTTTAATAGCTGCTGCTAGATAGAGACAATTAACAGCCGATAGTCAATAGCTCCAATCCCTTGAAATTTCTTGACCCTTTTCTTATACTTCTTTTTATTTTTTTGAGACAGAGTCTCACTCTGTCACCCAGGCTGGAGTGCAGTGCCGCAATCTCTGCTCACTGCAACCTCCGCTTCCTGAGCTCAAGTGATTCTCCTGCCTCAGCCTCCTGAGTAGCTGGGATTACAGGCACCCACCACTGCACCCAGCTCATTTTTGTATTTTTAGTGGAGATGGGATTTCACCATGTTGGCCAGGCTGGGCTCAAACTCCTGACCTCAGGTGATCTACCCACCTCAGCCTCCCAAAGTGCTGGGATTACAGGCATGAGCCACCGGACCCGACTTCTTATACTCTTATAGAATGGTTGTCATTATCAATAATGGCATTATTAAAGACCGTACTGTTTAGAAAGCCTGAGATATCCCTGACACCCTGCTAGTTGTCATAAGCATCGTCTTTGATTCCACGCCCATTTTTCACAGCTGACATAATGATACCCATTCTGTAACTGAGAAAACCAGCATGGGCCAAGCCTCCCCCGGGGTTAGGAGTGGGCAGTCCCATCCAATGCAGCCCCTCACCCTGGGGAGCAGGTGGCCAGCCGACCACCCCAGCTGGCCTTCGAGGCCTCACGGGTCTCCGGCACTGGGTCGCCTGAGCACTGCCCAGGTTCGCACATTCTCATCGTCCTGGGGTGGCCGAGTCGGGGACCAAGACCCTGTGGCCTATGTGGACCCCGGCTCCTCCACTCAGCGGTGAGACTGGGGAGGGTCCCTCCACCTCTCCCAGTGCTTTTGCTCTGTCTAGGGATGTCGTCAGCACCAGGGCCCCAGGAGTGCAGGGAGGTTGCTGCCTCCAGCCTGGCCCTCGGCGGAGGCTGCACCCAGGCCAGCTCTGTTCCCTCCAGACAGAGCAGCTCCTGGAAGAGCTCGTGTTCCCCACACTGACAGCACCTGCTCCATTTAGAGAATGCGCACTGGGCATGTAGAGAAGACCTGTGACACGCTACAGCTTCTTTTCTAAAACTGGCCAGAAAAGGAACATTATTTGAACAAAATGTACAGCAGGTTATCTGGAAACATACGCCTAGGGGATGAGATACTAGGTTGTAGGATTCTTGTGCAGGGGGAGCAGGAGCAGGAGGGGACCCCACATCCTCACTGGCGGTGGCAGGTGGCCCCAGTCCTTGCTCTCAGAGGACCTGCCGGCCAGCTGGGAGCATCTGCCTGGGCGAAGCAGACCCTGCCCCACCCTCACCCTGGCCCCTTCCTGCCCCCGTGTCCTGCACTTGGCCAAATTCCACATTCCCAGGCAGACCCTGATTTCCTCCAGGAAGTCTCCTGTGACTCGGGCCTGAGTGAGCCCCAGTGTGTGGACTCCCTGCAGGCTCAGAGCCCGTGGCCAGCGCACATCTGTCTGCTCCTCATCACCTTTTCGGATGTGCCGGGAGCAGGGGGCGGCCGGTTCCCCCTAGACCAGGTGGGATGGCAGGCAAAGGGCTGACCTCCCCAGAGAGAAGCACCTCCCAGAACGGGGGTCGCTCGCGGGAGATGGGGGTGCAGCCGCTTCCTCTCACGTGTGTGGCCTTGTGTGTCTGGCAGATGTGAACGAGTGTGCAGACGGTGCCCACCCCCCCTGCCACGCCTCTGCGAGGTGCAGAAACACCAAAGGCGGCTTCCAGTGTCTCTGCGCGGACCCCTACGAGTTAGGAGACGATGGGAGAACCTGCGTAGGTGAGGCTGTTCCCCTCTCTCTCTGTCCGTCCATTTGCGAGTTTTTGTAAAATGAAGAAAAGTGTGTTCAAGTTAGGCAACTGTCAATCACCATCTTGATTGGGAAGGGCGGAGATGAATAAGACACCAAGCCCACGGTGCCCGAGGGGCGTCTGCGCTGTGCTGGGGGCAGAGGATGCACTTCGTGTGCCTGCTGTCTGCAGAGACCCTCGAAGCACACTGAGGCTGGGGACGGCAGCCAGAATGCATTGCCAGACAAGGCCCACAGGTGTATACCCAGCCTAGATCACACCCCAGACAAAAAACCTATGAAACAGGCAGGATTCATTACAGACCCATCCATCACCTCTCCTCCTCCTGGGACCCCTCCAAATGCACCCGACTGCACCCTGACCAGGGCCAGCAGCACAGCTGCCTGCCTGTTCTCCCACCTCCACCTCCGGATGTCCCCGCCCGGCATGGGGCCTGGGTGCTCAACATCTGCCTCGGATGGCCTTGTCCAGTCCCCCAGCTCTGCACTCAGCTCAGGGACAGCGTCTTCCTCACCGCTGCCTCCAAGCCAGGTGCCAGCTACGCCCAAACTTTTGACGAATTTACTCCCCTGAAAATTGTGGCTCTTAGGTAAGCACTATCTTTAATCTTCATTTTATAGAAGAGGATACTAGTGATAAGAGAGGGCGAGAGACGCTCCTGGTCACACAGCCACTCCGTAGCTGGCCGGGAATTTGTGTTAATAGTCTGGCTTCCAGCTCTTATAGAAAAATAATTATTTACCAGACTCAAGTTACAGACAGACTTCCTTTGAGCTACTGTCATAGGGGAGAGAGGTCTCCAGAAAGAACCAAGTGCAAGGCTCAAATGCAGCAAAGGTAGCTGGGACGTCCAGCCAGGGCGGAGAGGGGTCAGTGCAAAACGCTTCATGACTCAACTGCATTGAGGAGCTTCTGCTAAACTGGAATAATAGGATTCTTGCTGAAACTCAGCTCCTCAGCGAAGGGCACAAGGGCCAGGGTCAAGGCCAGTTATCAAGCAAGTGAGTCTGAAAAGAGATGGCCAGGACGCGGCTGCCCGGGGCCTTCAGAGGCTGGGGAGGCTCTTTCTGGGGCTCTCAAGCTACATCCGCTTGACTGGCACGTCCCCCACTCCTGTGTCAGGCATACACCCCCTTCCTGTGTCAGGCGCACCCCCTCCTGTGTCAGGCGCACCCCACTATCCTATATCAGGCACATCCCACTCTCCTGAGTCAGGCACACCCCACCAGCTTGTGTCAGGCACACACCCCCACCCCCGTGTCAGGCACACCCCACCAGCCTGTGTCAGGCACACTGCCCCATCCTGTGTCACGCACACCCTCCCACCCCCATGTCAGGTGCACCCCTCTTCCTGTGTCAGGCGCATCCCCCCCACCCCGTGTCAGGCACACCCCCACCACCATCCTGTGTCAAGCACAACCCCCCTCCTGTGTCAGGTACAGCCCCCAACCCCCATGTCAGGCACACCCCCACTCCTTTTGTTGTTGTTGTTGTTTGTTTTTATTTCTTCTAAAAAAAAAGTGATAAATGATGTGAAGAACATGCAGGTTTGTTACATAGGTATACGTGTGCCATGGTGGTTTGCTGCACCTATTGACCCATCCTCTAAGTTCCTCCCCTCATCCTCCACCCCTCAACAGGCCCCAGTGTGTGCTGTTCTCCTTTCTGTGTCCATGCAAAGGAACCATTTGTTTACTTAGGGGTTGCGGAGAAATTCTTGTGGCTTTCTTTTTGGCAGTTTTTTTTTTTTTAGTTTTATTATTATTATACTTTAAGTTTTAGGGTACATGTGCACAACGTGCAGGTTTGTTACATATGTATACATGTGCCATGTTGGTGTGCTGCACCCATTAACTCGTCATTTAACATTTGGTATATCTCCTAATTTAACATTTGGTATATCTCCTAATGCTATCCTTCCCCCCTCCCCCAACCCCACAACAGGCCCTGGTGTGTGATGTTCCCCTTCCTGTGTCCATGTGTTCTCATTGTTCAATTCTCACCTATGAGTGAGAACATGCGGTGTTTGGTTTTTTGTCCTTGGGATAGTTTGCTGAGAATGATGGTTTCCAGTTTCATCCATGTCCCTACAAAGGACATGAACTCATCATTTATGGCTGCATAGTATTCTATGGTATATATGTGCCACATTTTCTTAATCCAGTCTATCATTGTTGGACATTTGGGTTGGTTCCAAGTCTTTGCTATTGTGAATAGTGCTGCAATAAACATATGTGTGCATGTGTCTTTATAGCAGCATGATTTATAGTCCTTTGGGTGTATACCCAGTAATGGGATTGCTGGGTCAAATGGTATTTCTAGTTCTAGATCCCTGAGGAATCGCCACACTGCCTTCCACAATGGTTGAACTAGTTTACAGTCCCACCAACAGTGTAAAAGTGTTCCTATTTCTTCACATCCTCTCCAGCACCTGTTGTTTCCTGACTTTTTAATGATTGTCATTCCAACTGGTGTGAGATGGTATCTCATTGTGGTTTTGATTTGCATTTCTCTGATGGCCAGTGATGGTGAGCATTTTTTCATGTGTTTTTTGGCTGCATAAATGTCTTCTTTTGAGAAGTGTCTGTTCATATCCTTCACCCGCTTTTTGATGGGGTTGTTTGTTTTTTTCTTGTAAATTTGTTTGAGTTCATTGTAGATTCTGGATATTAGCCCTTTGTCAAATGAGTAGGTTGCAAAAATTTTCTCCCATTCTGTAGGTTGCCTGTTCAGTCTGATAGTAGTTTCTTTTGCTGTGCAGAAGCTCTTTAGTTTAATTAGATCCCATTTGTCAATTTTGGCTTTTGTTGCCATTGCTTTTGGTGTTTTAGACATGAAGTCCTTGCCCATGCCTATGTCCTGAATGGTATTGCCTAGGTTTTCTTCTAGGGTTTTTATGGTTTTAGGTCTAACATGTAAGTCTTTAATCCATCTTGAATTAATTTTTGTATAAGGTGTAAGGAAGGGATCCAGTTTCAGCTTTCTACATATGGCTAGCCAGTTTTCCCAGCACCATTTATTAAATAGGGAATCATTTCCCCATTGTTGTTTTTGTCAGGTTTGTCAAAGATCAGATAGTTGTAGATATGTGGCATTATTACTGAGGGCTCTGTTCTGTTCCATTGGTCTATATCTCTGTTTTGGTACCAGTACCATGCTGTTTTGGTTACTGTAGCCTTGTAGTATAGTTTGAAGTCAGGTAGTGTGGTGCCTCCCACTTTGTTCTTTTGGCTTAGGATTGACTTGGCAATGTGGGCTCTTTTTTGGTTCCATATGAACTTTAAAGTAGTTTTTTCCAATTCTGTGAAGAAAGTCATTGGTAGCTTGATGGGGATGGCATTGAATCTATAAATTACCTTGGGCAGTATGGTCATTTTCACCATATTGATTCTTCCTACCCATGAGCATGGAATGTTCTTCCATTTGTTTGTATCCTCTTTTATTTCATTGAGCAGTGGTTTGTAGTTCTCCTTCAAGAGGTCCTTCACATCCCTTGTAAGTTGGATTCCTAGGTATTTTATTCTCTTTGAAGCAATTGTGAATGGGAGTTCACTCATGATTTGGCTCTCTGTTTGTCTGTTATTGGTGTATAAGAATGCTTGTGATTTTTGTACATTGATTTTGTATCCTGAGACTTTGCTGAAGTTGCTTATCAGCTTAAGGAGATTTTGGGCTGAGATGATGGGGTTTTCTAGATATACAATCATGTCATCTGCAAACAGGGACAATTTGACTTCCTCTTTTCCTAATTGAATACCCTTTATTTCTTTCTCCTGCCTGATTGCCCTGGCCAGAACTTCCAACACTATGTTGAATAGGAGTGGTGAGAGAAGGCATCCCTGTTTTGTGCCAGTTTTCAAAGGGAATGCTTCCAGTTTTTGCCCATTCAGTATGATGTTGGCTGTGGGTTTGTCATAGATAGCTCTTATTATTTTGAGATACTTCCCATCAATACCTAATTTATTGAGAGTTTTTAGCATGAAGGGTTGTTGAATTTTGTCAAAGGCCTTTTCTGCATCTATTGAGATAATCATGTGGTTTTTGTCTTTGATTCTGTTTATATGCTGGATTACATTTATCGATTTGCGTATGTTGAACCAGCCTTGCATCCCAGGGATGAAGCCCACTTGATCATGGTGGATAAGCTTTTTCATTTGCTGCTGGATTCGGTTTGCCAGTATTTTATTGAGGATTTTTGCATCAATGTTCATCAAGGATATTGGTCTAAAATTCTCTTTTTTGGTTGTGTCTCTGCCCGGCTTTGGTATCAGGATGATGCTGGCCTCATAAAATGAGTTAGGGAGGATTCCCGCTTTTTGTATTGATTGGAATAGTTTCAGAAGGAATGGTACCAGCTCCTCCTTGTACCTCTGGTAGAATTCGGCTGTGAATCCATCTGGTCCTGGACTTTTTTTGGTTGGTAAGCTATTGATTATTGCCTCAATTTCAGAGCCTGTTATTGGTCTATTCAGAGATTCAACTTCTTCCTGGTTTAGTCTTGGGAAGAAGTATGTGTCGAGGAATTTATCCATTTCTTCTAGATTTTCTAGTTTATTTGCGTAGAGGTGTTTATAGTATTCTCTGATGGTAGTTTGTATTTCTTTGGGATCAGTGGTGATATCCCCTTTATCATTTTTTGTTGCGTCTATTTGATTCTTCTCTCTTTTCTTCTTTATTAGTCTTGCTAGCGGTCTATCAATTTTGTTGATCTTTTCAAAAAACCAGCTCCTGGATTCATTAATTTTTTGAAGGGTTTTATGTATCTCTATTTCCTTCAGTTCTGCTCTGATCTTCGTTATTTCTTGCCTTCTGCTAGCTTTTGAATGTGTTTGCTCTTGCTTTTCTAGTTCTTTTAATTGTGATGTTAGGATGTCAATTTTAGATCTTTCCTGCTTTCTCTTGTGGGCATTTAGTGCTATAAATTTCCCTCTACACACTGCTTTGAATGTGTCCCAGAGATTGTGGTATGTTGTGTCTTTGTTCTCGTTCGTTTCAAAGAACATCTTTATTTCTGCCTTCATTTTGTTATGTATCCAGTAGTCATTCAGGAGCAGGTTGTTCAGTTTCCATGTAGTTGAGCGGTTTTGAGTGAGTTTCTGAATCCTGAGTTCTAGTTTGATTGCACTGTGGTCGGAGAGACGGTTTGTTATTTCTGTTCTTTTACATCTGCTGAGGAGAGGCACACCCCCACTCCTGTGTCAGGCACACCCGCCCTCTTCTTTCAGGGACACCACACCCTCTTGTATCGGGCACAGGATACCCTCTTCTTTCAGGGACAGCACAGCCTCTTGTTTCAGGGACACCACACCCTCTTGTTTCAGGGACACCACATCCTCCTGTTTCAGGCACAGGATACCCTCTTGTTTGAGGGACACCCCACCCTCTTGTTTCTGGGAAACCACAACCTCTTGTTTCAGGCACAGGATACCCTCTTGTTTCAGGGACACCCCACCCTCTTCTTTCGGGGATACCCCATCCTCTTGTTTCAGGCACAGGATACCCTCCTGTGTCAGGCACACCCCACCCTCTTCTTTCAGGCACACCCCACCCTCTTGTTTAGGGCAAACCACACTCTCTGGTTTCAGGCACACCCCCCTTCTTCTGTCAGGCACAGCCCACCCTCTTGTTTCAGGGACACCCCACCCCCTTCTTTCAGGGACACCCTACCCTTTTGTTTCAGGGACACCGCACCTCTTATTTCAGGAACAGGACACCCTCTTGTTTCAGGCACACACACCCTCTTGCTTCAGGCACACCCCACTCTCTTGTTTCTGGGAAACCACACCCTCTTGTTTCAGGGACACCCCACCCTGTTGTTTCAGGCACACCCCCCCTCTTCTTTCAGGCACAGGATACCCTCTCGTTTCAGGGACACCACACCCTCTTGTTTCAGGTGTCCTCTCTCTGCACAGCATTTCCCCCTCACACTCATTGTTTTATCAGCCTCTGGTTTTATTCATGTTTTTTCTCCATATGAAATAGTATCCTCTCTTCCTTTCAAACCAGAGCACTCTCAATCATGGAAAATTAGAAACAGCAGCTCTTGCATTCAGATTTTTAAATAAAATGTTTAAATCAATGGTTCAGATGTGAATTGCAAAGGTAGCCAGGTAGCGAAGCTGCCACATTCACAGAGAGGAGCTCAGCTGCTTTCCGCATTATTATTACAAACCTAAGAAAGCGGATTCAGAACCCTGCTCAGGTGAAGGCAGTGGGGCATTTACGTCAAGACTGCAGTTTTGCTGGACTACAGCCCAGAAGCACTTGCTGTATTTTTGATAATATCTAACCCTGTCAGATGGCTCCATGGGGCCCCAGGAAACACTTCTACTGCTGTACTCCAGCTGAAGCCACCACCCTCCATCCCTCCCAATGTTTTCTTCTGGACTCACCCACAGAAAGAAGGAGAAAGGAGTCCCAGTGGAGGTCAGGAACAGCCCTGGGAGAGCACCCAGAGATGAATTCGTGCCTAAGAGGGCTCACCCACTACGTCTCTTCCTCCTCCCGGAGAGCACCCAAAGATGTGTTGGTGCCTAAGAGAACTTGCCCACTACCTCTCTTCCTCCTGGGCCCCCTTTGAATGCCTGCACCGTGACCGGGGCCAGGAGCACATGAGCCTAAGACCATTCTGTGCACCAGGGCCCATGTCTGAGAGATTAATACACAGGTGCCCAGGGCTTCTCCTGTCTCCGTGGTGATTTACAGACTTAGATTTAGATACAGATATTGATTATGGATAGAGACAGTTTAGATATAGGCACAGATGCAGATATATAGATATAGATATAAATTTACATATAGGTATAAAAGAATAGATTTAGATTTCGGTACAACTCTCCCTATATAAGTTTAGACGTAGATACACATATAGATTCAGGCATCGATATAAAAGAATAGATTTAGATTTCGGTACAGCTCTCCCTACATAAGTTTAGATGTAGATACACATATAGATTCAGGCGCTGATATAATTATAGAGGGAGCTCTGCTTTTGCAGTGTTTTGTTCCTAACGTTGCGGTTAAAGGAACTGTATTCATTTCCTGGGGGTGCCACAGCACAGCCCTGCAGACTGGGGGTGCCACAGCACAGCCCTGCAGACTGGGGGTGCCACAGCAAAGCCCTGCAGACTGGGGGTGCCACAGCGCAGCCCTGCAGACTGGGGGTGCCACAGCGCAGCCCTGCAGACTGGGGGTGCCACAGCGCAGCCCTGCAGACTGGGGGTGCCACAGCGCAGCCCTGCAGACTGGGGGTGCCACAGCGCAGCCCTGCAGACTGGGGGTGCCACAGCGCAGCCCTGCAGACTGGGGGTGCCACAGCGCAGCCCTGCAGACTGGGGGTGCCACAGCGCAGCCCTGCAGACTGGGGGTGCCACAGCGCAGCCCTGCAGACTGGGGGTGCCACAGCGCAGCCCTGCAGACTGGGCACTTGAACAAGAGATTTCTCTCTCAGCAAGTCCTGGAGGCTGGAGTCCAAGATCAAGGGGAGGGCACGGTTGGCTCCCCCTGAGGACTCACCCCTTGGCTGCAGATACCACCTTCTCCCCATGTCCTCCCAGGGCAGTCCCTCTGTGTGTCCATGGCCTCATCTCCTCATCTCATAAGGACATAGCTGCCTTGGGCCACGGCCCACAGTGACATCCCCATGCCACTGCAATTACCTCCTCAAATGCTCCATCCCCAAATCAGCCACATTCTGAGGCCCAGGGTGTTGGGGATTCAGCATGAGAATCTGGGAGACCCGGTTCAGCCCACGACAGCCAATTGGTCCATAGTGCCATCTTTTAATCTTCAGAATAAAACTTTAGAAGAAGTGTATACAACAGGAGCATGAGTTGCATAAACTAATTTCCAATATTTTGTTTCAAACGTCTTGTTTTAGTTTTTGTCCTGAGAACAATTACAACATACATTTATCTATTTCCTGCATCTTTTTTTTTTTTGAGACGGAGTCTCGCTCTGTCGCCTAGACTGGAGTGCAGTGGCGCGATCTCAGCCCACTGCAAGCTCCACCTCCCGGGTTCACGCCATTCTCCTGCCTCAGCCTCCCGAGTAGCTGGGACTACAGGCGCCCGCCACCACGCCCGGCTAATTTTTGTTTTTGTATTTTTAGTAGAGACGGGGTTTCACCATGTTAGCCAGGATGTATTTCCTACATCTTAAGGACTCTTTTCTATAAACGCTGAAGCCAAATGTGTCTCTAGAGTTGAGACGTTCCCTCCCAGTGCTACCTCTTTGCTAAGGAATCCTCCTGCCTGGACACTGTCCATCTGCCTCTCCAGATCCTGCCCCCGCCAAGGGCGTCCGAGAGAGCCCCTGAGCCCGGCCCGGACCAGCGCCCGTGCTCAGGGCAGCTGTGCGCTCCGCGCTGCCTTCTGGTTCTGTGTGATGGATGTGATGCTTGCATGGTGCTGTCCCTGCCCCGCTCCGCCCCTGCTGGGCTCCTGGCTGCCGAACCTGAAGTCAGGGTCCGCCGCAGAACACGTCTTCCCGCTGAGCCCTGCAGCCCCTCAAGCAGCTGGCTGCCTCCGAGGAGCTTCCTCTCCGACAGCTGCCGTGTACCTCCCTGACCTCCCTGGCTGTGACTCAGGCCCTCCGGAGGCACTGGGCCAGGCCGCCGGTGGAGCCTGATGGTGGACGATGGTGGACAGTGACCTTCTCCTTCTAAGGAAGGGACTGAGGGAGGGAAAGTGCCCCCAGAGCATCTCAGGAGCTGGGAGGTGAACAGCTGGGGATGCTGGCTTCAGTGCTTCCCCCACCACCAGCACCCTTATGATTATACTGCTGCCCCTGCAAAAATGACCATGGAAAATTAGGATGCTGGGCATGACCTTTCTGCATCCCTGACGCACAAGCCTAACTGTTGTTGCACGGAGGCCACACACGTCCCTGATGAAAGAGCCCTGCTCCCGTGCAAGCAGCCGTCAGTGCCCTCTCCGTACAGATGGCGCAGCCATCAGTGCCCTCTCTGTACAGACGGAGCAGGCCAGCAGGACCCAGCACTGTCCCTGGATGCACCAGCTCTGTCACTGCTGGCTGGAACACCCAAAAGGGTGATGGACATGGCTGTCCCTCAGTTTTCAGAATGACAGCGTGAAACCCAAGCCTGCCTGCATGAGGAAGGGTGGACACAGACAGCAGCAGAGGCCTCGGCTGAGTGGACATGCGCTCAGGTGCTGAGGGCTGAGAGTGACCCAGGAGCAACAGCTGAGCCATATTTACAGCCCCTCCTACGAGCCCTGGCTGGAGGCCAGAGGTTCCAGGGAAGGTGGGCACCAGGGCCCATGTCTGAGAGATTCATAAACAGGTGCCACGGCTTCTCCTTCCGTCCTCACAGTGACTCACAGACAAGGATGCCAAGGCCTGGAAGATGAGGCATGGCTGTGAGAGGAGCTCACACTCCCCTGGCCTGCGAGAGCTCTGGCCCCGGCCAGCCCGTGTGCTGATCGTATTAGACGGAGTCTCCAGAGAAACAGGAGCAATCAGAGATGCAGATGTATGTATAGAAATAGTTATAGATTAGAGACATCCATAGAGACACAGTTTGTAGATGTAGTTACGTAGATTTAGATATAGATATCGATTTAAATATGGATATATGTAGATATACTATATATAGATTTACATAGATTGAACATAGATATAGATAACAAATATGTAGACATAGATATAGTTATACTGATTTAGATATAGATACTGATTGTGGGTATATATAGTTTTAGGTACAGATGCAGATATAAAAATATAGATATAAATTTACACATAGGTATAGAATAGATTTAGGTGTAGCTATACCTATGTAAGTTTAGATATAGACACAATATAGATTTTGGTATAGATGTAAATATAGAGGTAGTTACCCATACATAGACATAGTTTTACATGTGCTTCTAGCTCTATGTACCGATATGTGAAAGCATCTCTATTCTGCAGAATTGGTCATGAAATTAGAGAGGCTGAGGAGTCCCAGGATCTGCTGTCTGCAAACTGGAGCCCCAGGGGAGCTGGCGGGGCAGTTCCAGTCTGAGGGCAGGTGAAGCTGCAATGAGATGTCCCAGCTCAAGCAGAGAGTCAGGAAAAGAGAAGTGAAGCCCTTTTTCCTCCACTTCCTGCTCTACTGGGGCCCTGGAAGGATGGGACAGGGCCCACCCATGTTGGGGAGAGCCGTCTGCTTTTCTCAGACCACAGATTCCAATGCTGATCCCTTCCAGGACCCAACTCAAAAACACAGTGGGAATAATGTCTAATCTGGGCGCCTGTGCTCCAGTCAAGCGGACACATAAAATTAACCATCCCAGTCATGTTATTCTGACCTGAATTCTCCAAAATCCCAGTGCCCTCTGTCTGCCCAGGGCCTGCCCAAACCCGATGCCGTTTCTTTCCAAAGGCCCTCGTTGGCCTTCACCCAGCCTCAGGGACTCCCCCTTGCCCAGCCCCACCAGAGGGGCACCCACGCCCACAGCAGAGAACTCCAGGGCTCCCCGGGGTGGCACTGAAGAGGTCGGAAAGCCACTCCGGCAGCAGCCGTGACCTTTGTGATGCCCCCGTAGGACATGCAGGGGCTTCAGGACCTGTCTCAGCTGGGTATCTCCCAGAAGCACACAGCCTTCAATCTGGTTCCAAGCGGATTTACTGGCTCTTGAAATTGAAAATGCCAAGAAACAAAAATTTGGAGCAAAGAATAAAGGAAAGTTTCTGCTGTGCGGCATCTGGCCTTCCCCCTGCCCAGGCTCGTTTCACACTTTTGGGTAAACATGGAGCTGCTTACGTCCCTGCTGTGGGTCTGCCGTTTGCTGGTGTGAGGTGGGCTTCAATCAGATGCTCGCCACGGCCCAGGACGTGGCTCCTCCTCTCACTCAAGGCTCTGATGTCAGATGCCTGGCTTTGCTGGTTTTTGAAGTTCCACAGGTGGCCCCTCCAGCCCAAGTTTCTCAGAACCAAATCCAGCCGGAAATGTCAAACACCAATTCCAGAATGAATTTCCACGGCTGCCCTGTCCTGACTGCCCTGACCTGGCCTGTGCTTACCTGGAATTCCCACCCAGGCCTCGATCAGCTCAGCCTTCCCCGCACCCCCAGCCCCAGGCACACAGGCGGAGCCCCCACCTCTAGCAGCCATGGGGGTGAGAGCGAGTAGCAGCAGATGGAAACAAGAACCCAGCCTCTTTCTGGATGCAGGAGGAGCGGCATCCCAGGGCCAGCAAGCAGCTCTGCTCCCCATGGGCTTTTAGCAAGAGGCTGGTGTGCTCAGGTTGCCCTGCAGACTCCCCTGCGTCTGTGAAAGGTGGCAGGAAGGAGATCCTGGAGGCGGGAGGATGGTTAGAGGAGCCCAGGAGGAAAAGTCATGAGGTGCAAAGGCTAAGAGGACAGGATCGTTTTGGAGAAACAGTCAGGATGCGCATTTAGGGTTTATTCATTCATTCTTGTATCCAACAAATGCTTGCTGAGTGTCCAAGACCCATGCGAGGAAGACAGCCACGGACACCACCTGTGTCTGGGCTGGGAAAGACCCATGATAGGAAGACAGCCATGGACACGACCTGTGTCCGGGCTGCAAATGAGACACACCTGCAAATCATGCCCAGGTGCTAAGTGGCACAGGGAACCGCAGTCACCCACAGACGCATTCATCACCGACTTTAAAAAATCCAGTGTGAGAAATAGAACCAAACCAAGCACCCATTCCCCCAGCCGCTGCCTCTGTCTGGTACCTGAATGTGCTCTCTTAGCCCCAGAGCCTATCTTCAACCACACGTGATGATGTTTATCCAGGGCGACCCATGTTTGTTTAAAAAAAAAACGCTGATTGGTAGTATTTAAATTCTTATTTAAAAGTCAGTTTTCGTTTCATCTTGGATTTCTCCTCGGCCACCTCGAATGGGTATCCAAACAGAAAAGTCGGTAATAAAACTGTGGTCAAAGGAGCTCTGAGTTCAGAGCCGCAGTGGCCCCAGGCTGGCAGCTCCTTGCAGAAAGCACAGAAGCCAAGGGCTGGAGCCCAGGAGCCGTTACTCAGTCCCCGGCTTTTTCAGATGAAGACACAGGTCCAGGTGGGAGGCACTTCCTCAGGCCCCTCACCAGATGCTCTGGGGCCGGCTCCTGGGCTGCCTCTCTCCTCTGTCCCATCAGGCCTGCACTTCTCTGTCTGATTCCCACCAACCTTGTTCGGTTTCTTTCTGGAATTGGCTGATGAGACCCAGGATGAGCTCCAAAATCTGCTGCCATCCCGTGCCCCCGTCCCCCCAGGGCTCCAGCTCTGCAAGGTGCTGTCCACCTTCCTTCAACCACGGTTTCACCTCCAGGAGGCTTCTGGGAAAGATAAAATGCAGCCAAGGGCAAAACCTCACAGCGTTATACCGCGTCCCTTACAGCCCACCTTGCGAACCTTTCCCGCCCCGGTCCGAGGCCTCCAGGGCTCCCTGGGTCCTGTGGTCCACTCCGAGGGCACTGAGAGCCCTCCCTGGTTTGGGCAGCAAGGTGTGCTTTCTGTCCTGCAGGACGCGTCCATGCCGAACCCACAGTGAGGTTCCATAGAGAGAGCTAACTTCTCTGCCCTGTGTCCCCTGCTGGCTCTCCCCACACACGTCACATTCGGATCTGGACTTAGTGGTCTAAATGGCTTTTCTGGGCAGATAAATGTCCCTCCCTCCCTGCGTCATGCTGTGGGGTGAAGGCCACTGGCCCAGGACAGGGTATGGCCCAGACTCAGGCAGGACAACCTGGCTTGCCCAGGCCCTGGAAGGTTCTTCTAACCAGGCCTCTTTCTGTGCCCCAGACTCCGGGAGGCTCCCTCGGGTGACTTGGATCTCCATGTCGCTGGCTGCTCTGCTGATCGGAGGCTTCGCAGGTCTCACCTCGACGGTGATTTGCAGGTGGTAAGTCCTTCACTTTTTGACTGTTACTTAGACACAAAGCAATCTCCTTTCCTCTGGACATGGCTGCAATGAAGCTGCTTTATTTTCCCGAAGCTAACACAGGTTACTGGTATCTCAAAGGCATTGATCTCAGAGCTATTTTGTACAACGTAATAGACTCTCCGGATCTTTCATTATGCTTTAAATAATGAAAGTGGAGTGATCATTTGTACACCTTAGGTGGTGTCAGGTATCTGTGGACGAACATTCAGCAATATGGAACACTTTTCTAACACTAAATGATTGCATTGAAGTAGTCTCTTGTTAGGAGTAAAGATTCTTACAAAGGTTTCTCAGAGAAAAAAGGTCATCCATGAATAAAAAGTTTTATTCTTCAGTTTTATTCCCTCCCTTGAGGGCAGAAATTGGAAGTTGAACTTTCATGTTAAAAATGGCGCTGCTGTTGAAAGACTCAGACCCGCACCTGAGAGGCCCTGCCCTGTGAGAGTGCTCTCTGCAGAAAGAGCCCCTCGAGGCTTCCTCAGGTGCGGCAGCTGGTCCATGTCCCTAGCCCTGAGGAACCGGCTCTGTTCCTTGCTGCTGCCTCTCACCTTGCTGCTGCCTCTCACCTTGCTGCTGCCTCTCACCTTGCTGCTGCCTCTCACCTTGCTGCTGCCTCTCACCTTGCTGCTGCCTCTCACCTTGCTGCTGCCTCTCACCTTGCTGCTGCCTCTCACCTTGCTGCTGCCTCTCACCTTGCTGCTGCCTCTCACCTTGCTGCTCTTGAGCACCAAACTCCTTGAGCATCCCTTCCATTTTTAATGCACAATTGTTCATTTTATATAGACAGTATTAAAAATAACAGCAAACACTATAAGAAGTCATTGCAGGCCCAGGCTGGGCCCCCAGGGCCATGCCCAGGATACCTGCAGATAGAGGCCACAGTTTCTCGGCTTCTGCTCTCCCTGAGTGCCAGGCTCCCCCCCCCAATATGCCCTGTGCACACTCCTGCTGCAGCCAGCCCTGCCCTCTGCCAGGATGACCCCTGCAGTCACCTTCGCCCTCCACCCCGGCCTTCAGAGCTCCTCACTGGCGGAGCCCCCAGCACCACCCCATACCACACATGTATGGATTATCCAAGCCTCCCAGCCTCACCCGATACCACATATCTATGGATTATCCAGGACTTTCCCACTCTAAGGCCATCTTCCAGGGTGTTTCTCATCTTCCCAATAATAGAAACTCAACATTCTAGCAAACTTCATTTTTCTAGCAACTTCTCAGTACACTGAGGAACATCTGCCCCTTGAACAGGAAATCTTTTTCTTACAGTCTTTGCACCTCCTACAGGAACTGGTTTTTAAAAACTTGAAAGCTTAGCAACCAGATGTTACCCATGATCTTTATCGTTTCCAAAGGGCCTTGTCAAGAATCCACAGTTAATGGACTCTTTTCTGTTGTTTTTATTTTTGTGATCACTTGTAAGGGAAGACTCTGTACCTGCCATCTGCTCTGCATCCTGTCTCTCTGGGGCTGAGATATGGTAGTAAAGCCAGTTCCCCATTTCAGTTATTCTGCAAGGCCTCTGACAACTGCTGTGGTTGACCCAGATGCCTGCATTTGATGCATGAGCTTATGATCTATCCGGCATATGATATTTCAGTGACGTATTTCTGAGTAGCTTCATAGCTTCTAACAAAACTAACATACACCATAATTCAGACAACTGTGAGAAATTCCTTCCAGTAGAGAGGTGATAGTAATGGCTAAAGCCATGTGTCAGATGTAATGCTAAGTCATCCTTAGCCACTGTCTCCTCTGATTTTCTGATCAATCATCTGACTCAGGTGCTTGCCATGGCTTGAACTGTGCATTGCCCAGAACATATGTTTATATCCTGACCTTTAGGACCTCAGAACGTAACCTTATTTGGAACTAAGGTCTCTGCAGGTGTAATTAGTTAAAATGAGACTGTCCTGGAGTAGAGGGGCCCCTAATTCAGTATAGCTGGTGTTCCTCTAGAAAGAAGAGTTTGGACAGAGTCATGCTGAGCAGGCGAAGGCCATCTTGACGGGAAGGCAGAGATCAGGGTGGGGTTTCTCTAAGCTGGGGCCTGGGAAGATCGCCAGCAGCCACAGGAACTGGGAGGGAGGCCGGGGGAGCCGCCTGCAGGCACCTTGATGTGGACTCCTGCCTCCAGAGCTCTAGGTCATAAACTGCTGTTTAAGCAGCCAAGTCTGTGGTCCTCTGTGACTGCAGCCCCAGAAAACTTAATGAAGTGCTATGATTGTGTCCATTTTCAGTGTAGCATGTGGAGGTGGAGCGAGAGCCTGTTACTTGCTCAAAGCTGGTAGGCCCAGAGCAGATCCTTGAACCCAAGACCTGTCTGGTGCTGGAGGTCGTGCCACAGCTGCCCTGCTTCTCCTCGCGAGAAGATTATATTCCACATGCCAGGGCTGTTGTTTCAAATAATCATTACCAGTGAAGATTGAATAATCACCTACTCTCTCTACAAGACACTATACTGATCTGTTTTGGAAAGAGAGTACTTTAACCTTTAAATGGTGTCTCTAGTTTTAGATGGGGTGGTGGCAGGAAATATTCCCTATGTTTTATGAATCATTTGGTCTTTAAACCTTAAAAACTTTAATAACTAATAATTAAAACCCTCAGCTAACCATGAAATAGACTAAGCAATAAAAATTGAATAGGCTGTAAGCAAATAACTTCAAATTAGCTGGTTCTGTAATTAGAACTATGAAATGTATAATTGTAACAAAAACTGATACGACTATAATTTCCTATTCATAAACAATTTTGTATTTGCAAACATCCCTATAAACATCTATCACATTATCATTATAATAAATATTAGTGTCTGTAGCCCACACTCACAAGAAAAATAGCAATTTTCTTTAAGATTGACAGCCATAGATGAAATGAATACCTTTCCAAGGGAACTTGGGAGAGAAATATTTGGCTATAGTTGATTTTAGACTCTGGAGTTCTAAAAATACGCTACCAAGCACCAATTTAGTTTGCAAAATGCCACTTAGCTGAAAGATATGAAAAAGTGGATGTTAATGTGCCATCACACGCTTGAGAACACAGGCAGTTACAGAGTCAGAGACCATAACAGGGAAGACCCTGGGGCTCCAGGGCAGAAACATCCTGGACCAAAACCACAGCACCCCCAGACCTGTGATTAGGTGAGCTCAGAAGGTCAAGTCACTCATTAGGAAATGTCTTCCCACCACCTACCCTGAGACCCCTATTCTGCTCCCAGCAAATGGGCTCAACACAATCCCAGCCTCGCCTCCCTGTGTCTTATTCTTCAGCTTTTAAAAACATGATCTTATTTCCACCTTAGGGCATTATTGTGCGGTGAGGAGTAGGGAGGAGAACAGAGAGGGATAGGAAGAAAGAGAGACAGAGACAGCAGAGAGAGACACGGGAGGGGAGAGAACCCAGCACGGTGTGGCACACAGCAGGTGCTCAGCAAACACGTTTCCTCTCCTAGTGAGACAAAGGTGTTTGCTTCTCTACTCTCCTCGTTTTCTACCCACCCTGCTGTCTGGGGTCTCACACTGTATGTTTTGGTGTGATTGTTATTAATGTGACAAATTGTTGATATATTTTCACTGCAAATCTACGATTCGGAGTTAACTCCATGAAACCAACTCCTCCATCAACTTTCTTGACACTGCATTTAAAATACCTCCACGGTATTATGCTTGTTTTATTGCATTGAAATTGTTTTCACCAAGTTGAATTCTTTCTGTGCAAACTTTTACACTAAAAATTCATTCCTCAAATCAGTTCTTTGGTCCATGTCAGTTTTGCCAATTAGACCTTTCGCCATGGAGGTGTTTTCCTTTGTGTTATGATTTCTTCAGATCCGGCTTTCTTAGCTCAGCATTTTAAACTTAAATTTCATGAAGACTTTGTCTGTCTGTTGATTCTTACTGTCCAGGGAAGATGCTAAATGTGCAGTTCCAGTCCTTTCTCCATTCGCTCTTGTTTTTATTATTTTTACCAATTCTACTTTTCCACCATCACTTAGTTCTGCAATTTCTGAAATACAATTTTTCAGGTTTTCCTTGTCGTTGATAAACGGTGCCCTATACCTTTTTGCTGTTTTCAGTTGTATTTTGTATTGATATTCCTACCTATGGTATGCATTATAAATTCAAGAAAGTTTGAATCATTTGCATTAATTTCCAGCAAATCCATGGGAAAGCCGCGAGGTCCTTCCCTAGGATGCAGCCAGGTTTGTCCTCCGTCCAGGACGTCTAACCCTTTGTTCCCTCCTGCACCTTCCCACGCTGTGAGCTGACGGGTGCTGTTTCTCTAGGCACGTCACGGGGGGTTCCTGCCATCTCTCCTCTCTTTATCATTAGATTCATAAGCGTGCTGGAGGGAGGCCAGCTGGGACTAGGCCGAGGCAGCCATGGGGCAGTGGGCCACGGGATCCCTGTAAGCCATGGGTGACCGGGTGCCCTCTTCCCCCAGGACCCTCCTCCCCAGGGACCCTCCTCCCCCAGGGCCCTCTTTCCCCAGACTCTTGGGGTAGAGACGGCCTGAGTCTCTTGAGATGGAGTCTGAAGCTTCTGGTCATCTGAACTGCATGTTGATGACAGGAATTGTCTTCAGGACGTCATTAGGGAAGTCCGAGAGAACTGGCCCTTTGCTGGGGGACAGACGTAGAGTGGCCAGCCTGGGCTACACAGCATGGGGGATCCGAACCTGTTGTAGTGGAATCCTTCAGAGTCAGTACGGCGTCTGTGAGGCACTCAGGCCCCAGAGGACCTGGGGAAGGACCTGCGCTCCTTAGAGACCCACGTCTGCCCTGGAAATGAGCAGGGGGAGCTGTTCCCAGCCTGGTCACACATGAACCACAGCAAGGACAGCCTCCCACCCCAGTCCCCCCGTGGGTTCAGCTAAACGCATTGTCCAGTTTCCAGCCCAGAACCCAAGCCTGGCTGCCAGGCTCATCTGCTTTCTCTGGGCAGCTCCCAGCCCCTCCCTCTGTGGCCCCACTTTCTTCACCCACTTCTGAGCAAGTATAGGTGGGAAATGTGCCTTCCTCCCTCTCCTGACCCCAGGCTGTCTACTCCACACCGGCCCTGCCACCGTGCCCTGGCAGTCTCTCTACCCGACACCGGCCCTGCCACCGTGCCCTTACAGTCTCTACCCCACACTGGCCCTGCTACCATGCCCTGGCAGTCTCTCTACCCCACACCGGCCCGCCACCGTGCCCTCACAGTCTCTCTACCCCACACCTGCCCGCCACCGTGCCCTCACAGTCTCTCTACCCCACACCGGCCCTGCCACCTTGCCCTCACAGTCTCTCTACCCCACACCTGCCTGCCACCGTGCCCTCACAGACTCTCTACCCCACACCGGCCCGCCACCGTGCCCTCACAGTCTCTCTACCCCACACCTGCCTGCCACCGTGCCCTCGCAGTCTCTCTTCCCCACACCTGCCTGCCACCGTGCCCTCACAGACTCTCTACCCCACACCGGCCCGCCACCGTGCCCTCACAGTCTCTCTGATCTGTCTCCCTCTCCTGCCCCCAGACCATCTACCTCACACAGGCCCTGCCACCGTGTGATGCCCAGCCATTCCCACTTCTTGGCTTTTATTCAAGCCTCAATCTCTCCATAGAATACTCCCTCCTTATCATCTCAACCTGGCTTCGAATGTTCAAGTCTGACACATCGCAAAGGCTACACCCAAACACCACCCACTGTCTGCAACCTCCCCAAACCCCCACTGTATGCAAGGTCCTCAAATCCCCCCACTGTGTGCAACCTCCTCAAATCCCACCACTGTGTGCAACCCCCCAAATCTCCCCCACTGTGAGCAAAACCCCAAATCCCCCCACTGGGTGCAACCTCCTCAAATCCCACCACTGTGTGAAACCTCCTCAAATCCCCCCACTGTGTGCAACTTCCTCAAATCCCCTCCACTCTGTGTAACCTCCCCAAATTCCCCCCACTGTGTGCAACCTCCTCAGATCCCTCCCACGCTGTGCAAACTCCCCAGATCCCCCCAACTCTGTGCAACCTCCCCAAATCTCCCCAACTGTGTGCAACCTCACCAAATCCCGACACTGTGTGCAACCTCCCCAAATCCTGCGCACTCTGTGCAACCTCCCCAAATCCGCCCCACCCTGTGCATCCTCCCAAAATCCCCCACACTGTGTGCAACCTCCTCAAATCCCCCCAACTGTTTGCAACCTCCCAAATCCCCCCACTTTGAGCAACCTCCCCAAATCCCCCCACTGTGTAAAACCTCCCCAAATCCCCCCACTGTGAGCAACCTCCCCAAATCCCCCCACTGTGAGCAACCTCCCCAAATCCCCCCACTGTGTGCAACTTCCCTAAATCCCCCCACTGTGTTCAACCTCCCCAAATACCTCCCATTGTGTGCAAACACCCCAAATCCCTCCCACTCTGTGCAACCTCCCCAAATTACCCCCACTGTGTGCAACCTCCTCAGTTCCCTCCCACTCTATGCAAACTCCCCAAATCCCCCCGACTCTATGCAACCTCCCCAAATCCCCCCCACTCTGAGCAACCTCCCCAAATCCCCACCACTCTGTGCAACCTCCCCAAATCCCCCACACTGTGTGCAAACTCCTCAAATCCCCCTACTGTGAGCAACCTCCTCAAATCACCCCCCACTGTGTTCAACCTCCTCGAATCACCCCACTGTGTGCAGCCTCCCCAAATCCCCCCCACTGTGTGCAACCTCCTCAGGTCCCCCACTGTGTGCAACCCCCCCAAATACCGCCACTGTGTGCAACCTCTTCTAATCCCCTCACTGTGTGCAACCTCCCCAAATCCCCCCACTGTGAGCAAACTCCTCAAATCCCCCCAACTGTGTGTGAGCTCCCCAAATCCCCCCAGTGTGTACAACTTGCTTAAATCCCCCCAACTGTAATCAACCTCCCCAAATCCCCCCTACTGTGTGCAACCTTCCCAAATCCCCCCACTCTGTGCAACTTCCCCAAATCCCCCCTACTCTCTGCAAACTCACCAAATCCCCCCCACTCTGTGCAACCTTCCCAAATCCCCCCCATTGTGGGCAACAACACCAAATCCTGCCACTGTGTGCAACCTCACCAAATTCCCCCCACTCCGTGCAACCTCCCCAAATACCCCCAACTCTGTGCAACCTCCCAAAATCCCCCAAACTGTGTGCAACCTCCTCAAATCCCCATCCTGTGTGCAACCTCCTCAAATCCACCCCACTGTGTGCAACCTCCTCAAATCCCCCCACTGTGTGCAACCTCCTCAAATCTCCTCACAGTGAGCAACCTCCTCAAATCCCCACACTGTGTGCAACCACCCCAAATCCCCCTACTGTAAGCAACCTCCCCAAATCCCTCCACTCTGTTCAACCTCCCCAAATCCCCCCCACTCTGTGCAACCTCCAACTTTCCCTCCCATTGTGTGCAACCCCCCCAAATCCCCCCACTGTGTGCAACCCCCCAAATCCCACCCACTGTGTGCAACCTCCTCAAATCCTCCCACTGTGTGCAGCCTCCCCAAATCCCACCCACTGTGTGCAACCTCAGGTCCCCCACTGTGTGCAACCCCCCCAATCCCCCTACTGTGTGTAACCTCCTCAAATCCGCTCACTGTGTGCAACCTCCTCAAATCCCCCTACTGCCTGCAACCTCCTCAAATCCCCCCACTGTGGGCAACCTCCCCAAATCCCCCCACTGTGTGCAAACTCCCCACATTCCCCCCAGTGTGTGCAACCTTTACAACTCTACTCACTGTGAGCAACCTCCCCAAATCGCCCCACTATGAGCAGCCTCCTCAAATCCCCCAACTGTGTGCCACTTCCCCAAATCCCCACATTCTGAGCAACCTCCCCAAATCCCCCCACTGTGATGTAACCTCCTCAAATTGCCCGCACTGTACAACCTCCTCAAATCTCCCCCGCTGTGTGCAACCTCCTCAAATCCCGACTCTGTGCAACCTCCCCAAATCCCCCCAGTGTGTGCAACCTCCCCAAATCCACCCAACTCTGAGCAACCTCGCCAAATCCCCCAACTCTGTGCAACCTCCCCCTATCCCTCCCACTGTGTGCAACCCCCCCAAATCCCCCTACTGTGTGCAACCTGCTCAAATCCCCAAACTGTGTGCAACCTCCCCAAATCACCCTCACTGTGT